>NC_000002.12:81042625-81667625 GCF_000001405.40 Homo sapiens
ATCTAGTAATGCCATGACCCCTAGAAGATTTTGGATGTGAAGTAGGATAGAGATGTGTCCATTAGTTAGACACATTTCCTGCGATCTCTTTTTAGTATTTTTTATAAGTGAGTTAATGTGTCAGTTTGGGTTCTACAAGAAATGGATGACACGACACAATTAAATGTGCAAGAGATTGATTGTGGGAAACACTTCTGAGGATAATGGGCAGAAGGGGCAGGAGTAGTCAAGGAGAGACTTCCCTGGGAAAAAAAGAGAAAGGAAATGAAGAGGAATTTTATATGAAGACAAAGTCTTGGCCAGGATGATGGTAACCCCCAGACCAGAGCTTTCCATTAGAACAGACCAGTTTGTGGCAGAGATTCCCAACTCAAGATTCCCACTGTGCTCAGTGATTATCTAGGAGCAATCCGGGGTAGGGTGGCTTTATCAAAAATGCTCTCTTCAGTTGTGAAAGTGTGGCAGCTTCAGGCTATCAGGTAACAATTCTTCTCACAACAGATTGTCTCTTGATGAGAGATCTGAGTGGTAACAACAAAAAAGCCTTTCTCCAGATTTAAAAGTATACTTGACCTATTAAAAATTGGAAAATATTCTTTAGGTATTGTGAATAATTCTTCAAGACTATAAGATCTCCACTGAGAGCTTGGTAAAATCTTGGCCTCCAACTTTCTCTTATCACCCATCTAACTTAATCCAAATTATCTACCAATATGGTGCTAAATTTTGGCCCCACTCTTACTGCCTGTATTTTTTTTCCTTAGATTCCCTATGGCATCTGATAATTTGAGCAGTGCAAAATTATTGGGACAAAACTGAACCTTGACTGACCTTCCTCAGTCTATTACATAGAATCTTTAGGCTTCTCATTCCCTCAAATATTCATCTGAATATTATTCTCACATGGCAATAATTGAATAAAGGTTTTGGCCATGGACGTTGATTGTTCTTTTTCCTTGCACAATTCACTATTTTGCTACCCCTTATTCAATCTCTGACTATATCTTTGCTTATTCCTTTTTGTACTCAATTCCAAAAGAGTTCTCCCTTCTCTGGCTGGATTGCAAATGGATAAAAAGTGCCTCTTAAAACCTCCCTGGGATTTTACTGTTTAACACTATGATGCTTATATTCCTACTTTATGGAGTTCCTCTACATTGCATAGATCATCATTTGGAACTGGGTTTGATTTGAGAAGATTTCACAGCACCTGCTGTGGAGCTTCTTGTGACAACTCCACTCGTCAAGCTGACTTAAAGCCAATAGAACTGAGAAACCACCTGCTGATTTCACAGCTAGGTGAGTAATGAGGAAAGCATTTTGCTGATTTTTCCTGGAGATTTCTTAAAGAGTTACAAATTTCTGGTTTCTTAATTTTGTATGTGTGAGGAAAAATCAAGTACAAAAAATGCAATGGCATAGTTGGAAGATGATAGAATAACTCAAGGAATCTTATTTTATACAATACATCTGTATGTTCGTGTACAATATTCTTTGGAAAAAGAACGTTTAAATTCTATAGCATTCTACACTTGGGTGTTATAAATAAGTGTTTGGGTAGAACAATTAGACTTGCTATGTTAGATTATTTTACCCACTGAATCTGATAGCAGCTTGGAGGAGGGACCCTTGGATTTTTGCATTAGCTTTATTAATGGCTTTCTGGCCTTGTATATTTTATCACAGAATAGAGCTTGGATGAGTTACAGAATTCCATTAACCAAGTGAAACACAAGGTACCAGAGGCAGGATTTCAGAAATTGGGAAGGGCCTGGCAAGATTAATTTGGGGATGCAGGTGTTGCTGGAGTACTAGACAGGTTGTTGGATAAGAAATTAAAAAACAGACCAAGATGAAATAAAACCCAGTTATATGAGCTAGAAGCAGATGGAGAGAGATTCAGATTCCACACGCTAATAAAAGAACCTTGGATTTTGACAAGAGCATTATTTTTCAGATGTTGTGAACAGAGCCGAAGAGACTGTGTTGAAAAAAAAGAAGAAAAGGAAAGGAGAAGGAAAACACTGTGACTTCACACTTCTACTGTTCTATAATAGCAATTACTTATAATTGAGCACTTACATGTCAGGAGTTATGCTAAGAGCTTTACACACATTAATTACTTAGTTTCACTTTAATTCTATAGGTTACATACTATTAATGTGGTTTTATGGAGGAGATGCTTTGACGTGTGAAGTTTCGGAACAGTTTCTAAAGCCAGATTATCTGTATTTAAATCTTGATTCTCATTTTCTAGCTGTCGGTTTGAGGTTAATTTGGTTGTTACAAAAATTAAATGAGTTAATATATGTAAAGCATCTAGAATAGTATGTACTGGACACTGAATAAGTAACAGTTATCATTTGACAGGTGTGTCATCCAAGGCTGAGTTTAATTTGACTAAATTAAGTTATCAATTCTCCTCATCCCCTGCTTCTCCTATGTCATTTGCTCTTTTCACTGTCACAAGTCAGATAAATCACAGAAATAATTCCTGCTAAAGACTCTGGATTATTAGTTCAAGAGCAATGTGCTAACTCTATTCAAGGTCTGGAGTTTGGATGTTTCAGCTTTAAAGGGGCTACATGAAAGAAGGTGGAGATGGGACAAATGAGTTCTAGAAGTGTTAAACACTTTCTTTATTTTCTGTTTTATTTACATTATAACTGCCTGACAATCCCTGTTCAGCACCTGGCCCAGATCTTTCCACCTATTCTATCCTTTATTGCTATTTGTTTGATGACAGTTGTGTATTAACGTTGTGTTTGTAACCATTAATAATTCTAGTTGTGATGCTCTACCTTTGTGTAGGTAGTATTAATTTCCTTAAGTGTTCAGGAAAAGCAGTCCAAAATACTGAGGGCAAAAATTTCAGCTTTAAATGCTTTCAGCAGCCAGGCAGAGATTCTAATTAAAAGTAGCCAGATAGAAGAAACAGTAGAAAGTCAGCAAGTTGGTAGGAAATCTTTAGGGCATATGCTTTGTCTAAATGGATAAGTCAAAACTAGGCTCTGGAGAGCTCTTCCATAAAGGAATGAGATAGAATTAAGATATTTCAAAATAATCCCCAAGTTCTTGTTTTTACATGAAATTTCATGATTACAATTTTTTTTCTAGTTGATGTAAAATTTACTCTAAATTACAAAGAAAAATATATTACTCGGTAGATGGTTCATGGGTCACTTTACCTTTATTGAGTAATCCTTGACTATGAAAGATTGCATTAGATTATCTATAGCATCTATTTTATTAATACCCTGTTTTCATCATTTAAGCCATTAATATGTGTAATAATAATGTAATAATAACCATATTCTCTTAGTAGAAACACTCAGTTGACACATTTAACTTTAAGCAGGGTCTTCAATAGTGGAACGAGAATGGCTCGTCAGTCTTCTCAAAGGCAATCTTTCCATCACTAACTTTGCACAATAACACATGGGGCAAAAGACCTGGCTGAGTAAGTCCAGCTTGAGTCTATGAATGTTGTTGACATGTGCACCAAGCATGAATCTTGTTTTTCTTATCACTGTTCTCAGTCAAAATGAGCTAACGTTCCTGCTCCCAGAAAGATGGCCCATTTCTCTTGTTATCTGTGGATATTGACACAATTGAGAAGTATCAATTATTTATTCATAGTTCTCCAAATCTCTGAATTCTAAGACCCATACAATGGCTCAAATTTGAAACTTACAAATGCTTAAAATGATAAAACCGTATGGTCCCAGAGTGGAAAGCCAAATTCAAGCCATATAATTCAAACTTATATCTGATGCTTATGAAAGAGAGATTTATTTTTTAAACTGTGCGTTCACCGAAAACATATAATGTCTCCTCTGGTATAAACTATGTATCAGTTGATGATTCATTTACAAAAAAAGTCCAGGGAGTTGTATTGGGCAGACAATTTGGATGGCTAAAAATGATGTTTGCCTCCAGGGCTAAAAAGCCCCAGTGGAATTCATTGCTCCTCTATAAACTTTTCAGTAATGTGTTTGGTTGGGAAAGATTTAATTCTGGGAAGAGTAAAACCAGGGTGTATAAAGCTAGACATGGATAATAAACTGGGGAAACAGAGAACAATGGGGCCTTTAAAGTAATCCTTCCAGTGTTTGCACTAGTAAGGTTTTAAGAAAATGCTTTTATTTTCTTCTAATTATTTGATCCAAATTCTTTATTATATATTCAGGCTGTAGTGGCCTGGGGAAGGATAGGCCATATGTATAATTGTAATTGAAAGTAAGATGACATCTGCTATAATCAGCAACAAGATTGCCTTGATATTTGGAGAAAACATTGTAGAAAAAATGAGGTGATAATTTAAAAAATCTTTTCACTCAGTCTCTGGATGTAAGTCACAGGAACAGCTGGAGGAAAAATTGCTTTTAGAGAACAGGCAATACTTTGGTCAAATGGAGGTACCTCAGGCCATTAAAATTATTGATACATTCTTCTGTTAATTCAGCATTCTATTATTAATTTAGCATTTTGCAATTTTATCACTCATTTATTATCCAAAATTTAGTTAGTATCTATAAAAATATATTATTGAAATTTTGAGAGAAGATAGAACCATATAGATGGGAAAGCCAATTCAACTTTGGCTAGAATGTAGGCAGTTCATGGAGTATATGCACTGTTGAGGACTGCAGAGAATTCACTCTGGCTTCACCGGTAAGCTTAATGTCTGGGAAGAAGAAAGGATTTAAAGAATTAAGAGGATGACACGTAGAAAATTCTATAAATATTACAAGCAAAAACTGTTACCGAGACAAGTGGAGTCACCTGGCCAGAATTACACAGCTGGTTATGGCAGAGTTGGAAGAAACATAACAAGGTCTAGATTACTGATTCTATACTGGGGGAGATTTTACCCGTGAGGGGAAATTTGGCAACATCCACAGATGTTTTTGGTTATCACAACTTGGATGATGCAACTGGCTTCTAGTGGAGAGAAACTATAGGATGGTGCTAAACAGGATAGCCTCTCATCATGAATAATTATCTAGCTCTAACTGCCAGTAATAAAAGTTGAGAAACTATGGTCCAAAGAAAGAATATAGAAAATGGGATGGAGGCAGCATAATCAAAAGCAGCAGGAGTATAGAGATGAGAAAGAAGGTGTGGGACACACAGTGACAGCATGTTTTTTACTTGTCCATTTCTGTGTGTATAAATGAGATACACCAACTATGCATATTTCACCCTGGGGCAGCACTTCCATGGATAATTACCTGGTCATAATCTTTGAATTCTAGTTTCCTAGTTCCAAACATGAAATGAAGAGTAAGTTGATTCTCCTTAAACTGAATGTGTCTTTCACCTGAAAACACAGGCTTGGCACATATAAATAATTTTAATGGATAAGGCCTAGGTCTGATGGCTAGCCCAGGGAAGTTAAAGGATAACAACTGCCCCACTCCAGCAGGATTCAGATGAAGGTGATGACAGAAAATAGACATGGCTGGAGAATGGGGGTGTCTTAGTCCATTTTGTGTTGCTATAACAGGATGCCTAGGATTGATAATTTATAAAGAAAATAAATTGATTTGACCCGTGATTCTGATAGCTGGAAGGTTCAAAATTGGAAAGTTGAATATGATGATGACCCCATGATGCTTCAATTTATGGTGGAGAGTAGAAAAAGGGCAAAGAGTGTGCAAAGATATCCTCATGGCTTTGCTGGTCACAGCTGATGTGGCTTCTCTCATGGTTTGGAGTCAAATGCCTGTAACTTTCTCAGGTGGGAATTACATATTCCTGGTGGCTCTGTAATGTTGGGGTCTTGACAGTGGCCCCAATCTCACAGCTCCCCCAGGCACTGAGGTGAGCTCCCTGTGTCAGCTCTAACCTCACATTTTTAACTCAGCATTGCCCTACTTCTTCACTAGTTCCACCCCATTGGCATATCTGTGCCTCGGTCCACAGACTATTTCATACCTTCTTTGAAATGCTGGTGGAAGAAACCATGCTTCCATAGCATTGCATTCTGAAGGCCTGCAAATTAGTTCCATGTGGATGTGAATGCCACCAAGGCTTATGGCTTGCATTCTTTTTGGTGGCAGCATGTGCCTTAACCTGGGCCCCCTTGAGCAATGCTTCTTGCTCCAACAGAGGAGCTGGGATGTGGAAAGCAGTGTCCCACAGTGGCACTGGAAAGTGGCAACACGGTCCTGTCCTTGATACTATTCTGTCATTCTAGGTCTCTGGGCCTGAGATGGGAGGGGAAACCTCAGTAATCTTTTAAATGCCTTTTTCTAATTGTTTTGACTATTAGCACCTGGCTCTGTTTTATCGTGCTAATCTCTTTAGTAAGTGGTTGCTTGGCCATACCCTTGAATTTCTCTCATAAAAATACACTTTCATTCTCTACCACATGGCCAGGCTGTGAATTTTCCAAATTCTTACTCTCTGCTTCCCTTTTAGTTGCAAATTCTCTCTTTAGATCATTCTTTTCTCTTATTATTACTCTTTTTTTTTCTGTAGCTCAGCACAGCTATTAAAAATAACCATGCAGCTTCTTGAATACTTTGCTGCTCAGAAATTTCTTCTACCAGTTATACTAGTTCATTTTTCTTATTTTCCACCTTCACAAAGCCCTGGGACATGGACACAATGTAGCCAAGTCCTTTGCTATAGTGTAACAAGGGTGACCTATCTCTACTTCCCAATAGGTACCTCTGAATTTCCATCTGAGATTTTGTCAGAATTGCCTTCACTGTTCATATTTCCATTAATATTTTGGTTACAGCCACTTAACCGATCTCTGAGAAGTTCCAAACTTTCCCTCATCCTTTTGTCTTCTGATCCTTCGTCAGAAGTGCCCTTAATGCTCTTTTCATTGCAATACAGGCAATACAGGCTATTCTATTATGCTCCTCAGCAGACTAGAATACAATCACTACAAATTACGCATTTCCAAAGCTGCCTTCATATTTCCAGTTGTCGTATAACAACATCCTAATCTTCAATACCAATTTTCCATCTTTATTTAGCATTGCTATAACAGAATACCTGAGGCTGGATAATTTATAAAGAGGTTGATTTTGCTTACAATTCCAGTGGCTGGAAAGTTCAAGATTGAGCATCTGCATCTGGTGAGGGCCTCATGCTACTTAAACTCATGGCAGAAAGTTAAAGCAGAGCTGGAATGTGTAAAGAGATCACGTGGTGATAGAGTAAGAAATAGAAATTGAGAAAGCCAGACACTGTAACAAGTCACTCTCTTAGGAACAAATCTATTCCTAAGAAAGAACTTACTAACTCCTTTGGTGGGGTATTAATGTATTTGTGAGGGATTCGACCCCATGATCCAAACACTTTCCACTAGGCCTCGCCTCCCAACACTGCAACGTTGGGATCAAATTTCAGCGCGAGTTTTGGTGGGGATAAACCACATCTAAACCATAGCAGAAGACATTATTTTAGACCATGGTTACTCAGAGAGCACCAGATCCACCCTGTCTGGACAAGAGGGGGATATCAGACATTGAGTTTTGAGCATGAACTGTAAATGAACCTTCTTATGCTAGGCACTTCTGGAAAAGAGACCACACGGCTTCCTCTCTTATAAGATAACTGGGTACTCTTATCAATAATTGGTAGGTGTTCATGGGCAAGGCTGCCCACACAAAAGAAATCCAAAAATCCTTTCACATTGTGATACTAAAGCCTGTTAGTATATGTTACACCATTACAATTCCAAGGTATCATTTGCATCTAAGTTCAAAATATTACTTTTTTACACAGTTACAGCATCTTGCTTAGGCATAAACATCCTATTACCAGAAGCCATTGTTTTGGTGGGGTGTGGCAAAAGACCCTAAAAATCTCCCAGTCAAACAATTTTGTTACTTTTTTACATTTCAGGTCAAAATATCACTGAACCTGAGAGTCTGAAGACACTTGAAAGTTTCCAGAAGATATCAAAGTAGTTGAATCTGAATATCAATATTAAAAATGGACTAAAACTTTAGTTTTAAATAATTACACAAAAATGGGAAATAAATCCTTCATTGGAACGGGATTTTTTCTAAAAAATTGAGAAAGAAGGACTCTGCATTTTCCTGGCTCTCTCCTCTACTTGCTTAGGCATCCAGGGTTCTTCCGCCTTGCCGTGTGCCAGCCTTGGATACAGAGAACTTTTACTGCTCTAAATTGTATTTACTTCTCAGAATTCCTGAGCCTTGATACTAGGTTCTCTGTGGGAGCTCGATAAATATTCATTGATGGGGATGGTAATGAATACTAGATTTTTTTGGCTCCCTGCTTTCTGACTTTAATCCAGCCATTTCCTTCTCTCTTCCCTGGGGGGACTGGCAATCTGTTTAAAACATGTTTGCACTTTGGAATCAGGAGGAGAAGCCAGCATAATTGTTAGCTTCCAGTGACTCCTGGACTGTCAGTTAATTCTCAGGTCTTGACATTTTCTCTACTCTACACAGAGCTTAAGTTTACACATAAGTGAATTAGTATCACCCTGAAAGATTTATTTCAGCGATGAAAGTATGTCTAGGAAGCCTCCTTTCCCTCTCAAAATAACATGTTCCAAACACACGACACTGGTGTATACCTCCCTGAAATTCTATTATTCATCCAGTATCTGGACTATAAACTGTCTCCTCTTTAAAAAGTTAATTCAGGTGGCTTTGAGTGTGGGAGGAAATCAGCATGGAGAATGGACTTGGTTATCGTCTTAATGCTGCCAATAATTACCTGTGCAACTTCACAAAACTCATTTTATCACTTTGGGGCTCAGTTTTCTTACCCAGAAAATGATGAGCCTGGAAAAAAAAAATGTGTGTTTTCTTTCATCTCTAATTTTTTTAAAAAAGAAAGAAAGTAAAACAACTCCCATGCAGATGAAAAATGAACATGTGTTAAATATACCATTTAACTCAATATTTAAATTAGGAAAGAAACGTGTAAGATGTTACTATCAGTTTATAGGTCGGAATCCAAAGAAAAGATATATTTATAGAGGTAGAATAATGAAATAAATATACAAATTGAGGCCAAACAAGCTGTTTTCACCTTGAGGAAGTCAGTTGAACCTGCACTATACAAATTTTCTGGGTCTGTTAAGAGAACTTTTTTTTCATTGCTCTCAGGTACCTACAACTTGGAGAATTATAAAATAGCTCCTATAAAATCAGTATAGTTAACTCTAAAAGGTGTATTCTAAGCAATGCATAGTTTTTTGTTTTGTTTTGTTGTTGTTTGTTTTTGTGGGTGGTGGTGGTGGTGGTTTGTTTGTTTTTACCAAAGCACAAATTTTCCCTTACATTACAAATCAGGTGCTAAGTACAATGTTTGGTCACAGTGGGTACTCAAGGTTTATTAGTCACTAATATTTTTTCTAAAATGATAATTTCTCTGTGATTTAGTATCCAAATCTGCCGCCTAAAATTTTGTGTACTTCAAGAGCAATCTGCTCTTTGTTCTCAAACCTAATATTAACTGGATGCTATATATCAGTTTATACTTTTTATCAAATTACATTTCTCTGATCCTGTGAGGAGAATATTTATTGTCTTTTTTCCCTCCCTCATTTGAGGGAGACTGTCAAGGTATTCAAAGCTTCCCAACAGGGAAGCATCCTGCGAGAGTCCTTTACTTTATCTGGCATCAGTAACTATTTCTTTTTTTTAAACGAGGAATATGCCCATATAATTCAGGTTAAATCAATGTGTCCTGATCCTTCATCAATGCTTACCTTCTCCTGTTTGACAATTCACTTTAACTATAACACTCTTTCTATACTTACCTCTGGCTTCAAGCAGATCTTTCACCCCTTCATTCTTTCCATTCTTCCTTCCTGTTTAATTTCACTGATTCCAACAAAAAGTCAACTCTTGGAAACAGATCAAAGTCTAAATGAGGGCTATTTTGTCCATTATTTGTAAATAAAAATTCTAAAGCAGATAACAGTTATGATAAAAATGTTACGTGACTTTGGCAAAATTGGGTGTCTGTGGTGAGGACGGGTTATTAGTGCTTTGTTGAAAGCAATCTCCTAATTGGATGCAATCACTGCTTCCAACTAACAATACTTGCTTTCATGTGCACAAGTCCCTAATCAATGTTTAGTTTCCGGACTTTAGTTTTAAGATCTTATTTTTCTTTCAAAATGCAACTGAGGGATATATTTTCTTCAATGTGTATTTCTAATTTAGTTTTCAGATCATAATTGGCTGGTATAGTCATTTTTCATCAGATGAAAGAACATTGGCAACATAATTGTGCTTCAAAAAATTTTACTGGAATGGAACCCAAAATCTTTTAACCTAAACTGATAACAAATTGGCAAATCCAAATCTCATGGGTGTGTCTGTGTTTGCTCACTATATAACTATAATACTTGGGTATTTTTTTCCTTCAGCGAATAGGTATTTTTTTCCTTCAGCGAATAGTCTACTGAATTATAGAAAATGGCAGGTAAGGCCAATTAAGCAAATTTGCACTATTGCAGTTTGAATTCATAAAAAGCTTGAATAATAAAATATTTGTAGAGAGACTGTTTTACTGCATATATATCAAATGTAAATTAGAATTAGGGTGATAATATATTTACTACGTAGAGGAAAGGAAATATATTTTTCTCACCCATTCTAGGTTCATTGCCGAGGTCCTTTAAACAAAAGAAAAATTAACAAAAAAATGCATCAAATTGATTTAAAGTAAGTTTTATGGGAACAGGATCCTTCATAAGGAAGTGGAGACCCAAAGGAATGGGTAAATCTGTGTATTTTTACGTTAGCTTTGATGAATAAGTGGATAGCCATGGAGAGGTATGATTAAATTAAAAACTGAAGATAATTTAGCAAAGTTGGTTTGTTCAAATTCTGTTCTGTGTTGCTGTGTCTTCAGAGATAAAGATGTTTCTTTCCTCTACACATGAGGAGGGTAGCTCTCTAATGAGGGCCTTTGGACCTGCTTTAGGGGAGAAGAGTAAGGGGAATATGAGAGTGGACTTCCTGTTTCTGCTGTTTTCTTGAATGCCAACGTTCCATGTTTTGGGGTAGCATGTCCTGAATCCCATCAACCATAATCAGTAGATTAAAAAATATATATATGCTATCTTATCAATGAGGTACTTTCAGAGTAGCAAAAGGACTTTCAAGCAGTCTATCTTCATAAAAAAAATTATATACTTTCTTTAAAAGGATTTTGACATTATTAATTTGTTAAATAAATCTGACATTCATTTGGCCCCAGATCTCTGTGTAGGGCCTTGCATATTGTGGATATTTAAAAACAACAAGACAACAAAAATAACAGATAATTTATTGACTAATTAACGTGCTTTATTGACTAATTAATTACCTTTGTGAAGTTTTAAAATGTATACATTGATTTAACTGTAACAAATATATGAAGTAGACACTTTTAGTATCCTTGTTTTACAGGTAAATAAACTAAGGAAGAGGGAAATTAAGTAATTTTCCCAAGGTCTAATAGCAAGCTAATATTTAAACCATATTTTAACCCAGGAAGAGCAATTTTATGCCCAGTTCACTTGATTACCACACTACTCTGTTTCTAAATAAATGGTTTTATATATAAATGTTATATGTTTACTTCCCTTTCCACTCCTCCCTGCTCACCACAGCCTCTGGTAGCCACCATTCTACTTTATACTTCTATGAATTTGGCTTTTTTAGATTCCACATATGGCTTCAAAGATAAACTTCAACAGAGAGGTTTTGTTATTTTTCTACTGTGTCCATGGCATCCTGCTGAATGACCTATAAAAATTCTCATTTTTTTAACTTTCTTTTTAGCCTTAGTGTTGTATAACTGACAAATAAAAATTGTATGTATTTAAGGAACACAACTTGTTTCAAGTTTTATTTTATTTTTAATTGATAAATAGTAATTTTATATATTTATGGGGTAAAATGTGACATTGTAATACATGTATGCATTGTGGAATGATCAAATCAGGATAACTAGCATATCCTCAAATATTTATCATTTCTTTATGGTGGGAAGGTTTAAAACACACTTTTAGCTATTATTAAGTATTGCTACCTTGCTGTGAAAAAGCACACTAGAACTTACTCTTTCTATATAACTGTAACTTTATATCCATTAACCAACATCTCAACTTTCTCTGTCTAGTCCTCCCTGCTCCCGACAGCCTCTGGTAACTACCATTCTAGTGTCTACTTCTATGAGTTTGACCATTAGATTCCACATGCAATTGAAATCATGAAGTATTTGTTTCTCTGTCCTTGGCTTATTTCACTTAACATAATGTCCTCTAGGTTCATCCATGTTGTTGAAAATGACAGAATTTCCTCCTTTTTTTTTAAGGCTGAATTTTATTTAAAGCTGAATTTTAGTATTTTATTGTGTATGTGTATCACATTTCTTTAATCCATTTATCTATTAATGGATACTAGGTTGTTTCCATAGCTCAGCTATTGAGAAGAATACTTCAATGAACATGAGAGTACTGATTTTTCTTCCACATATCAATTTCAATTCCTTTGGGTGTATACTCAGTAGTGGGGCTGCCAGATAATAACTTAATTCATTTTTAGTTTTTTGAGGAACCTCTCTATTGTTTTCCAAAATGTCTGTACAAATATACAATACCACCAACAGTGTAGAAGCATTCCCTTTTCTCCACATTCTCACCAACACTTATCTTCCATCTTTTAGCTAACAGCCAACCTAACAGGTATGAGGTGAAATCTCATTGTGGGTTTTCATTTTCATTTCTCTGATTATTAAAGATGTTGAACATGTTTTTATATATCTGTTGGTCATTTGTATGTCTGCCTTTGAGAAATATCTATTCAAGTTGTTTGCCCATTTACAATATGGCTATTTGTGTCTTATTATTAATTTTCTTGTATGTTTTGGATATGAACCTTTCATCTGATGCATAATTTGCAAATATTCCTCCCAATGAGGGTTGTCTCCTTACTCTACTGTTTTCTTTGCTGTGCAGAAGCTTTTGGTTTCATGCAGTTTTATTTGTCTATTTTTGCTTTCATTACGTGTGCTTTTGAGTCATATTCAAGAAATCTCTACCCAGACCAATGACTTGGAGTTTTATCCAATGTTTTCTTCCATTAGTTTTATATTTTCAGGTCTTCTTTTTAAGTATGTCATCCATTTTGAGTTTATTCTTGTATAATTGGTGAGGAAAGGGTCCATTTTTATTATTCTGTATGTGTATATCCAGTTTTCGCAACACAATTTATTGAAGAGACTGTTCTCCTATTGTGTGTTGTTGGCACTTTGATAAAAAATCAATTGACTATAGATGTGGGGTTTACTTCTGGGCACTCTATTCTATTCCACTGGTTGGTGTGTCTGTTTTATGCCAGTACCATGATCTTTTAATTACTATAGCTTTGAAACACATTTTGAAATTTGGTATGCAGATTGGTTGAAATGTCTCCAACTTTGTTCTTTTTTGTCAAGATTGATTTGACTATTTGGGTCCTTTTGTGGTTCTGTATACATTTTAGTATTTTTTTCTATTTATATGAAGAATGACATTGAAATTATTATAGGAATTCTGTTGAATTGTAGATTAAGTGTTTATGAATATTTTAACAATATGAATTATTCAAATTCATAAATGTTGGGTATCATTCTATTTGTGTCTTCAATGTATTTCATCAATATTTTATTGTTTTCAGTATATATGCATATCTTTATATATAGATATCTTTCACTTCTTGATGAAAGTATTTTTATACTATTATAAACAGAATTGGTTTTTAAAATTTATTTTTCAGACAGTTTGTTGTTAGTGTATAGAAACACTATTGATTTTTGTAAGTTGATACTTTATACTGAAAATTTACTGTTTGTTTATCAGTTCTAACAGTTTTTTTGGCAGAGTCATTAGAAATTTTTATATAAAAGATCAAGTCATCAGGAAACACAAAGAATTTCACTCTATCCTTTCCTATTTGGATAACTGTAATTTTTTTCTTTTGCCTAATTGCTCTGTGTAGGACTTCCAGTACTTCAAATAGAAGTGGTGAGAGTGGACATTGTTATTTTTTTCCTTACCTTAAAGAAAATACTTAGTTTTTAACACCGAGTATGTTAGCTATGAGCTAATAATATATGGCCTTTATTATGTTGAAGAACATTTCTTCTATACCTAATTTGTTGAGAGTTTTTATCATGAAAGAATGTTGAATCTTGTCAAGTGCTTTTTCTCCATCCATTGAGGTGATCATAAGATTTTTGCCCTTAATTCTGTGAATATGGTGAATTACACTTATTGATTTGCATATGATGAACTAACTTTGAATCTTAGGACTAAATCCTAATTGATCATGGCAAATGATCATTTTAATGTACTTTTGGATAGGAATTGCTAGTATTTCATTGAGGATTTTTGCATCTATGTTCATTAATGATATTTGCCTATAGTTTAGTTTTTTTGTAGTGTTTTTCTCTGGCTTTGGTATTGAGGTGATGGGGCCTCATTATGAAAAATGACTTTGGATGTAGTCCTTCCCTCATGTATAAATTTCTAGAAGAGTTTGAGAAGGATAGGTATTAGTAAATTTTTAAATGTTTGAGAGAATATTCATGAAGTCATCTGTTCTTGGATTTTCTTTGGTGAGATACTTTTAATTACCAGTTCAATTTCCTTACTCAGCATTGCACTGTTCAGGTTTCTGAATTTTGTGATTCGCTCTTAATAGGTTATTTGCTTCTGGGAATTTGCCTATTTCCTCCAGCTTGTCAATTTTTTGACATATAATTGTTCTTAGTCTCACATGACTCTTCATATTTCTGTGTTACCTGTTGTAATGTCTCTTTTCTCATTTCTGGTTTTATTTATTTGGGTCTTTCTTTTTTTCTTAGGCTAATGAAAGGTTTGTCAACTTTATTTAGCTTTTCAGAAAACCATCTCTTAGGTTTTCTTTCTTTTTTTCTTTTTCTTTTTTTTAGTCTTTTCTATTGTTTTTTCGTCTCTATTCCATTTATTTCTGCTCTGATCCTTGTTATTTTCTTTCTTCTGCTAACTTAGGGCTTAGTTTCTTCTTTTTCTACTTCCTTGAAGTATAATATTAGGTTATTTACTTGGGATCTCTTCTTTTTTTGAAATAGGCATTTATTGCTATAATGTTTCCTCTGAAAACAGTTTTTGCTGCATTCCTTAAGTTTTTTTCATCTTCATTGTCTCAAGATGTTTTAAAATTTCTCCTTTAATCCTTCTTTGACTAAATTATTCCAGAGAATATAGTTTAATTTCCACATATTGTTAATTTTTCATAATTTCTCCTATTATTGATTTCTAATTTTGTACCATTTTGGTTAGAAAGGATACTTGAAATAATTTTAATCTTTTTAAAAATGTGCTAAGACTGTGGCCTAACATGTAATCCATTCTAGAGAGTGTTTCATGTGCACTTGAGAAGAATCTGTATATTGTTACTGCCAGGTGGAATGCTCTATATGTCTGTTAGATCCATTTGGTCTAAAGTATAGTTCAAATTCAATGTTTCCTTATTGGTTTTCTTCCTGGATGATCAATCCAATATTGAATGTGAGGTAATTTGTGTTGTAGTCTATGTCTGTATTCAGATCTCATAACATTTCCTTTATAATGTTTCCTATATTTAGGTGCTCCAATGTTGTGTGCACATATATTTACATTGGTAGGCCCTTTGTTTAATTAACCCTTTTATCATTACATGATGACCTTCTTTGTCTGTTTTTAAATTTTTGATTTAAAGCCTATTTTTGCTAAAATAAATATAGCTACCCCTGCTCTTTTTGTTTCCACTTGCATGAAATATTTATTTTCTTTGTCTTCACTTTTAGTTTATGAGTTTTCTTTAAGGTAATGTGAGTCACTTGTATGCAGCATATAGGAGGATCTTATTTTTTAAAAAAATTCATTTAGCCACTCTCTGCCTTTTGATGGGAGAATTTAATCCACTTACACTTAAAGTTATTATTAGGTTAAAAACTTACTAGTGCCATTTTGTTAATTGTTTTCCCATTGTTTTGTAGACACTTTGTTCTTTTCTTCTTCTCTTGTTTTCTTCCTCTGTGCTTTAATGGCTTTCCATAGTGGTATCTTCAGGTCTTTTCTTATATATTACAGACTTTTGCTTTTTGGTTATTCTGAAGCTTATATAAAACATCTTATTCCTATTACAACCTAATTTAAATTGATAACAAGTTAATTTTGATCACATACACGAATACTACAGTTTTTCTCCTCCTACGTTTTATATTTTAATATCACACTTTACTTCTTTTTATAATTTTTATACCTTAAGAAATATTATATCTTTAGTTGTTTTTAATTGTTTTGCCTTTTAGCTTTTATACTAGAGATATAACTGATTTACCCACTGCCATTACAATATTAGTGTTTGGTATTTGGTAATGTACTCACTTTTACCAGTAAGTTTTGTACTTTCATATGTTTGCATGTTTCTAATTAGTGTTCTCTTTATTCAGCTCAAAGAACTCCATTTAGCACTTCTTATAAGGCAGGTATAGTGATTATAAACTCTTTTAACTTTTCTTTGAGATTGCCTTTAATACCAGCTTCACTTTGAAAGACAAGATTGCTGGGTTTTGTATTCTTGTTTGGCAGATTTTTCTTATTTCAGTTATTGGAATATATTATTCCACTTTCTTCTGGCCTGCAAGATTACTGCTGAGAAATTCACTGATGTCTTAGGTGAGTTCTCATATACTTTATAATTCACTTTTCTCTTGCTGCTTTCAACACTCTAACATTTGCCAATTTATTATAATGTGCTTTCATATGGGTCTCTTTGGATTCATTTTATTTGGTATCTTTTGAGCTTTCTGGCTCTGACTTTCTATTATCTTTCACAGGCTTGGAAAGTACTGTGTCATTATTTCTTTAAGTGTGTTTTCTGTTTCTTTTTTCTCTTTCTTTCCTGGTACAACAATAATGTATAAGTTGTTCTGTTTGATGGTGTCGCATAAGCCTCTTAAGCTATCTTTTACTCTTCTTTATTCTTTTTGTCTCTCTGATTTGATGATTTTCAAAGACCTATCTTTAAGTTCACTGACCCTTTCTTCTGCTTCATCTAATCTATGTGGAACCCCTCTATTGAACTTTTCAGTGCACTTACAGTATTCTTCAGATCTATGATTTCTATTTGCTACTTTTTATACTTTCTATTATTTTGTTGAGTTCTCAGTTTGTTCTTGCATTACTGTCTTAACCTTGGTGAACATCTTTATCACCATTATTATATTGAACTCCATGTCAGGCAAATCATACATCTTTACTTCAGGCAGATCAGTTTCTGAAATTTTATTTATGTATTTTTATTTGAAATACATTCCCTTGTTTGTTCATTTTATTTGACTCTCTTTGTTTCTGCACATTAGATAACTACCTCTCCTGGTATTGTGAGTCCAGCTTCATGTAAAGAAGCATCTCAATAATCCATCTGGCTAGAAATATTAAGATGTCTTTCAAATTTTTATGTTTTTTCAGACTACTGTCTCTTTATGGTAGTCCCTGGAGCTTAGGATTTGCTATGTTCTGTCTGTACCCCAAGACCAATAGTGTAGAAGTCAGACTGTTTATATGTATTTTGAAAGATTGGGATGTTGTATATGTATTAGTGTTTTCTACTTTCACAGTGATGCTGAGGAAGGGTGTTTATCTCTCACTTTATCTGCTTTAAATTAGGGAGAGAATCTGGCAAATGGTATACTCATGTTTAAGCTGTACCCTCTGATCCTGGGGAGATAGCTGCTAAAATTTAGCCTGCTGTATGTCCACCTCTTTGTTTTCTGTAGTCTTGGGTTGCTCAAAAATGCAAAGCCCCATCAATTCCTAGACCTAGGTTGTTAAAGAGACAGTCCCTTGGGTGGGAGCTATAGAAGATGTGGCACTTGGTACATGGCTAAACTTCTTCCAGGAAGAATGAGTATGGCTGGATTTATCACTGGAGTAAGACAGAGGGAAGGTTCATGAAGGGTCAAGCTCTGGCCCCAGCTGTTGAAGGACTATTGTTTGCCCTGTTAGCTTTCCAATAAAAGTTTGTTAGAAGCCAGGCCATCACAGCCACTGGCAGTGTGTGTCATAAGCCCCTTTGAGGAAAAATGGAAGTATCGTATTCCTCACCTTTTATGTGCTGCTTTGAGGGGGTGTATCCCATGGAAGTGTTTATACACTTGTGTAATACCAACTCTTTGTTCTGTGATCTAAGGAGGCTTACATATGCCTAGTCCCTTCTGCTCCCAGAGCTAAGGATCAAGTTCTTCAGTAGGTATCAGTAAAAGTAGTAGCACTTGATGCATGGCATAAACCTCTTCTGTGGGGAAACAGAGAGGTGTGGTTTTAATGCCTCTTCTCTGCATGGCTTCAGGGGAATTAAGGCACTGGAAGTGCTTACACACCCATATAAAACTTCCTTTTTTGTGGTTTATATAGACATGCAATACTTAGTCTCCTCTATTCCTAAAGCTAGGAGGTTTAGTATGTCGTTCTTCAGGTAGAAGCTGTAAACGTTAGGGTACTTGATGTTATGTAAACACTTCTTTCAATAGGGATTTATGGAGCTGGACTTATTGCTGGGATGAGTCAGTGGAGATGTCTCAGGAAGTGCCAATCTGCTTCTCAGGCTACCAGATGGCTTACACTTGTCTATTCTTTTAACCTGCCAAGTTAGAAGCTCCCCAAGTTTGAAGCCAGACTACCAAGTAGCTGCCAGAGCAGTGTGTCATAAACTCCTTTCTGTAAGAAACAGGGGCTGTGTTTTCTAAGCTCCTTCTATGCACTACTCCTTGGGGCTTGGGGATGAAGCCCTTGAAAGTGCTTGTTCACTCTTATAAAACCTCTGCTTTTTTCCTGTGGTCTCTAGAGGCATTTATATGTGAGTTTCTTCCAGTCTCAGAGCTAGGAGGCTTAGGATGCAGTCCCTTGGGTGGAAACAGTAAAAGTTGGGGCAAGCAATATGGACAAACTCCTTTCAGGAGGAATTATGAAACCTAGAATTATCACTGTGTTGAGCTTGGGAAAAAAGCTTGATATAGCTATGGCAAGTAAAAGTGAAAAGGGAAAAAATGAGTTTGCTGTCTATTATTGAGCAATTTTTTTGGCTAAAAGAATATTGAACCGTATTTTATGAAAATGAAGTTTAAGTCACAGTTGTAAAATTTACTCTCTATGTTTCAGCAAATTCTTTACTTCTTCACACTTCTTTTCCAATTAAATAAGAAGGCTGGCCTATTGGGAATTTTCATTATTAGTCTTTTATATTTTTAAAAACATGTTGTATCCCAAATGTAGAATTACCTGCTCGAATTAAATTTTATTCAGATGACTTATATGTGAACAAAACTGCAAGTATTTGTGTGAAGTGGGTGTGGTGGGCTTGAAACTTGTCCAATAGGAATTTATTTTTGCCTCTTGAATGGCCTTGAAGTGACTAGAAAAACACAGCTGAGAATATAACATAAAGTTAGTACCTAAATTGTGCAAAGTCTTACTCCAGTATTTTGTAAACGACGACAGAACATTTAAGTATTTGTTTTCTATCATGAGATACAAAAGATGATGGTCTTATGTGCAGTGTGGTTCAATGGGCATAACAAGGTTTACTTTAGTTTTATAATCTCCATCCCAATTTAATATTAGAATGCAAGAAGTAAAATTTTCTTAGTATGATAACTTCGATCCACTTGAATTTGGAAAATGTTATTTCATTCATGACCTTATGTACTTAATAATTATTAGTAATGTATCACTTGAGACATGCCTCAAAATAATTGCAACACACTTGCATTGAGATGCCATTGCTTTAGATGATGCTAATAGCTTGATGTTTTGGGTGAAAGAGTAAGCAGATATAAGTGACACTTTCTGCAAATAATAAAATTCTTGAACAAGTCCTGCAAATGCAAAAGAGAGTGTCATCTGAAGTGTGAAGTAGGTTAAGTGCATCAAACAAATACTTTAAGACATCTCTAGAAACAATGACCACATAAATACAAACAATGGTGTTAGTCAAGATTTTGCTGTGGTAACAAACAATCCCAAAATATTAGTGGTTTAAGGCAACAAAGATTAATTTCTTGCTTACACAAATTATACTGTAATTTCCAGCATGAATTTCCAGTTTCACCTAATTTTCCAGGTCTTTATGTGAAGAATTAGCATTGCACCTCCATAATAAAAATTTTCTTTGTGCATTAAGACAGGGAAAGAGAGTACTTATAACTGCTAATGACACATTTCATTTCTTAAATTTAACGTATCAAATCAAGTCATTCAAATAAGATAAACATCAACAAGCTGAGACATTGCAATATCTCTTTGTTCCTTGAAGAAGGACAATTGTAAATATTGGTGAGAAACACTTTCACCTACTACAGTTATAAACCTGTAAAAGTTTGAACAGTCCAAATCTCCCATGGGCTGCAGCCTAATTTGTCTGGAAAAAATTCATATTTGACTCATCTAATCCAGGGTATGTTATTATTATTATTTTCTTAATCACCTTCCATTTGGATTTGAAGTACTTTAGGAGACCTTTGGACGTACCATAACTGCTAACGTCTAGCTATTAATGGCTCTTTGTCTTCTCACCAGCCTTAACTATTGTAAGAAAACTAACATTTTGTGGAATTATGAGAATAGCCATCAACTACCATACAGTTGTCTTTTTTTGTCTGTAAAAGAAGAGAAACAGGAAAAAGAAGAACCCCTTGTCTGTCTATTTACATAGCTGGGGCATCTATTGTCTCTCCATATTGTGCTCTATTCTTCTATTAACATGGTTTCCCTTTCCTTCATCCACCCATCTCTAACATCATATATTGTGACATATGATGTTGGGTAGCAGATACTTATTTAAGATTTAGGTGTCATGAAGGGTGGGGGAACTCTGGAACAGGACATAATAAAGAAAACCTTCATTTTAATACTAAATCTCTCTCTTTTCTAACATATTTTCTCCCCTGGCTCAGTCTGTCTCCATATTATTTGGTTCCCTCTATCTTCTTTCCCCCAGGTGCTAGTCAATTAATTTCATATTCTTGTTAACCTATTAAGTAGAACTATTGTCTCTTGAAACTCTTTGAGGTACAATACTAAATAAGAAAATAATGTATTCTAGTTCAGAATACTTACCCATATAAAGAACCAGTTAGCCAAGACATATAAATAAGAGTTGTATTTTTATTTAACACATTTTGGATTATGGACAGAGCAACCTCCAGGAATCATGGATGTCCAATGGGGTTTCTCTTGTTACATTTGTGATATATGCTGTATAAAATGTATTTTACAAGATCTCACAATTGTCTTAGGATTTTCATCTAATACTGGCCACAAACCCTTGTTCCTTTTTTACTGGGTACATTTCAAAGGCCTAGAAGTTGCATGTGAATCAAGAAAACTCCATGGGGTTCAGACAAACTTTGACCTCCAAGTGGCAAGGAACAGAATTGAAAATTTCACGAAAACACCTTTATTCTCAGGGTCAGCTCAGCAGGGACCAAGCAGTACAGAACAGGTGAGAATGAAAGCTAATCAAGAAAGGAAACTCTTTCAAACAACAACATCAGTCACCAAAGCCATGATTCACAATCAGGATACTAGTTGAGTCGGTTCTTATTTTAACCAAAGAGTCCCTTCTGGTTCTCCTTGATGCTCATATCCACTTCAGAGGAATGTTACACTATAGGCTGCTGTCTTACGTCTCATAAATAAATCAGTAAGATAAAAATAGCTGTTTCTCTCAAAGTTAAACCAAAATGAAAGTCAAGGTTTCAGCAATCTTTCTCTACTCTTTCCTTTTCTGTTTTCTTATAATAATATCTAGTTGACTCTGAAAGCACAGATTATTCAAGTATAAGTGCAGACTGATTTTGGGAGAAAAACATAGTGTTCACTATTGTGTAAAATTTGTGATTAGCCAGTGTTTTATTAGAAATGTAATTCCTTTTATCCCTTTATTAAAAAACCCACTTATCTATAAAAATATCTTAGGATATACTCGTATTATACCTCTCTTGCTAGAAGACAAACAGTACTTCTGTTACAAGAAGTCCTAAGTTACCTGGGGCTATGAGAATAAACTGAAGATGGTTTCTCTACCTGTATCTATGCATATAATAATCCCTAAAGTTTAAGGGAGTGTTTTGTAATGGAAAGTTGTACATAGATGTTCTTAGTACAAAGGATTCTGGAAAGTTCCATCTTTCACCTCTGCACATAATTTTTACATGTTTTTCTTAATTGTAGGAATTCAGCTTGCACTTACAGGCAGCTTATTGTTCCAATGGTTGCCAATGCTTCCTTGATGCTTCTTTCTTTGTTCTTCAGAAAGACACGGAAGAGCTTTAGATATCATGTACGGTGTTTGCTTTTTTAAGACTGTATTAGTCTGTTTTCATGCTGCTAATAAAGACATACCCAAGACTGGGTAATTATAAAGGAAAGAGATTTAATTGACTCACAGTTCCACATAGCTGGGGAGGCCCTACAATCATGGTGGAAGACAAGGAGGAGCAAGTTACATCTTACATGGTAGCAGGTGAAAGAGAGCTTGTCCAGGGAAATTCCCATTTATAAAACCATCAGATCTCATGAGACTTATTCACTACAGTGAGAACAGTATGAGGGAAACAGCCCCCATGATTCACTTATCTCCTGCTGGGTCCCTCCCACAATAGATGGGAATGATGGGAACTACAATTCAAGATGAGACTTGGGTGGGGACACAGTCAAACCATATCATTCCACCCTGGCCCCTCCCAAATCTAATGTCCTCACATTTCAAAACCAATCATGCCTTCCCAACAGACCCCCAAAGTCTTAACTCGTTTCAGCATTGACTCAAAAGTCCACAGTCCAAAGTTTCATCTGAGACAAGCAATTTCCTTGTGCCTATGAGCCTGTAAAATCAAAAGAAAGTTAGTTACTTCCTAGATGCAATGGGAGTACAGTCATTGGTTAAAGACACCTATTCCAAAGAATAAATTGGCCAAAATGAAGGGGCAACAGGCCCCATGTAAGTCTGAAATCCAGCAGGGGAGTCAAATCTTAAAGTCCAAAATGATCTCCTTTGACTCCATGTCTTACATCCTGGTCATGCTGATGCAAGAGGTGGCTTGCCATGGTCTTGGGAAGCTCTACCCCTGTGGCTTTGCAGAATACAGCCCCCTCTCCTGGCTGCTTTCATGGGCTGGCATTGAATGCCTGTGGCTTTTCCAGGTGCACAGCACAAGCTGTCAGTGGTTCTACCATTCTGGGGTTCTGCAGATGGCTCTCTTCTCACAGCTCCATTAGGCAGTGCCCCAGTGGGGACTCTGTGTCCCACCCCACATTTCCCTCCCACATTGCCCTAGTAGACGTTCTTCATGAGGGCTCTGCCTCTGCAGCACACCTCTGCCTGAACATCCAGGCATTTCCATGCATCCTCTGAAATTTAGGTGGAGGTTTCCAAACCTAAATTCTTGACTTCTGTGTACCCACAGGCCCAGCACCACATGTAAGCTGTCAAGGGCTTGCACCCTTTTAAGCAATGGCCTGAGCCATACATTGGCCCTTTTAGCCATGGCTGGAGCAGCTGGGATGCAGGACACAAAGTCCCGAGGCTACACGCAGCACTGAAGGCCTGGACCCAGCCCAGGAAACCATTTTTCCCTCTTAGGCCTCTGAGTCTGTGATGGGAGGGGCTGTCACAAAGGTCTCTGATATGTGCTGGAGACATTTTCCCCATTGTCTTGGCAATTAGCATTTGGCTCCTTGTTACTTATCCAAACTTCTGTAGCAGGTTTGAATTTCTCGCCAGAAAACGGATTTTGCCTTTCTGCTGAATCATCAGCCTGCAAATTTTTCAAACTTTTTTGCTCTGCTTTCTTTTGAACACTTTGCTGCTTAGAAATTTTTTTTAAGTAGATGCCCTATATCATCTCTCTCAAGTTCAAGGTTCCACAGATCTCTAGGGCAGGAGCAAAATGCCTCCAGTCTCTTTACATAGCAAGTGTGACCTTTACTCCAGTTCCCAACAATTTCCTCATTTCCATCTGAGACCACCACAGCCTGGATTTTATTGTCCTTATTCCTGTCAGCATTTTGGTCAAAGCCATTCAACAAGTCTCTTAGAAGTTCCAAACTTTCCCACATTTTCCTATCTTCTTCTGAGCCCTCAAAACTCTTCCAACCAGTACCTATTACCCAGTTCCAAAGTCACTTCCACATTTTCGGGTATCTTTACTGCAGTGCCCCACTCTTGGTAACAATATCTATATTAGGGTTCTCTAGAGGGATAGGACTAATAGAACTGATGTATATATGAAAGGGAGTTTATTAAGGAGTATTACTCATACGATCACAAAGTGAAGTCCCACAATAGGCTATATGCAAGCTGAGGAGAAGGAAGACAGTCTGAGTCCCAAAACCTCAAATGTAGAAAGCCAACAGTGTAGTTTTCAGTCTGTGACCGAAGGCCTGAAAACCCATGGCAAACCACTGGTGTAAACCCCAAGAATCAAAACGCTAAAGATCTTGAAGTTTGATGTTCTAGGGCAGAAAGCATCCAGCACGGGAGAAAGATGGGGGCCAGAAGACTTAGCCAGTCTAGTCCTTCCGTGTTCCACTGACTGCTGTTATCCTAGCTGTGCTGGCAGCTGATTAAATGGTGCCCACCCAGATTGACAGTGGCTCTACCTCTTGCAGTCTATTGACTCAAATGTTAATCTCCTTTGGTAATACCCTCACAGGCACATCCTGGAACAATGCTTTGCATCCTTCAGTTTAATCAAGTTGACACTCAGTATTAACCATCATAGAGACTTAGAGTTTTGATATATGGAACATTTATTTAATATGGAGAGATTAATGGGATTATTCTGGATTCAACTAAGATGTGCTATTCCATGTTCATTAAACATCATAATAACATTCCAGAAACTAAAATCTGAATGTTTTTTATCGTTATATTTACTTACTTAGTAATTTTAAACTTTGGTTAGAGTATATATTTCTGTTTTAGAGCTATAAATGCCACTGGAGAATTTGCTTTAAAATGCCATTATAACTTTCAGCTTTGTATTAGGATATAGAAAACTGGAAAGATTATCATTTAGACCCTTACAACAACAAAAATCTGGGTTCTCTATAAGATTGCAACTTTCTTGAACACATCAGAGAGCAGAATTCACAGGGAAACCAACTAACCCAACGTATAAGCAAGACACTCTTTCAAAGAGGAAAAAGGATATGAACACTAGCTTTCCTAAAGAAGATCAAAGCTATCAAATAAACTTTTAAGAATGTTTAGTAAATATAATTAATTTTTGAACACTGATTATGTGCTATTATGAAAGTATAGAAACCCTGGATACTGCAGACACAAGATAAATCACTCCAACTCATAGGCTCTTCTCCACACACATCATTAGGTACTTATAAGAAATACCGGGGGCAAGACAAGAGATCAGAAGGAACATTTCTTATGGTGAATGCCTGAAAAAGGGGAATAGCAACTGCTTTGGGGATGGCATGAAACCTGGTTGGGTACTTCTTCTCTGCTTCCCCATGGGAGAAAAGTCTTAAGCAGTTTGAGTAAGTGCAGTAAGCCCTGTCCCACAGAGAATACAAATAAATACCTATCAAAACTGAGGAATAAAAACAGAAAAACTTCTTGGAGAAGGGACAGAAAAATGTCCTAGGACCAGATCAATAAAGATTTTCTACCACTAGGGGCTAAGGCACGATCACTGAGAAAGATCAACCATTGAGAATGAGAAACACATCAGCTGCCTAAGACTAAGGCTGAACCAGAACAACAGAGAAGGTCTCCTCCTTCTGCCCTCAGAGCTATCAACTATGAAAGAACAAGTAAGAGCAATCCAGTATATTTACTGGAAAAGAGCAAGAACATGAAGAGATACTCTCTTTGTGATGTAGGCACAAAGGGAAGCCTTAAATTAAGAATTGATTGGATGTTAAAAAATTTCTCTAGCACCAACCTTAAATAGAAGGTAATGCTATAAGTACTTGAAGAGTGGTAATGTACTGAGTAAAATGATAATAACAAAAAAAATTCAACTCAGCTCAACCCTTAACTAGATTTACTCAATCCTCCACACAAAAGCTAGAAAATAAAGGGGGAAGCCCATTTTGAAGAATGAATAAGCTATAGCTCAGTCTGTATTGCCTAACAAAAGGTATATTTTTAACTAAAGATTATGAAACATGCAAGTGAATAGAACAAATAAAAATACAGTTAAGAGACAAAGTTGTTGGTAGAATTAGACCATGGCACTGATATTTGAATAATCATATAGGAAATATAAATAATATATTAAAAATTCTAGTGGAAAACTGTATAATATGAATGAACAGATGGTAGATTTCAGCAGAGATATAGAAAATATAATAAAATTAAATAAAAATGGTAGAAATGAAAACAGAGTAGCAGAGATAAATAATACCTTCAATAAGCTCATCAATAGATTTGACAGCTGGGAAAATAATTAGTGAGTCTCATTCTAGGTCAATGGTTATCATCAAAATTACATCACCAAGAAAAAAATATTTTAAAAATTAAGAATCCAAGATATAGGAAGCGGTTTTTTGTGTGTGTGTTCTAATATCGGTAACTGGAATTTCAGAAGGAAAAGAGAGACAAAGTGAAAGATCTTGGGAAAGATAAGGGCAGATACTTTTCTAAAAGTAGTGAAAGACACCAAACAGTATATCCAACATCTCAAAATTTCATACAAGATTAAACAAGATAGCCACTCCCTACCCGAAACACAAACACACACACACACAATATATCCTAGTAAACTCTTGAAAACTAAAGACAAAATAAAATCCTGAAAGTAGTCTGATTAAAAGTCATATTACATATAAAGAAACAAATACAAGAATTATTCCAGTTTCTGCTGGGGCAGTGGCTCACACCTGTAATCCCAGCACTTTGGGAAGCTGTGGTGGGCAGATAACTTGAGGCAGGAGTTTGAGAGCAGCCTGGGCAACGTGACAAAACCCCGTCTCTACTAAAAATACAAAAATTAGCCAGGCATGGTGGTGCACACCTGTAATCCCAGCTACTTGGAAAGCTGAGGCACAAGAATTGCTTGAACCTGGGAGCTGAGATCATGCCACTGCACTCTCGTCTGGGTGACAGAGCAGCAAGACTCTGTCTAACAACACAAAAAAAGAATGATACCAGGATTTTTGTTAGAAATTATTTTGCAAGTCAGAATACAATACAGTAATGTCTTTAAAGTGCAAAAATGGGAATAAACTGCTCAACAATATTCTCTATGTAGCAAAAATACCCTTCACATATAACGGAGATATAATAACCTTCAGAGAAACAATAGAGAAAATTTGTTGCCATTTTTTCTGTTCTCTACTGAAATGTTAAAAGTAAGTTCTCCAGGTGGAGTGAAAATGACATCAAAGAAAAACTTTCATCTACACAAAGAAATAAAGCAGTGTTCTAAGTGTTATAATTGAAGGTAAATACAACATTATTTACTAAACGTTTTAATTGCTCTAAAAGATGGTTGTCTAAAGTAAAAGAGGTATCAATGGATATTATATTCATAACCTACATAAAAGATAAAATATATTACAATAATTGTGTCAAGAAAGATAACAAAAATGGGCATCAACTGTTTAGTAAGGTGCTTATTATACACACAAAATTTTATAATATTATTTGAAGGTGAACCATGATTATCTGAAGATTTATATTGTAAACCCTGTGGTAATCTACAAAGACATTTAAAAAATAGATATAAATAATAAACCAATATTGGAAATAAAATAGAATTATAAAAACAATCCACAACTTCTATTTTCAGAACATATAGAAAATACATCTATATATGTGTGTGTATATATTTGGTTCTTGTTTAACAGTAGAAATAATATATATAATTATATATCTATTGTTAATTATATATTTATTATATATATTATATATTTGTTTATATAATTTATATATTTATTAATTATATAACTATATATTTATATTATATTATTTCTATTGTTAAATACAACTAAAAACTATGGACATTATGCATAAAACAAATATAAGAAGACTCCGAATAGTGGAGAGAAGAAGGAAGACCTACCTAGGGACCTTGGAATTCAAGAAATTTCATGGTGGTGAGTTTTGTGATATTTATTTTTTTGCCTCAAATACATTTGAATTAGAGGTGAAGAAGATAGCAATCTGGAAGCAACAATAGTCACAAACAAAAAGAACAAAAAAAGCCAATAACAGCCTGAAGTCTCTAGCTAAAAGCCCAGAAAAGTGGTAGCCAGGCAAGATGGAAAATCGTTAAACAGTATCTTCTCTACTCCAGCCAAGCACTACAGAAAAGTCTATGGCCCCATCTGCATCTGTAACAACAAAAGTCAGATGGAAAGCCTAGGCTTCCACCCTTATGAGACTATAATATAGTATTCCAAAACAGTACTGAGTTAGTGTTGGAGAAGTTGGAAGCCAGGACCTTCCTTCCTGCTGCGCACTAACAAACACGTGCTCGTAGGTCAGTACCATGGGAAATGCCTAGGTTTTATCCACACTAAGCAGTAACAAGGGTCACACTCCTCCCAAATGGAATGGTGTCAAAGGAGGCCTAGAGAAAAGTCAGAACTTTCATTGTCACATAGCAGTAATGAGGCCAATTGAACCCAATCACAGTGCCAGTGGAGACCTCATGGAAAGGCAGAATTCCCACCCTCCTCACTCGAAAATAATGATGAAACCTCCTCTTCTCAGGTGTCAACAAGGTCACCTGAGACACCCGTGGAGAACCTGGTCTTCTCCATTCATCTGTCAGCAATAAGGTGGCGACCCCCTTCCATTGCCAGTGTGGTATCAGAAAAACTCAGCTAAAACAGAAAACATAAATACAACTCTAAATTTTTTAAAATAATAGAAAAAAGACCAATATTCAATTGAAACTCATTTATCATGCCAAGAATCAGCAAGTTTTCAAACTGAATGAAATGGGTAATCAATACAAAACTAAGGTGACAGAAATGTGGAATTACATAATAAAAATATTAAAGCAGCCATGATAAAAATGCTTCAATAAGCAATTACAAACATGCTTGGAGCAAATAGAAAAAATAGAGAGTATCAGCAAAGAAATGTAAAAACTCACCAAAATTAGAAAATACAAATAAGAACCAAATGGAAATTTTAAAACTAAAAAAAATATTATAACCTAAATGAAAAGCTCAGGAGGTGGACCCAGTAGCAGAATGGAGAGGGAGAGAAGAGAATCAGTGAATTGGAAAATAGAATAATAAAATTAACAATTCCGTATAAAGGAAAAAATAGCCAGGGAAAAAAATGGATACAGCTTTAGAGACCCATGGGAATATAACAAAAATTCTAGCAAAATTTTATAATTGAAATAATGGAAGAAGGGGAGAAAAGGTTTGGGACTGAAAAAGTATTCAAAGAAATATGACTGAAAATTTTCTAAATTTGACAGGAGATACAAAATCTACATATTTAAAGACAGTGAGTGAATCCCAAATAGGATAAACACAAAGAAATCTACACCAAGACACAACGTAGTCAAAGTTCTGAAATCTGGAGATAAATACAAACTTTTGAAAGCAGTAAGAGAAAAATGACACTTCGCTTATAAAGAAAAAACATTTACATGATACCAGATTTCTCTTCAGAAGCCATGGAAGGCAGAAGAAAATTGCACAGTATTTTTCAAGTCCTGAAAGAAAAGAACTGTCAACACAGACTCCTAAATCTGCAGAAAATACACTTCAGGAATGAAGAGAAAATAAACAAAAAAATTTTAAATGAAGAAAGATTAAAATTTGTTACTAGCAGACTTACTCTAAAAGAATGGCTGAAGGAAATTCTCCAAACAGACAGGAGGCAATTAAAAAAACAAAAAAAACAAAAAAAAAAAACAACTTTGGGATAGTAAGGAAGGAGAAAATACACAGTAAGAAAAAAAAATGACACAGAAAGTACACTTTTCTTTGAGTTTTCTAAATTGTGTTAGATGTTTGCAGCCAAAATTATAACACTGTCTAATGTGCCTCTAAATATATGTAGAAAATATTTAAGATAATTACATTATAAATGGAAGAGTAAAGAGATGTGAGGAAGGTAGAATTCCTATACTTCACTCAATCTGGTAGGATGATAATAACTGTAGACTGTGACATGTATATTTATATGTCATATATATTTCTATATATAAATATGTCATATATATACAATATATATAATTAGATCGAGATCAACCATTATAAAAGCTATAAAAGAGGTACATTGAAAACACTATAAGTAAATCTAAATGGAATTCAAAAAAGTGTTCAAGTAACTTACAGAAGGCTTAAAAAACAAAAGAGTGAAACAAAAAATAGAGCAAACAGAAGACAAACATACATTAAACATAATCCCTGTACTGAATAACAGGTCTGTTTCAAGTGGGAACAGAAAATGTATCAAGACAGACAATATCCTGGGGTACAAAACAAACTCAAACAATTTAGACAAAAAATTAAATAATATAGAGTGTGTTTCTAGCCACAGTGAGATCAAACTAGCAGTTAAAAATAACAGAAAAACATGCAAGTAGTTGGGAACTGGAGTAAAAAAAAATGCCCCTTCCAAGTAATCATGGATCCAAAAGGAAGTTGAAATTGATAACCTAAAATACTATGGAGTTGAATGAAAATGAAAATGTACATATGTCACAACTTTGGTCACATAGTTAAAGCAGTACTGAGAAAAAAATTATAGTGTTAAATATGTATATACATTAGAAAAGAGAAAAAAATGAAGTAGAAAATCTAAGCTCTTACACAAGAACTTAGAAAAATAATTTTTAAAAATCCAAGCAACAGAAAGGAAATTGTAAAAATCAAAATAGAAATTAATGAAATTGAAAACATAAAATAGAGAAACTCAGTGAAACAAAAAGCTGGTTCTCTGAAAATAATAGTAAAATCGACTAAGCTTTAGCATGACTGGCAAAAATATGAGAAAAGACACAAATAACCAACAGTAAAAATGTTATAGGAAAATCACTTTAGACCCTGCAGACATCAAAAGGCTAATAAGGAAATTCTGTAAATTTCTGTAAAATATAAATTTGACAGCACAGATGAATTATACCAATTCCTACATAGGCAAAAACTAGCACAACCTATCAATATGAAATGGATCATTTAAATAGCCCTAAAATTATTAAAGGCAGAAAACGAGTAAAGATATAGAAGGTTAGAACAATGTTGTCAATCAATTTCTTCTACTTGACATTTTGCAGAACATTCTACCATACGAAAGCAAAATAAGTTTTTAATGTGCATATAGGATATTCACGTAGAAAGACCATATTCTGGATCAAAAGTGAAAAAAATGTTGGACGTGAAACTATTTTGACACATCATAAATATTATATGATGGAATTGTGTTAACATGACCAAAAATGGTTTTTAAATACAAGGAAAACAAAAGAGTGAAAAATGTAAAATTCAATATCTTTTTTAAAAATATTTTGGACTAAATGTCACATTTGGTTTGATTGCATGGATTTTAAGACACAGTGTTTCAAATATTTTATAAGAAAAATGAACCATATTTTAAGTACTGGTAGCCAAAATCTTAAATTTTATAAAATAAAGTTGATCCTAGAGACAGGGAATAAAATATTACAGAGTTGGCTTTGGGATTTTTATAATAGGACTATTCCTGAAAAGTTCCACTATGAGCTAAAGAAAAGCAAACTAAAGCAAGTAAACAACAACAGCAATCACTCCCCCACTATAATCTCCCCATTTATATGTAAGACATTTCAACATTAATGATTTTAAGGTAAGTGCACTGAGGGATGCAGTTAGAATAGGGCTGTGCAGTTTGGAAGTTGGTAGGATTCCATTAGAGCCACCAGAGCACTTAAACTGTCATAAACTCTAGTCACTTAGCAGGAGACTAAGGAAAGAAAAGCTAATCTTAAGTGGTGGAGGCAGGAGTTTAAAATAATGGATTGCAGGGGATAGTTTGGCCATCAACAGGAACATAATCAGAAAACAAGTAAGCTGGGAGATCAATTTAAAACTTACCCAGCAGTTAGCAGGAAGCGATAAAGTAATATAATGAGGGGACAGATGTTGAAGTGTCAATGTCAGTATAATAGGAGTGCCAGGATCACTAATAATTAAGCAATAAAGACAAAATATCTGAATAAATAGTACCTGAGCATTTCTTACAATCAGAGAAAAATAATACTTCAATTTGTAAAAATGTATATAATATATCTAAGTGTCATGTATGGTGAGGTGTCATATATACCAATTATAGAAAAGTTGAGGTCAACAAAGACAGAAAAGCAGATCTCCTTCTGAGGAACATGGTTCAGCAAAGTTGGACTGGTGACTTCCACAGCAGATTGAATATGAAGTCAGCAAATCATATTTTTAAATGCATCATGTACATATCCCTTTTTTGTTTGATTCCACTTTATTTAGAGCCAAAAAATTAGATTTGGGGAAACTACTAGCATTGTAGTTGGTTAATAAACTATTATTTTTATTTGATATCAATTTTAACCCGAGCCGTGTATTCTGTTAAATTTCATGGCAGAGTGAAATCCCTTTGAACTCATGACTGTAGAGGTACTTAAGTTGGGAACAGTGACAAACCAAGGACAGATGTGGTGTGGAGGGAAAGGTAGTGGGTTCAGTGTAAATAGATACCATATATACTATATACACAAAACATAGATAATTATATAATAGAGTAGTAGTTTTGGATAATAGGTCTACAACAGAATTGCCTTGTTATTTTTACTTCTGTTTCAAATAGGGTGAAATATTAGAAAACTGTCTGAAATTCACGCTGTAAGCATGAAAACAATCTGAATAAAACAATTTTTAAAAATGTATTAATGAGCTGATTGTTTAATGGTGAATACCTCAAGGTCAAAGCTGGTAAAAGGAAAGGGGATCCAGATAGATACATGGGTCACTGAAGCAATTTTCCCTGTTGTATGTGCTGAAACTGAAGACCACAGAGCTTCTATGTCAGTGGCCTCAAAATTGCAAAGGAAAGGAGGTAAGACCTAGGGCTTATTCAAGTGAAGAGCCCAACAAAAGCAAACCCACTCCTGACACAAAGTTGACCCTGAAATATAGAACCCTCCATGGAAATGTGGATTAAAAATAAATCTGATATGCTTAACTGCTGCTAGGGGATTATTTAAATTAAAACAGAGCCCCGCGTGAAAGTGAAAAAACCTTTCTCAGAAATAATTCATGATCACATTCTAGACTCCATCTGCATATGAAAACCTAGTTTGCATAACCCTAATGTCTTAAGGGGCCTTTGTGGGGGGAAAAAAAATCAAATGTCCCGTTAGTGTTCTCATGTTCTTGGAAAGAGCAAACAAATTTTCTCTCGAAAAACCCATCTTCTTCTGGGCAGTAAAGCTTTCTCACAGACTAAATCCAAGACCTACAGCTATGACTTTTTCGGTTAAAAATCAGTGATTTTTTTTTCAGTCAAAAAAAACCCAAAAAAAGATCAAACAAGAGAAAAACAACAACTAGGAATTAGCAGAGAACACAGCAAAATCTAACGTTTGAATCTTCAGAACTGTAAATATCAACTGAAGAAAATAACATGATTTGTTAAGTACACTTGGATGATTGCAAATATAGGTAAAGATTAAGAAACTAAAAAGTAAAATAATCAAAACTAAAATTAAAAACACAATGAATGAAATTAATGACTTGTAAGATAAAGTTCGGAAAAAAATATCTAGGAAGCATAGTGAGAAAGAGATAAAAAGTATAAAAGGAAAGAGTTGAGAGGGAAAACTGGACAAAGGATATAGTTGAAGAAATAATGATTGAGAATTATCTTAGTCTGCTCAGGCTGCCATTGCAAAATACACAGGATTGGCTGTATAGACAATAAAAATTTATTTCTCACACTTCTGGTATATGGAAGTCAAAGATCATGGTGCCAGCAATATCTAGTGTTTGATAAGGTAAGAAAGAAGAGAGATTTAAAAAAATCAGTGCAATTAGCACAAAATTAAAGTGATAGAGATAAATCTAAATGTGGCAGTAAATTATAGTAAATGTAAATGAACAAAATGCTTTATTTAAAAGGGAAATATTTTGGAATAATTTCTTAAAAATCAAAATACATGTTACAAGAATAATATGCAAAACCTAAATATGCAGAAATTTGAAAGAACGAGGAAACATATGCTATGAAATTTATAATAATATTAAAGCTGACATAACTATATTAATAATAGACGATACAGACTTTAAGGCAAAAAACATTACTAGGGAAATAGAGAATCTTTATATACTGATAGAGATTTCAATCTATCAGGAAGATCATCAATTATAAATCTGTATAACAGCCTCAAAACATATAAAGCAAAGACTTACAGAACTAGAGACTAATCAACTAACATAGTGAAGGATACATAGTGAGAAATTTAACACACTTCTGTCATTAGATAAAATGCACAAAAAAAATCAGCATATATAGAAGAGATTAAAGAGACATTTTTAATGAATTCTGCAAGGACAAAGCAAAAAGTTGGTGAACTTATTCTTTCTATAAAACAGTGAACATACAAGCAAGATAACTAAAATAAACTCTTTCAGAAGTGTGGTAATTAGACAAAGCCACAGATTAAACCGAAAATAGGGCAACTGCTAATCCTAGCTAAGACAGCAGAGTCTATATTGTTTTAATTTAGGGTGATTCCCATCCGCCTCCCTCTTTCAGTGGCACTGTTCCCGAAAGTTGGCAGCAACCTAGAAAACAGAGATATCAGACACTTTTGGAGATCTGTTAAAAGTACAATCTCTAGGGCATAGTCAATATTTTATCTGAACTTGCAGTTCCCTGAGATATTTCTATTCTCAAGAATGTGGAGGCTGTTTGATTTGACTCAGAGCTCAATTCAGCAGAACAGTCTAACCCTAGGGCATTTCCAAAACAATAGCAAACGGATGGCAAGCAGCATAGTTGCCTGAGGCTGTGATTTCACTTGGGGCAAACAAGAGCCTGTCTGGGAACTGAAAAGGGAATTTTGGAAAACTAGGTGATCATAGGGAACTTTAAAAAGCTCTGACATATGCCCGAGAATCTGAAAGTTTGTATGTATGCGCATACGCAGAAAAATATATGGAAAATAAGAAAGCACCGGTCACTGACTGACTTAAGGCCTTGAACAAACAGAAACTAAAAGCTAAGACTGTTCTGTAAAATGAGGACCTGAAGTTAAAAGGTGTACCTCCTCACAAGAGTGCCATTAGCAAAGAATAGAAGATACACAGGCAAGGCACTTACAAAACTCTGACAAATGATTGGAGCATAATTTAGCTGACCGCTAAATTATACTGACCCAAATATGACCATCAGGGAACCAGGCTTAAAAATAAAAACAATAACTTAAAAACAAATACTAACTGTGAACTCTGTGGCCACACATTGCAAAGAATACAGAATCTAAAATTAATTAAGGAAAGTCTTTACACAAATAACAGCAATAAGGAAAAACATCTCAGTAACAGAAGTAGAAAACTCAACATCAGAATAGCTTTCTTGCATTATCTAGAATGTCCAATTTTTAACAAAATATACTAGACGTGGAAAAAACGGAAACATAAAACAAACATAAAACGTCAGCAGATTCTGTGACTGAGGGGGCCTGAATTTTGGATTTAGTAAATAAAGACTTTTGTAAACCAAAAATAAAATTCTAAGTCCTCCAGCTAACTGAATGGACCTGTCCTCTTGCCCAAGGCTTTCTAAAATAAACCTGAAACACTAGTTCAGGCCATGATGGGAATGGATGGTTGGACATGCTTCATTATACGTTCCTCCCTTTGGAATTCAGGCAGAGCTGACCAGCATTACCATTAAAAGAGGGACCTCAAGACTCACAAAGCAGACTTTTTGTAGCAATAAGATACCAATGTGATGGATTATAGGCATTGAAAGAAATCAAAGTATTTTATACCAAAGTATGTTTCTATGACAAATTTTAAAAAGGCCCTGCAAAGCTGTCTTTTGTGATGAAAATTTACATTCTGTAGAGGGTTCTTTTCCCTTTCCATGTTTTTTTCCCTGATCCAAGAGAGAATTAACTAAGAGTCTGGCACCTTTTTAGGCCTGAGAAGAGCTCTGAAGCCTGCTACCTGGAGGCTTTATCTACGTGATAAAACCTTGGTCTCCACAGCCCCTTATCTTCACCTAGACATTCCTTTCTATTTATTCCAGGTCTTTAGATAATAAGCCTTTCAACCAATTGCCAATCGGAAAATCTTTGAATCTGCCTAGACCTGGAAGCCCCCTCTTCAAGTTGTCCTACCTTTCTGGACTGAACTAATGTACATCTTACCTGTACTGATAGATGTCTTATGTCTCCCTAAAATATGTAAAACCAAGCTGTAGCCTGACCATCTTGGGGACATATTCTCAGGATCTCTTGGGGCTATGTCATGGGGCATTGGTCACTCATATTTGGCTCAGAATAAGTATCTTCAAATCTTTTACAGGGTTAAGCTCTCTTCATCAATACTTTAAATTAGCTATTAGTATGTTAAAAGAACTACAGAACATAATGTACAAAAATTAAAGTGTAACAACTATGTATAACCAAATACAGAATATAAAGAAAGAAATAATAATTATAAAAAAGAACCAATTAGAATTTCTGAAGTTGAAAAAAAAACTGGAATAGAAAATTCACAATGGAGGCACAAAAATAGAGCTGGTAGAAGAAAAAATCAGCAATCATAAAAATATGTTAATAGTGAAATTCCAGTCTGAGGAGGAGAATTTAAGAAATGAATATAAATGAACAGTCTCAGAGACCTGTTAGCATCAATAATTTCAACATATGCATAATGAGTATTCTAGAAAAAGAGAATGAGAAAGAATGAGGAGAAAATAATGAGAAAAAAATTGAGGAAATAATGCCAAAATCTTCCCAATTTTGGTGAAAAATGTTAATCTTGCTGAAAAATGTCACTCAATAAATTCAAGAAACATGATGAACTCTAAGTAGAATAAATGTGACTTCATCCATGTTAGACACATCATAGTCGTATTTAAATCAGTAATAAAGAGAAAATCTTAAAAGCAGTAAGAGAATAACAACTCATTATATAAAACTGTTCTCAGTATGATTAATCTAATTTCTCATCAGAAAACATGAAGGCCAGAAAAGAATGGAATGCCATATGTTCAAAGGGCTCAGAATAAAGACTGTCAATTCAGAATCCCATGTCCAAGCACATTAAATAAGATCATTCACCATGATCAAGTGGGACTTATCCCTGGAGTGCATGGATAACTCAATATACACAAATCAATATATGTGATACATCACATCAACAGAATGAAGGACTAAAACCATGTGATTTTCTCAACAGATGCAGAAAAAGCATTTGATAAAATTTAGCATCGCTTTATAATACTAACCCTCAACAAACTAGGTATAGAAAGAGAGTGGTTCAACACAATATAGGCCATATATTACAGACCAACTGCTAAGATTATGCTGAACACAGACAAGCTGAAAACTTTTTCTCTAAGAACTGGAACAAGACAAGGATATCCACTCTCACCACACTTATTCAAATTGTATTTGAAGTCATAGCCAGAGAAATAAGGGGCAAGATAAAGAAGTAAAAAAGGAAACCCAAACTGGAAAGAAAGAAGTCAAATTGTCCCTGTTTGCAAAGGATATGATTTTATATATAGAAAACCCTAAAAGTGCAACCGAAAAACTTTTAGAATTGATACAGAAATTCAGTAAAGTTGCAGGATACAAAATTGACATACAAAAATCAGTAGCATTTCTACCCACTAAAAAATGAAATAATGGAAAAATGATGCAAAAAAGAAATCCCATTTACAATAGTTAAAAAATTAAAAAATAAAAATCAAGGAATAAATTTAACCAAGAAGTTGAAAGATCTCTAAAGGAAAACTAGAAAACACTAATGAAAGAGATTGAAGAGGTCACCAAAATAACTAGAGGTATATTTCGTGTTTATGAACCGGACAAATTAATATTGTGAAAACGACCAAAATATAAAGAACAATCTACAGAGTCAATGCAATCCCTATCAAAATATCAATGATACTATTCACAGAAATAAAAAATATCTTAAAATTCATATGGCACTACAGAAGTCCCTAAATCACCAAAGCAATCCTGAACAAAAAGAACAAAGCTGAAGTCATCACATTACCTGACTTCAAAATATATTCTAAAGCTATAGTAACAAAAACAGCATGTCACTGGCATAAAAAACTAACACATAGACCAATGAAACAGAATCAAGAATCCAGAAACAAATCCGTATATTTATGGCCAACTGATTTTTGATAAAGGCAGTAAGAATATTCACTGGAAAAAGAAGTGAATGCTCTTCCATAAATGCTGCTGAAAAAATTAGATATCCATATGCAGAAAAAATGAACCTCTATCTCTATTTCTCTCCCTTTTTTTTTTTTTTTTTTGAGATGTAGTCTCGCTTTGTCACCCAGGCTAGAGTGCAGTGGCGCGATCTCGGCCCACTGCAAGCTCCGCCTCCCGGGTTCATGCCATTGTCCTGCCTCAGCCTCCTGAGTAGCTGGGACTACAGGCGCCCACCACCACGCCCAGCTAATTTTTTTGTATTTTTAGTAGAGACGGGGTTTCACTGTGTTAGCCAGAAAGGTCTCGATCTCCTGACCTCGTGATCCGCCCTCCTCAGCCTCCCAAAGTGCTGGGATTACAGGCATGAGCCACCGCGCCAGACCTCTGTTTCTCATCATATACAAAAATAAAATGAAAATGGATTAAAGGCTTAAACGTAATACCTGAAACTATGAATGTACTAGAAGAAAACATTGGGGAAACACTTCAGGACATTGGTCTGGGCAAAGATATTTTTGATAAGACCTCAAAAGCACACTGTTACACAAACATAAATAGACAAACGGGATTATATCAAGCTAAAAAGTACAAGAAAGGAAACAAGTAACAGAGTGATGAGGCAACCTATTTGCAAATATTTGCAAACTATTCATCTGACAACTGATTAATAACCAGAATATAAAAGAAACTAAAACAACTCAAAAAGCAAAAGCAAAAAAAAAAAAAAAACTGATTAAAAAGTGGGCAAATGATCTGAATAGACATTTCTCAAAAGGAGACATACAAATGGCCAACAGGCATATGAAAAACTGCACATCACTAATCACCAGAGGAATGCATATCAAAACCATAATGAGATGTTGTCTCTCTCCAGTTAAAATGGCTATTATCAAAAAGATGAAAAGTAATAGACGCTGGCAAGAATGCAAAGAAAGACCGTTGGTAGGACAAGGCTTGTTTAGGCATTTTAAGCAAGAATAATGCTTGTATTTTTAAATGCTTATATAAGAGGTCTGTGTGGTTTCTGAATTCTGCTTCTGCATTATTTCAAAGGGATTCCTTTTCTATTTATTTTTGTTTTGCTGAAATCCAAGGAAAATTGGAATTGAATGTAAAATCACAACCTCAAAGGCAACAGTTGCTGATGAGGATGGTATGCCTTATGTGAAAAACCCTTAATGAATTTAGTCACCTGGCAAATTGAGAGCAGTATGAGCTAAATGGACTTTGATATTTTTCCTTGGTTAAGTCCTGACTGCTTTCCTCTATTTATCTGTGTTACTTTTGTTAATAGTTTATAAGGAAAGTTCATGGTTGACAAGGCCAGATGGGTCCTGAAAATATTGGAAATATTTCAGGCTTAAAGATAGGCTTTTTCTTGGGCCGTGATGTGGTAGAAAAAACCCTGGACAAGGAGATCAGAGGTCTGCTTTGAAACTCAGTTCTGCCACCAATCATTGACCTTGCAAATCATTGTTTCTCTGGGCCTCAGTTTGAATATTCTGCCTCTTCTAGTACTACCAATGGATACTATTTTTTGAATACTCAAAATGTGACAGCATGTCAAAGTTAATACACCTATGTCTTTATCTGTAATAATTCATTTAATACACACAAGTCTAAGACAAAAACTCTATTTCCTATAAGTAAAATAAAACTCTATAAACTCTATTTCCTCTAAGGTGGGAAATATTATTCCTGGTTAAAATACAAACAAACACACTTGAGAAAACTAAGATTCAATGAACTTAAGTAACATTATCAAGATCACGGAGGTGGAATCAAATCTAGGTCTGTTTAAATCCAAAGCAGTAAATATTGTCTTGATGATTGCTTTGTTGTAATTTTATTGATTAGCATATTATTACTGTATACATTAGCCCTCCTCTTTTCTGTGGGGGATACATTCTAGGACTTCCAGTGAATGCCTGAGCCTGAAGCCTCAGATCATACTCAACGCTATACATACAATGTTTTATCCTATATATACATACCTGTGATAAAGTTTAACTTATAAATTAGGTATAAGAAAAGATTAACAATGATAAATAATAATAAAATGGAACAATTATAACAATATGACAGCATTACTACTGTTGCACTTTGGGGCCATTATTAAGTAAATTAAGGATTACTTGAAGACAAGCACTGCAATACCACAACACCCAATCTGATAATTGAGGCAGCTACTAAATGACTAATGGGCAGATAGTATATATAATCTGGATACACTGGATAAGGGAAGGATTCACATCTCAGGTGAGATGGAGCAGGAAAAGCATGAAATTTCATCATGCTACTCAGAGTGGCACAAAATTTAATAGTTACGGATTATTTATTTCTGGAATTTTCCATTTAATATTTTCAAACCAGGGTTGTCTGTGTGTAACTGGAACCACAGCAACTAAAACCGCAGATAAGGAGAGACTACTGTATATGCAGAAAATGCCAACAGAATGCAAGATAATTAGTAGTTTATTATGTGATTTCCTTGAATACATAGCACATGACAATGACAAATATTTCTTATTTCAGATCAAAAACTTCTTACCAACCAGATTCACGTTGATGTAGCTTGAGGTAGTTTTTCTCTTCTTATGAGAAAAACTAGCTGCTTCTCATAGGGTCTTTTTCTTACTTTCTTTTTATGCTACATTCCCCCCCACTGATTTTATTTGGGTGACTCATAGAGTTTTTCCTCATTTTCCTCATTTCCTATATACTTCCCTGGGAAGTATATAAAACATTTGCTGCTCTTAGACTATGTTAAGGTATGTGGCACTGTATGTGGTTAGAGGCTTTTCCTCATTTGAGGAACAGAGCTTTCCTTAATGTCCATGGGTATATGTAAGTTCACAGTGTCTTAGCCCCTTGCAGTGTCTCCACACCTTCATATTCTCTAAGTGAATTTCCAAGAAAGCTGTGCATGATGTTTCACCACATTTACTTATCCAGGGATCATAAAATTGGGGGATAGAAATGTTGAACTCTCAATCATAAATGATTTTTAACCTGAATTTTTTCTTACTCTAAATGAGGTCTTGGAAATATGAAAAACATTTTTCCCACACAAGGTAATCACCTGGTTTATTGCATCAAGTAACCCTGTGTGATTTCCACTCCAATTACACTCCTCATATCAAGCAGTACTTGAACAATAGCAATTTGGCTTTTCATATTTGGACTCTCAAACAACCAAAGTGAGAGTATGCTTAATACCAGAAAACAATCACTCTTTAGGGCAAAATCGTGATGTTTGAAAGTTATTGCTAAGAGCTTTGGAATTTTTATAGAGAATTCCAGGAAGGCAGAGGTTTCAGGGTGATATGGTAATTACTGAGAAGAACTCTTTTCCTTTGAGGCCAAGCACTGCTTTTTAATTTCATAAAAATGTCAATAAGCCATGAGAGTTCCATTTTTTAAAATATATGATCTCTTGTATTGATGCTACATAAGAAAATGAAGGGAATTCTATTATTATTCAGGGATTGAGTGTGTTTCCTTTCTTTTGTTTACGCTTATTAGGCAGATCACACAATATTTGTTTTTCTTTTTCTGGAAATAACGTGAGATCCTTAGAAAGGTAGTCTCTTGGCTCTCCCTATGTAGGCTACCTGGGACATCAAAATTGATAAACCCAGTAATATATATACAACATAAATGTAAAGTGTTTGGGCATTTGTGTTATAAAGGGTGTTAGATCTTCTACAAAGAAACAATTTCTCGGAAATAAATTCCTATATACTTAAAAATATTTCTTAGATAATAATTGCTTCTTTATTTGTTCTTGGTTTTAAAATTTAAAAACTGAGATCCTTATCTTGGTATTTAAGATATTATACAATTTTTTTTCTATTTGCCATTGTGGCACAGACAAATGGGTCCTACCCATGCCTCTGATTAGTCACTGTGATGAAACCAGACTTGGGGACCAACTGTGATACAGAGGCTCATAAGCCATTTGGGCCTAATATCTAAGGGAACATCTCCATATTAATCAATGTTTGTAATTTCCTGCTCTCATATTGGCCTATCTAGCCATCCTCAAAATCTAACTATTGTTACTGCATTGGCTTTCTGTGCATGAAAATATTAAGAAAAGCAGTTACACTATTTATAAGATAACTTATTATCTTAATTGTCCTCTATTTTAAAATATATTATCTAGGGTTTTAGAAGTCTTCATAAATACCTTTAAAATTATTATCCTATTGGTGCTCTTCTGCAACTCACATTTGGGCTCAAACTTCTTTCAGATGGAAATAAATATATGTAAATATTAATACTAATAGATGTGGGTTCTCTGTGTATTGGAAGTATATAGAATATGTACTACTCCTAGAATATGTTAAGATATGTGGCATCATATGTGGCTAGTATGGGGCATTAAAAAGGCCTCCTAAGAACAGTTTTTTAAAATCAGGTAGTTTTTGAAAGTCCCATGATCAGTAATTACATTTTCAGGCATAAGCTACCAAAAAACTCATGGTGTAAATTCCATAGAATGCCCTTGGGTTGTTAAAGTGCTGTACTGTTCCAGTTCCTCCTTAGGCCTTCAAGAGAGGGGAGGGTATAGCAAATACAGACCTTATATTATATTTTAAATAACATGAAGAATGCTAGCCTAATGCTTTGTGTGTCTGTCTCCCTTCCTCCTGCCTCCCTATCCTAGCCAGTTATGGAGACTGACACAAACCTAGTAAATACATGGCTTTATTATGATTAAGTAAATATCTACTATAATTAAGTCTCAACTTTTTCTGTGACCACCAAACACACCTGAAAAAAATCTGCCATTCTTTCCCATCAGCAGAAAAGGCTCACTGCTTCAGTACATCTGGACTGTCCCAAAGGAATCAGCCCCAGCAGGTAGGGCTGATAAGCACTGTTGGTGGCTGGAGCATGAATAATTTGAAAAAGTCCCAAATTCCCTGTGAATTTTTATTGATTCTCCACTCTTATTCCAAATCCTTTGAAAAATCAGTGTATATATTTCAAATAAATTAATCAAATATTTGCAATGCTGTCATCACCTGGATGCTAACAAATTGATGTCTCTCTCTTTTGTCTAGAATATCCTTCCTGATATGGTGAATTTTGACTTCTAGACTGGTACCTATGTCTGCTTTTCAACTACTCTATATGGGATCATTCTTCCTTTCCTTGCTTCCTTCCCTCCCTGCTTCCCTCCCTCCCTCCCTCCTTCCCTTCCTTCCTTCCTTCCTTCCTTCCTTCCTTCATTCCCCTTGGTTTTAGAGTAGCATTTATGCCACTAGGTTGTAATTTTATTTACTGTTTTTTCTTGTCATTAGCTTGTGTTTTCCTTCAAGGCAGAGGTTATGTCATTTCACCTTTCTATCTCAGATATTTATTACAGACACATTACATAATATGTGATTGATAAATGTTGAGAAAAATGCAAAGACAAAGAATTTTCATGATGGAGACAGAGATGGGAAGAGCCTAGTGAGAGAATTTTCTGGCTGAGGACATCCTCCTGAGGAATGCCACAGGAAGGGTGTTCAGCAAGGTGGACACTGGAGACTTGAAGGAAGCAAAAGGTTAATTTAGCAAAGGAGAAGTTTTGCCATCTTGACAATTTCCTCAGGACTTGTCTTCAAGTAGGAACAATTTTATGGTTGTACTAGGCCACATGCTTAGAATGTCCCTTCACTGTTTTGCTATTGGTGTCATAAAATTCTTATTAGTTTTTAAAGAAGGAATCCATCATTTTCATTATATACTGGGCCCAGCAAATTAGGTAGCTCTTGCGCTTCTTAAGTTCTGTGGAGCCCTTCAGAGACTCACATAATTGTTGCACCTTAAGTGTTAACATCTGAAATGTGGCTTCCATTAAAGTGCTGTGGAAAAGTCTGTTTGTAGCTCATCGGCACTACCCACAGGTGCTACTCACTGGCTTCTCCCATATAGCTTGGCAACATGTAGAGCTGACAGAAAGAGAACTGATTTCCATTTTTACTGCCTATAGAAAGGATTTAATAGAACAGATTTCTCTCTTTTGCTTTTGAAATAAAACTCATTCTAGAAGACTTTTTGCAAGGAATGAGAGAAGTTTAACTTGGTTAAGGGAAAACTACATAGACATTCTAGATGGGATTTTAGGTGGCCTACTCTGCAGTTGGCTGAATGGTTGCTTTTCATCATGTTGTAGTGAGACCATCTATTAAGCAATTACAAACAACCAGTGTTCAAATTCCACTTTTGTCATTTACTAGGTGTGTGATTTTAGGCAAGTTTATCTAAAGGATGAATGTCACTTTTCTCATGTGTAAACTGGCGATAATGTGTGCTGGACTCAGGATTAGTCTTGCAGATTAAATGAGTTAATACGTGGCATATGATCACAGTAGTATATTGCATATGGTAAGCACTCAGTAAAAGTAATTGTTATTAATATGGAACAAGGGTTAGTTAAGTTGTTCAGTTTGTGGAGAAGGGCTTAGAATGCATTTTTAGTAGGTAAAGAGGAGGAAGGAGAATAATAAGATAAGTATCCTGGCATGTGGTTGTCTAGTCCTAAGTACAATTCCAGTCTAACTCTGTATATGTCCTTAAGCAGATTTTTGACGTTCCTACAAAATGTCAAGGGCTTTTGCTGCACATAAAAACAGTGCTGGGAGGCTGGCCACTGGAGTGATGCTTATGATGAAACATTTTTTAAAAATTTATATTCCTTCAGATGTTTCCCATTGACTCAGCTGAGAATGGGGTGAGAACTTAAGAGTTTACAGGGAACAAATAGAAGCTTAACAGCCATCTGGTGTCCCAGGGGCATCTGGAGCTTTTCTCTGTAGGATGTGTCATAGGCGCTCTCTCCATTACTCTCTCACTTCCCCACACACTGGCTCAACACACAAAGGCAATACACACTCATGGTCAGACCGTGGCAAAATTGTGAAATTGGTGGAATTTGTCTTCTTAGTTCTCCATTTCTCAGTCCTATTTCCCATGTCGTTTCCAGAAGCTCAATGGTCTCTTATTTTTCTTATTACTTGTTCACCTGCTAATTAATTTATTCAACAAATATGAAATACCTGCTTGTGATGCACTCTGCTAAGTTCTGAGGATAAAGTGAGACAGAAAAGTTCACTGCCCCCTCGGGCTTTGTGAAATATACCAATAATAAATAATTTTTAAAATACACTAGATTGTTAATAATTCTGAAATTCCTGTGAAGGAAACTAATGGGGTGATGAGATAATAATGAGTAAGAGGAAACCAGTTTGGATGGGAATCTGAGGGTGCTCCTCTGGAAATATGGCGTTTAAACTGAGACACAAAGTACGAGCTCAGAGTGCAAACTATTGGAGAAAAGAGTATGGCAGGAAGAAGGAACAGCAAGTTCAATTATCTAGAAGAAGGAAAGGGCATTGATGCTTTGAAGAAACAAAAGAAGTGAATGAGGCTGGACTGTAGAGAGATGGAGCTGGGGAATGGTCTTATGATGAACATTCTGGACCATAGTAAAAGGGCTGGATATAAATTTAAGAGAAAGTGGAAACCAGTGAGGATCTTTGATAAGGGAAGTAAAGTATACTAACTTATATTAGAAAAAAATCACTTACTGGACCAGAAAGTGGCAAAAATGGAAGGAAAGGGATCAAGTCACTTATGCAACAGATGATAATAATTTGCTAGAATGGTGACAGGAGATAATGATATAAACGTTAGAGTCAAGAATTACTTCAGAGGTGCAACTTATTTAATTTGATGATAGATTGTATGTGAAGATGAGGGTAAAAGGTGAAATCCAGGATAAGACCCATGTGTTTGGCTTAAGCAAATAAAAGGGTAATGATGTTACTAATATCCTATTAAAATCTATTTTAAGAAAAGAACTGGATTAAAGTTCCATTCAGGGCCGGGCATGGTGGCTCACGCCTGTAATCCCAGCACTTTGTGAGGCTGAAGCGGGCAGATCACCTGAGGTGAGGAGTTCGAGACCAGCCTGAGCAACATGTTGAAACCCCATCTCTATTAAAAGTACAAAAATTAGCCAGACATAGTGGCGGGCGACTGTAATCCCAGCTACTTTAGTGGCTGAGGCAGGAGAATCGTTTGAACCTGGGAAGCAGAAGTTACAGTGAGCCGAGATCGTGCCATTGCACTCCAGCCAGGGTGACAGAGCGAAACTCCATCTCAAATTAAAAAAAAAATTGCATTCAGTTAATCTTTTTTTCGTTTCCTGCCACTAGGCATTTCACAAATGCACTTTGGTGAATATGATCAATTGAGAACAGTTCAAAGTGTTCTCTCTCAGTGAGCTTTGCATTTTAACAGGCAATGAAAACCTAAGCTAAATTCTAATATTCTACAAGCAGGAACTTTGACGTTTATGTTATTTTTTCTTATTTATTTGCAGTAAATTCACATCACTTGGGCTAACACCTGTTCTGCTCTTACTTTTGTAAGGTATTAGTCACCACTCCCCTCTCTTCCTCTGTTGGCAGTGCACACTAATGAGCCCCAAATCCTAGAGCATGACTGAAATAGACGTCAGAGTGTCAAGGATGAAAATCAGTTAGGTGGAGTTGTGGAGAGGGAGATGGAGGCTCATAATGGGATTGAATTTTTCTCTTCTTCAAATGAAGAGTTTTGTTTGCTTATTTGTTTATTTATTTGTTTGTTTATATGGAACAGCATTTCTTACCACCACAGTCAGAAAATATCATAATACTGCAAGATGCAAGCTATAAGCCAACATAAATTCTACAGAAAATTAAGAGATTCAAGTTGGTAAACTCAGAGATTCAAGTTTGATCCTACTTTGGAGAGGGGAGGGTACAGCAAATATATGAGGAATAACACGAATAAATAACATGAGGAATGCTAGCCTAATGCTAGCATTTTGTTTTTTATAGTTATTATTTTGTTTTACAGTCTACTTTGCTAGATGATTTACTTTTGATTTTCCCTTAAATTGTGGTGTTCTTTCTTTCTTTTCCCATCTACAGTTGCTCTGCTTTTTATTCTTAATTTTCTCACTGAAAAATTCCAATTACTTACTGGATTTTAATGATGAGTGATTAGCTGATTAATCACAAACTTCAATTTCAAAAGCCCACCTATGTCATAAACCAAGCCCAACCATTGGCCAATTTATTTAATGACACTTTAATTAAAATATTTTTAATAATATCTTAATAATTTATCCCAGTCCAATCTTTAACATTAACAAAAATTTGCCAGAAATGTGAAAGCCATCTTTGATTCCACTTAGACCATTTTATTCATTTTTTAAAAGTAAATAGTATTCTTTTAAAGGCTTCTGAAGTATATTTTGATTTTTGATTCTACTCTATTAAGATTTATTTTAATAAATTATATTTTAATACACATTTCAAAATATTTACTGTTTCTCTGCTAAAGATACCAGCCTACTCAGAGACTGTGTGTCTTCATCCTCTTAATGTCAGACTTGGCTGTCAAATTTGATACCACTTTTAGCTGATACTTTTGGGGCTATTCTATGAAATGCCATTCTCTCTTTTCCTTCTGCTGTGAGCTAGGTATACCCCAACTAGAGTGCATGCATATAGACTGAGGTAAATATAATGTCCCAGATCAACTACTATGATGAAAAATATGAGCAGGAAACAAACCTTTGTTTTTTGTAAGACCTTAAGATTTTTTTGTAATTGTTGCATGTAATATTATAACAGTTCATTCTTCAAATCATCTATTTATTCCTAGGAACAAATCAAAACAGCCTTTTAGCTAGTTTTTTTCACCAGTTAGCATGTATTAGCCCAAATACCACACAATATTTCTTGAGATATTTGAGAAGTCATGTTGAGTTTTGGATAATTTGGGTATTTATGATGATTTTGGAATATCACCAAAAAGTCATAAAATAAGGAAAAAATTAGAAAGCTGTGGAGACTTATCAAAGTATATCTCTATCCAGAGTTGTATGACATGACAAATGAAAGTAATAATAGTACCCATCATAAAAGTAATAATGTTGATTGAATAAAATTAATTATACAAAGTTATTATCGGAATTCCGGATACTAAGTATACATAAAATATACTTAGTATATTTTAGCTAAGGAAAGGAACTCTAGTCCCTGGGAAGATATGAGGTCAAAACAACGTATTTCTCACTCTCAGAATGGTCGAGAGCTGAGACATACGCACTCTTCACACCTTTGCCGTGATAGCTCTAAATCCTTAAGTGTGCTAAGAAACACATTTCACTTTACTTTTAAAAATTAAAACATGAATTCTTAATCTCTGAATCTTGCTTGGTGTAAAAGTACCTTGCCACTGGCTTGAAAGAATAATTGTACTTCTTTCACAGCTTCAGACATTACCAGGGAGAATGAGGGTACGGGAGAGCATGTGGATCATTCCTTTCTGTTTGCACTGATGATCGATACATTCTACCAAAAATAAAATATCTGTTTAATTCATATATTTGAAACCTGCTTCAACGGAAACTCATTCTTTCTAAATCATAATAAATATTAACAGATTTTTGAATACTATTGCTATTCATTTAAAAAATAATATTTAGGTCAGTAACTAAAGCTTTGGTTTTATACTTTTGAATTCAGAATATCAGTGTACTAATTTATGGGCTTTCTTACAGTGAAAAAGATAACTCTCATCACTTACTTCTCCTGGCCCCTCTCTTTTGAATTTTTTGGTCCAATGAAAATACTTTGTTTGATTCATGTGTATTCTGGAGATGATTCAGGGAAAGGCAGCAGGGACCGTTAATATCTTGCTTGCCACAGTGAGAATGATTCTACAGCACCACCATTTCTCATAAAAGATGGGTTTTAAATATGTATAGAGTGAGCTACCGTTTGATGGATCACGGCTATGACTCTTTCAATGAAAGAACAAGCCCATCCCTAAGCTTGACATTCCCCTACAGATGACACTCTAGAACTCTGCTGTCAATACACTTAAAGTAAAAATTGACAGATGGCCAAAATACTCTAGTGTGAAAAATGGAGTTGTATCCTCTGCTAAACTTTGGTGTTGGTGGAGATTCATCTTAAGAAAACCTGGTGTCTTCTTTCTGCCTAATCCTGGCTGATGGAAGAAACCAAATTCATACTACCTGTAAATTACTGAGGCTAATGATATGTGTTTCTTCATATCACTACACACACACACACATACCACCACACCACACACACACACACACACACACACACACACACACATCCAATGCATAGGAGTTTCTTAACAACAACAAAAATTAATCAGTCCCTAGTGTAGAATTATATATAGCTGGAAAGCGTTTCTTTCTTTGTTTTTTCACCCCAGTAGTAACTGGGGACAGGACAGTGTTTCTTACCTTTCTCCTCAACAAATTAAGGCTTTTTAAAAAAATATATAGGCAAGAGAAGACAGAAAAAATGAGTGATTGGTGGTGTTTCTTTCACCCCACCTCCCCCATAGACTGATGCTCCACTTCCCTAGGTCTTAGAACTCTCTCCAAATATTTATTTGAGCCCTCTTATGGGTTGAATTAAGTCCCCCACAAAAGATATACTGAAATACTAACCCCTAGTACCTCAGGTTGTGACCTTATCTGCAATTAGGTTCATCACAGAGATAATCAGTTAGATAAGGTCATACTAAAGTAGGGTGGGCCCTTAATCCAATATGACTGATGTTTTTATAAGAAGAGGAAAGACTAACATTTCTCCTTTACCCATACATCCCCTGCCCCCCACCCCCAGTGTCTGGTGGCCACCATTCCACTCTTTTATACTGTGAGTTAGACATTTTTTAGATTCCACATATGCATGGTGACTATAGGTTATAACAAATTATTATACATTTCAAAGTAGCTAAAATAATGGATTTTAAATCTTCTTACCACAAAAGAATGATAAGTATTTCGGGTGATGAATAGGTTAATTAGCTTGATTTGATCATTCCACAATATACACATAAATCAAAACATCACCTTGTACCTCATAAGTATATACAATTATTATTTGTCAAGTTATTCTACAAATAAAATAATACTCAAGAAAAAAAGGAAGAGGAGAGAGAGAGGGAAGAAGGCTATGTGAAGACAGAAGCAGACATTAGAGTTATGCAGCCAAAACCAAGTAGCCTGAGGCTACTGGAAGGTGAAAGAGTCAAGGAAGGATCATCTTCCAAAGGCATCAGAGAGGAACAGCTCAAGTGACACCATGATTTAGGGCTTCTGGCCTCCAGAACTGTGAAAGAATAAACTTGTTTTAAACCACCAAGTTTGTGGTCCTTTGTAACAGCAGCCACAGGAAAGTACTGTACTACAAGCCCCAACATGCAGACTCATCCAATTTATTTAGCCATCAGGGAGCATCCCCCTCTCTTACCAGTGCACACTTGGGCTCTACTAACTTGCTAGCTACTACTAGCTGAACTCTTATATCTTACTCTTCTTTCTGATGACTGTTTATAGCTGCTTTAGCTAAGCCAATGCTCCTATGTCGTACCTTCCTACAGGTGCCTGTCTTGCCTTAGAGTTTGGACTAGCCAATTGCCCTATGACTTAAGGTCACTAATGGGGTCAAGAAAACTACCAAGTATGTAGTTTGATGGTTTTCTTCTTTTTTTTTTTTTTTTTTAAACTTTTCAGTATGGAAGCTATATCCTTCCCAGATCTCTGCATCTCAAAGCAGAAACCAGAAGTAATAAATTTAATTGGCTTTGTTTTCATTTTTATTGAATTCAATATATTCAAATATATTTTCTAATTTTCTTTGCATTTTTTTGACCCACAGCTATTTAGAAGTATAGATAGATAGATAGATAGACAGATGTATATATATATATGTGTGTGTGTGTGTATATATATATGTGTATATATATGTATATATATATATATATATATATATAAAATTAACCCCTAGGACCTTGTGTGTATATATATATATACACACACATATATAATTTCTACATATTTATTGAGAGACCTTTTACAACTCAGAATATGATTTGTCTTAGTGAGGGCTCAACGAGCACCTGAAAGAAATGGTTATTCTGTTGCCGAATCAAGTGTTATATGTGTGAGTTTATAGGTTTCATCAAATTTGGTAGCCTTTGTTGCTGTTGGCTAGCTGTTCTTCAAATACATTTTTCTATCTCATTTTCTTTCCTGTATTTTAATTATGTATGTTATAACATTTGCTATTTGTCTATAATCACTGAGGCTCTGTTTGTTATTAATTTTTTAACTTATCCTGTAATTTTCAATTTTTTTTTCTCTATGCTTCAGCCATGTCATCAAGGTCATTGATTATTTCTTATAATTGCTATTAATAAAATTTAGTGAATTGCTAAAATTAAAAGTTCCATTTGCTTTCTTTTAATTCCTTGATGACTCATAATTATGTTAATCTTTTCCTTTAAATCCTTGGCATATTCATAAAAGCTGTTTAAAGTCCTTAATAGAGTTCTATTTAAAGACCTTAGAAAGTCATTCTCTTATCTCCATCATTGCTGATTTTTTTCTTTCCCCTGATTTTTCTTCTGATTGTAGATCACACTTTTTGCTGTTTGGAATTTTTATCTGAATGCGAATATTGTTGTTTTATGTTGTTTGAATGCTGGATTTTGTAGCTTTCATTTAAGAGTATTCACCTTTTTCTAGGATGCTGTTAAGTTTCTTGCCAGTCATCTTGATTTTTTTAAGACTTTAAGCTCTGTTAGGACAGACCTAGAGTAGTATTCTCTAATCTAGGGCAGCACATCTCAATCTCAGCAGTATTGGCATTTGGCACCAGACAATTCTTTGGTGTGGGGATTGTCCTGCAAATTGTGAGACATTTGTCCTGCAAAACCAATGTCTCTAGATGTTACTGAATGTCCATTGGGAAAAATTTTCCCTTGTTGAGAGCCACTTATCTAGCACTTGTTTAGCCTTGCTCCCATGGTGTGATGATTCTAGTAGCTTCCTACTAAATACCCTGTTTCTTCCACTAGGATTCTTCACTCTGCTGGTTGGAATTGAATGTCTTCCATCCTTGCATGAACTATGGAAATACACAGCTTCCAGCTCCTGATTATTCTCTGCCTATCTTCATTGAATTTTACCCATTGAATCGGCAGTAACAATGAGATTTAAGAACAGGAGGGTTTGTGTGAAAATTAAGATTAATAATTTCTCTACCTCAATGCAGAACACCAGGAAATAGAATAATATTAAAATGAAGTGAATATTTTCTGTGGAATACTAAAACACTGGAAGAACATGTGGAAGGAGGCAAAAGTTTTAGTTTTATTCATTGAACAAGTACTTACTAAACACTTGTGTGTGTGTATATACACACATGCACAGAACACCCTCCCTACTCACTTATATCTGTATTCACTATGTGTTCTAGGAAAATTACAATGAGCAAGTCATACACCTTAAGGTCTTTACATCTTTTATAGAAAACAGTAAGGCAAAAAGAGAAAAAGTTAATTATCACAAAGCAATGTGAGTGCTACTATTAAAAAAATTAAAAAACAAGATGATAGAAAATAAGCACAAAAAAGCAAGGCTTAACTAGGGCTAGTACTGTAAGTAAACATTTCCAAGAGAAAGAGACCAATGAACTGAGTGTTAAAATGGGCAAATGTGGAAAATATTCAAATGGGAAAGGGCAGCAGGAACAAAATACAAAGTAAGGAAAATGGTTTGGGGAAATGTAGGGAAACTGATATGGCTAAATATTAAGGAACTGTACCAGGGAAGACATGAGGCTGGAAATGCAATCAGGGATTAGATTTGTAGGTTCTTCTTTGTCATTCTAAAATGCTTAAAGTTTCTTCTAAAGGCAATGGGTATTCTGTAGAAACCTTGAAATAAGAAGCACAATGTGATTTAATTTGAACTTTAGCAAAAATTATTTGAGACTGATTATGTGGGATAAATACAAAAGAAGCCTAGTGTTATGCTTATATTCTTCTTATCGAACAGATCTCTGTCTTCTAGTTTCAATCAAGCCTCAATAATCCCTAGGTCTGCTGTACAGCTATCATACTGGGCATTACTCTTCTCACTTTATAGCTGAGTCTACTTTTTGTGGATCACACAATTTCCTCTTGATTGAGATCATATCCATTATGTTCTGGTATTTAAGTGTGCCAAGAAGTAAAAAGAAATCATGTTTAGTTTGAATATTTTTTCCTGTGCAAGGGGTAATCTTATTTTTTTTATTTAACTCTGATTTTCTGCTGAATTTAAACCTTATAGTAGCATAGCAATTTAATGCCTTTCTGTCTTTTCCCATTATATTATTGTCCTGCTGAATTTTTGATCTATTAATTCGAAACTTTCTTGTCTAACCAATGACGTTTTTCTAATTTAAATTTAGCTATTACTTCAATTTATTTTACTTTATTCTCTTAATTTCTAAGACCAACTCTTCCAATGTTTTATCTTTAATTTTCTGAATATACTGTCTGTTCTCAGCATTTCTTTTTTTATATTTTCTTAAATTAATGATTAAGTTTTGCTTTTGAAATAGTAGTTTTTTGACACCTTTCTTATCTCAGTCTACTTTTTCTTCTTGCTTGTCAATCATTTGTTGTTAAACATACACGCGGGCACACACACACAGAGCTTTACTGAAGTAAAATTGATGTGCTAAATTATACATGTTTAAAGAATAAAATCTGATATGTTTTGGCATATGTATGCACCAATTAAACAATCACTGCAATAAAGATAATGTATGTATCTAATATGATTAGACTTTGTGCCCCACCCAAATCTCATCTTGAATTGTAATAATCCCCACATGTCAAGGGAGAGACCAGGTGGAGGTAATTGAATCATGAGGATGATTTCCCACATGCAGTTCTCCTGATAGTGAAAGAGTTCTCACGAGATCTAATGGTTTTATAAGCGGCTCTTCCCTCTTTGCTCACCACTTTTCCTTCCTGCCACCTTGTGAAGAAGACGTCTTGCTTGCCCTTCGTCTTCCACCATGGTTATAAGTTTTCTGAGGCCTCCCCAACCATACTGAACTGTGAGTCAATTAAACCTCTTTCCTTTATAAATTACCCAGTCTCGGGCGGTTCTTTATAGCAATAAGAAAAGGGACTATACAGTATTCATCACTCCAAAGTTTCCTGATTCTTCATTCTCATTTCCTATTCTTCCTGGAATCCTTTCCTTCTTCAATTGCTGGCAATTACTAACCCAGTTTCTCTCATTGTGGATCACCTATCATTGTTCAGAATTTTATATGAAGGATTCATACACCATAAACTTTTTTTCTGACTTTTATTTTCACTCAGCATACTTATTCTGAAACTCACCTACATCGTTGCATGAATTAATAACTCATTCCTTTGTATTACTAAGTAATATTCTATTGTGTGATTATACCACAATTTGTTCATTCAACTCTTGAAGGACTTTTGGATTGTTTCTTGTATTTGGCTACTGCAAATAAAGCTTCTGTAAACATTCATATTAAAGACTTTGTATGAAGATATGCTTTACTTCTCTTGGGTAAATATGTAGAGGCGCATTGGCTTGCTCATATGCTTGGTATTTGTTTAAATTTCTCATAAACTTCCAATTGTTCTTTATAAGTGCTGGCATAATCTGACACTCCTACCAGCAGTGTGTAAGAAAGACCTCAAGTTGCTCCATACACTTAACAATACTTTGCATAATCAGTCTTTGATATCTTAAACATTCTAATAAGTATATAGTGGTATTTTACTGAAATTTGTTTCTCTGTCACTTTTTTCCTCTTTTTTTTTTTTTTTGAGATGGAGTCTTGCTCTGTCGCCCAGGCTGGAATGCAATGGCGTGATCTCGGCTCACTGCAACCTCCACCTGCTGGGTTCAAGTAATTCTCCTGCCTCAGCCTCCCGAGTAGCTGGGATTACAGGTCATTCAAGTGATTCTCCTGCCTCAGCCTCACGAGTAGCTGGGATTACAGGTGCCCGCCACCATGCCCAGCTAATTTTTTGGATTTTTAGTAGAGACGGCGTTTCACCGTGGTAGCCAGGATGGTCTCAATCTCCTGAACTCGTGATCCGCCTGCCTCGGGCTCCCAAAGAGCTGGGATTATAGGAGTGAGCCATCGCGCCCAGCCATTCCTTTGTCTTTCTTACTTGATTTTCTCTTTTGTTGATTTTCTATTTAATTTGATTATTTTCTTTCATTTGATTATTTTGGTTTTCTTTTGCTTTAAGTTTCTTTCTAATTTCTCAGTTCGCTTTTTTAGTTTCTTAAGGTGGGAGCCGAGGTGGAAGCTGACTGAGATCTTTCTTCTTTTCTAATATAGAGTTCAGTGCTATAAATCTCCCACTAACTACTGTGTTACCTGCAAAGTACAAATTTTCATATGTCGTACTTTCGTTTTAATCTATATTCAAATACTTTCAAAAAATTTCACTTTTGAATCCACCTTTGACCCATTGATTATTAAGAGGAGTGTTAGTTTCCAAATATTTGGGAATTATTCATATTTTGTAAATGATTTCTGTTTTAATTGCATTGTAATCAGAAATATAATTTCAATGGCTTAAATCTTTTCAGATTTATTGAGAAAGTTTTGATAACTGAGAGTATAATCTATCTTGGTAAATGTTTTATGTATACTTGGAAAGGTTGTAAATTCTGATGTTGTTTTTGTTTGGAATATTCTATAAATATGAAACTGGTCTAGTTGGTTGATAGGTTGTTCAAGTCTTCTTTATCCTTTTTGATTTTCTATCTCTATTTATACTATTTGGCATGAGAGAGAAGTATTAAAATCTCTAATTATAACTAAAGATTTGTCTACAACAGAATTGTTCCTTGCAGTTCTATCAGATTTTGCTTCAACTATTTAAAAACTTTCCTATAAGTACATAAATGGATAGAACTGTTATATCATCTTGATTAATCAACTTTTTTGCCATTATAAGATTATCCTTTTTATCCCTATTAAGAGACTTTGCTCTTAAGTCTGTCTACTTTATCTGATAACAGTATAGTCCCTCCAGCTTTCTTTTTGATCAGTGTTAGCATGATATATCTTTTTCCAACCTTTTACTTGTATTCATGTTTTTATACTTACAAAACACCTTTTTAAAAGCAATGTATATGAGTCTTGTTATTTTTATCCAATCTGATAATCTCTGCATTCTAACTAAAGTTTTTAGATCACATAAATTTAATGCTATTATTGGTAATATTGGGTTTAAATCTACCTTCAAGCTATTTGCTTTTTATTTACACTATCTGAATGCAATTCTTTTTTTTCTCTTTTTCAGCCTCCTTTCGTGTTGAATACATTATTCAATTTTTCCCTTTTTTGTTGACTATTTTTAGTTGCTATTTTTGATGTTTTATTTTAATGGATACTTTAAGGTTTTTAGTGCACATTTTTAACTGTTTACCATCTACTTTCAAACAATGTTATGCTTTTCCCATATAGTGTGAGAACTTTAAAATAATATATAGCTGATCATTGAATAATGCAGGGTTTAGGAACGCTGACTGCCTTTGCAGCTGAAATCAAATATAACTTTTGACTTCCCCCAAATTTAACTGCTAGTAGCCTACTGCTCACCAGAAGCCTTACAGATAGCATAAACATTTGATTCTATATGTTATATGTGTTAGATACTATATGCTTACAATAAAACAAGCTAGAGAAAAGGAATTGTTATTAGGAAAATTATAAGGAAGAGAAAATATATTTACTATTTATTAAGTGGGAGTGGATCATGATAGAAGTCTTCATCTTTGTTGTCTTCACGTTTAGTAGGCTGAGTAAAAGGAGAGGTTGGTCTTGCTGTCCTAGGGGTGGCGAATGTAGGAGAAAATCCATGTATAAGTAGACCCACAGAGTTCAAACCGTTGTTGTTCAAGGGTCAACTGTGCTTCTACTCCCCACCCACCAGACCTTTATGCTATTGTCATGTATTTTGTTCCTATATATGTTTAAAACAACACTTAAAGTATTATTATGTTTATTTTAAATGGTTTCTTATTTTTAAAATAAGATTTTAGTAATAATAAAAATCTTTACATTTATCTATGTAATTATACTTTCTGTGTTTTTTTATTCCTTTAGGTAGATCCAGGTTTCAATATAGTTTCATTTTCTTCTGCTTGAAGTACTTCTTTTTTAACATTTGTTTATGTCACAAGACAGCTGATGATTAATTATTAGTCTTTGTATGTCTGAGAAACTATTTTACTTAAATATTTGAATGATATTTTTGCTAGGAATAGAATTCTATGTTGACAGTTTCTTTTTTGTCCTTTCAGTACTTTTAAAGACATCATTCTACTGTCTTCTAAGCTAGCTGTCCTAAGAGAAATCTAGAGCTATTACCTTTGATCTTCTGGATATAACATGTCTTTTTTCCCTGAGCTGCTTAAAGCTTTTCTCCTAAACATATATATGGTCTCATTCTTCAAAGTACATGATGTTATGTTCATTTTTCCTCAGTCTTTTTTTTCCTCTGACTCTTAATTTGGATATATTTATTGCTATATTTTTAAGTTTACTAATCTTTTATTCTCCAATATCTAATCTTGTGTTAATCACATTGCATCTTTTTCATGTCGGGGATTGTAATTTGTAATTTTTGACTTAGATCTGAACCTTTCTTATCACTTTTATGTCTCTACTGAATAAGTTCAAGACTACTTGTAGATTTTTGAACATATGAAATACAGTCATAATAAATGTTTTAATGTTCTTGTCTATTAATTCCATTATGATAATCATTTGAGTTTGTTTCAATGTCTTGATTTATTAGTATGAGTTGTATTTTCTTGATTTTTGCATGGCTGGTAGTTTCTGAGTTTATATCAGACATGAATTTTACCTTGTTTGATATTGGATGTATTTATATTTCTTTAAACAATTTTGAGGGGTATATGTGTGTGGGTGAGAGAGAGAGAGACAGAGAAAAAGAGAGAGAGAGAGAGAGAGAAACAGATTCGCTATATAGAAACCAATGAGCCCTTCATGTCTGGTTTTAAGTTTGTTAGACAAGAAAAGAGATGCATTAATCTGGGTTTCATGTTTTGTTCTTGCTGGTGAGGACAGACCTTTCTACTCTACACAATGTCCCCTGAAATAAAATGGTTTGGGACTGAATAATGATTACAGTTGCTGTTTTTGGCACTGTGTGGTTTCCAGGCATTTTTTCTTCTAATCCTTTTGGGTGGTTCTTCTCCCAATCTTTGAGTATTTTCTCCCATGCGTGTACTGAGCAGTACTTAATTGAATTCTCTAGGAGATTTTTTTGCAGTATATGAAATTCTTTCTCCGTGCAGCTCTCAATTTCCAGTTCTTCTGTGTACTTTAATCTCCTTAGCTTTCCCAGACTCCTGGCTCTATTTTTTCAACCCAGGGAGGCTGTGGACTCTGTGTGAGTTTTCCCATCCTGCACTGCTCCTAAAAACTTTTTCAGGCAGTTAGCTGGGGTAAGTGTAAAATTTAACTGCTTTCCTTCTGTCTTACTGTCCTTCATTGACTGATGCCTAATGCCTTAAGTGTCATTATTTAATATATTTTGTTTAGTTTTTCAGTCCCTTCTTTGTCTCATTTTTTTAAATATCTTTGTTTTTATAGAATTTGTGTTTTGTCTAAAACACAAAGTGTGATTCCTAAAATATCTTTTCAATTGTATAAGAAACCATGTAAAAATTATGCATTTTTAGCATTTTAAATGTGATGTTCTGTCTTTTGTATTGGTAAGTACATCTTTTTCCCTTATGTATTCACCCCTAAAAAATGTCTAGTAAAGACTGGTGTCTCCACATGTATGTGCCCAATGTATTTTGTTTTTATTTTATTATGGCACACCTGATTGTTGTTAGAATTATAATCCTGGACACAGAATGATAGAGTCAAAAGCACAGGGTATCTCAATCAGGTGTTTCTCTGCACAGTGGTTTTCTCTATCTTAGATGATGCCACTTTACTAAGGCAAGGGTAAGTTTCTATTTATTTGACACTACCTTTGTGCCAGGGATATCTTACATATAAGGCCAGCTTACTTCTTAGTGCCATTGTTCCCTGCTTCAAAGATAAGCCTATACTGTGTTGACAGGCTTAGATACTGCTGGAGTAGCCAAATAAAGTCCAATTATGATTCTGTCAATATCTCCATTTGTCTTTTTATCCCAATTATTTGAGGGGCATACTCCTGTCTCTTATGAGATAATATTGCATGATGTATGAGAGAATATAGTCTCTCCAACTTTAAATCTAGAAGAGATTTAGCATTATGCATTGCACATCAGAACCTTCAGAGCTGATACAGATATTACTAAATTATTGGTAATTAAATCTGAATCTAACATGAGGGTGCATATCCAAGTACACATCGCTTTCTTTTTTAGCAACTGTTTAAAGATGTAAATGGCTAATTATATTTGAAACTACAGGGGGACACAGGCACTGATTTCTCTCTCTCTCTCTCTCTCTAAGATTCTACAAGCTAAGACAGAAAAGGAAAGGACAACAGAAAACAAAATAAATGTTATATCACTAAAACACAAATTTCAATAACAAAAGGAAAATGTTATTATAGAAAACACCAGTGATGCTTTGAAAGAGTACAATAATTAAAGAATATTAACCTTCAGGCAAATCAGGACAAGAAGTTTTTTCTATTTCTATTCACTCAGAACAAGAACTCTCCTAGGAAGAATGGTATAATTGAGGAGATATGTGAAACAAAAGCATGTTTCCTTAACCAAGAAATGGTAGGTACAGTGTATAGAACCAAACATTACTCTTTTGGCCAAAGGCTGCTTCTAGGGCGTTATAGATAATGAATATACTTCCCAATAATTGACTATGATTCATCAATTTCATAAAACATAGGGGGACAATATTTTCTTGTTCAAATAGAGAATCTCTTGAGAGTTTTAGACAGAAACAATTAAAAGTTACACCAGACACAGGTAAAAGCCAGATATCTCATAAGAAAACCAGAATATGGTCACCGTGTTAATGTATTCCTTTGATTTGGATTTCTCCATCTCAAGAAACAACAACAACAACTTATGGCATATTGGATAAAGTGAAAACTTTCCCTTATGATTTTCAGAGCTCTTCATAATTGGGCTCCACTTCACCTACCTATTACTCCACCACTGTCAAGCTCTCAAGGAAGAGAAGAATTAACATAAACTTTGTAGTGTGACCATCCTGGTAATGAATCATGGCAGCCTTTCACTTCAGCCAAGATCTCAGTGACTATGGGTGTCAGGCTATTATCTTCAATGTGAGGATAATGATGGATGACTTTCTAGGTTCCCATCAGCATGTGATTTAGGACACTTCTTCTACCAAGACAGAGTAGTAGAAAGATAGGATCTCTTTTTCCTGGGGTAAGACATTTGGTATAATCTGGGCATGATCTGGAGCAGTAACTAAGAGAGGAATGTGTCACTTACGGGAAGTAGAATTCAGCTCACTATATTAGCAAAATGTCCCATGGGCTGAAGGTTGAGGGTCTCAAGTCTGATTGGGAAATATGAGTTAGAGGCAGTGAAATCCAATATAAACACAGTCGGTTGGCCTATTATACTTGTGTAAAAGAGTAGGTAAGAGCGAATTATATGGAAAGCCTTCAGCTGCAGATGTCTGGGGATCACTCGTTGTGCATAGACTAATAATCACTGGGGCTGACTCTAAGGATGAGCACACCTGAGATTGCCGATAACTACAATTCTCTCTTTGTCTTCGACTTTCAAACTAAAATAGATTTGGATCCTGTGGGCTGCTTGGGAATAAAGGTGAAAGTATAGCTCTGAAAAATTAGTGAAGAAGAAACAAGACAAGCTAAGAGCAGCACATTTGCGGACAGATGGTACTCAAAACCTACCTACCAATGTATTAATATAATAATTTAGAAAGCTACTTTGGATTTATTTGAGTAGTTGCAAGTTTCATGGAAAATAGAAAGTTTAAAGCTAGCTGCTGATTCACTGACCTGTTATTTTAACTCAGGTAGCACTTATTTATAATGAGAAGTGTATAAATTTAGTCTCTTCTTATCTTCCTCTCAGAAACCTTAATGTTGAATCCTTCTAGCTCACAACTAGACTGTGAACATTGATTACTCTCATGTCCTGCATAGATTTCAGAAATTGTCTTGAATTTTTATTGACTATGTGGAATGAGGAGTTATACTAATTAACATGACAAAACTTTGCAGTTTGTGGCTTCTTATTTCTGTTTGTTATAGATCACCTACATTGATACTTCTACAGTTTTCTAGTATTGCATTTGTATTTTACGGCATTCACTTAGAAAGCCATTAATATAGAGGGAATCCATCTGCATTTGAAAGGATGGGTCTGTTTTTCTTTTTTTGTTTTGCTGTCATTTTTTCCCTCTTCTTTAATTTTTGTGGGTACATAGTAGATGTTTGTATTTATGGGTCACATGAGATATTTTGATATAGGCATACCATGCCATCACATAGGTGTCTGTTATTCTTAATGTACAGCTTTTAAACATTTTCTTATATAATTTTAAAACTGACAGTGGTTTATAGCTTTGTTCTGTTTTTCTTTGTCCTCTCTTAACAAATACCTTCTAGATACTGCTTTAAAATTGAAAGTTCCTGCCCATTACCGACTTAGGTTACTCAAACATTTGTTCATATGCTAGTTGGAAAATTGTCATCATTGTTTCATTTCAGGAAATGGAGGCAAACTTGGTGGATTAGTCATTGCATTAATAAAATGGAAGATTTAGCCAGCTTTTTAAAAACTGCACTGGAAACTATGGAGCATTGGGCACCCTAACAGTGAAAAGTGAGGGCAGGGGAGTTGGAGACATTGAGATTTGTTTTCTCTCTCTGGCTATTTGAAGCTGCATTTTTCTTTGAAATTTTTTATTCTGGCATTTATATTTTGCTTTATTTTACTCTCACATTACCAGACTAATTTAAAAAGACTTCTTTTTTTTTATTTTTTACATATTTGCCAGGTATGTTCATGGATTACTTCATAAATTATTCCATGAACATTGCATTTTAAAGCTAATGCTGTGGTTTTAATATTTCATTTTTCTATGTGGAATGCTAAATCCCTTCTGATAATAATGCATATTATATATATTAAAAATTAGAAAATATATATTATATATTTTTTAAAATTTTTATTGTGTCCTCTATAGAGTAGCTAGTTTGATGATCAAAAAACTTGCAAGATTAGCACGGCAATTATTTTATCTCAGTTATATAGATGAGTAAACAGACATATACACACTACATTAATGACCTGCTGTGTTCATACAACTATTATTGGATGGAGTCAGAACTCAAACTCAAGGTACAATGTGGTCTGGTAAGTGCCCCCAATCATAATACACTTATAAATGCCATGATTAATTTGATTATATGTAAGTGTGTCAAATTTGCAAATGGAGACAAAATATGTTGAACATAACAAATAAAGAATAGTGTAGTTGTTGGAGTATAAAAGATCTGAACATTAATCCTGTCTTTGACACTTAGTAACCAGCTCCATACTAAACTACTTTAAGTGACATATATCTTTCAAATAAGCATAAAATTCTTTCCAACCTCATAAAATTATTATGAGAATTAAAAGAAACAGTGCACATAAAGTGCTTAACATAAGTGCCTAACATTGGTAAACAATTAATTATAGCTTTCATTAAAGTTTGAATCTAATATAAATGGACACGTTATAATTTACTGGTTGTTGTAGACTAAGATCTAGTCTTTTCCTTACCTCCACTTAAATCCTCCCAGCTTGGTGGACTAGTTATTTTGCTCATCACATTTCCAGCACTCTCTATGATTGACAGGCATTTTTTTAGGCACTTGCTGTGAACGGTGTGTTAGCTTTTCATGTATTCCTCCTTTGTGTCCTCAGTTAAATCTTGCTTTTTGGGCCATGGTTAATTCTGTTTTATTTTCTTTCATTGATTATAGTACAGGGGAGGGACCTTGCCTCCCTGATATTATACCATTCTGTGGTAGAAGCATGACAACAATTTTGTGGATGATAAATAAACAACTAGGCCTTAGGAACCAAGCAGTAAGTGCCAGGCAGTATGTGATTCCATGATCTCATACCACATGTCTCCATGCTACATGTTTTGTCTTTCCTCACAGAGGGTAAAGATGCTAATTTGGCTCAGTTTAAATCTCTAATGTGTAAGACAATCTGGAAGTGATTGAGTTTACCTATAATTAATTGATTCCTTTTTTTTTTCCTACCAGGCAAAATGGGAACTTGAGATAGTATGCAGTTCAGTAATTGAAAAGAAAAAATAAATTTCTCTATAAATAAGATTTCTGGTATGTGCTCTCACCACACACAGTGTATGTGTATGTGTGTGTGTGTGTGTGTGTGTGTGTGTGTGTATTAAGCCATAACTATGGTAATTATTTGCCTGATTGCTAAATATTTTTGACCCTCAGTCTTCTGGGAACATGGGATTGTACTTCCTGGCCTTTTAGTGGCTGACTGAGACCGAGAATCATAATTGGAATTGATATGGCTCCCTTCTGAGACACAAGACTTAATTCATTGTGTAAGATTTGCATAAGTTCCCTTTCGCCTCCTGCCATGACAGTCACTGACACTGAGTAATAGCTTTTCCATTAGCCTGGCTCTCTGGGTGTCCCATTCCAGCATAACCTTGCCCACCCTGACTAGTACAAAAACTTAGAGAAGTTGAAATTAAATTTCTCTTCAGAGCAAGGTGTTAATGTGTATAGTCAAGTGTATTCTGCCTACATCCCCTGACACAGGGTATAAAGACACTGAAGATCAATCCTTCTCAGATATGCGCGACTGACAAATTCTTCCTTGGGGAAAAGTGAAAGCAGAGGTGCTTTGCCTGAACTGAGAGGTGGCAGATGCACTATTGAGATTTGAAAACAATCGTTTTTTCCTAAAAAAATTGAAAAGTGTTGTTCCTGATAGAAACATAAGGATATATATTGCTAGTACTTGAAGGCCCCCTTATTAAGATTTTCACATTATTCTGTCTTTTTATCTGCACCACAGACTTACAAACTATATGTAATTATCATCATTTCACAAATCAAGAACCTGTCAATCTCAAATATCTTAACAATTTTGCTCTTCTCAAATGACCAGTCAATTTTTAACCACAATTTCAATACATACCTATTTTTTAAATAAAAGTCTTAGATTTCTCTATCAACTCATTTGGTAGCTACTGTCTCCAGCAGCCAGTAGAGGCCCAGAAAAGAAGAGCATGAGCAGGGCCACCTGCATGGGTTCTTTTGGGGCCCTTAGCTTCAACGTTCAGATTGGTTGGCAGGCTTCAATGTTTCAGAAACAATTAGAAAGTTTAAGAGTTTTTAGTATTTATAGACCCTGAGGGGGTACACTGCATGCCTGGAGGCCATACATAAGAGGTCAGGGGGATGTAAAAAGGGTCACTTTAAGTTTGCCAGCAAATGCCAGAATGGTCCATTGAAGGGAAGCTGCAGGAAAGCTGGGAGCCCAGTCTGTTAAGCAAGAGAGATGTATTTAAGTTCTGTCTTGGGCCACTAGCTTGAGCCTTTTGGGTGCGAAGTAGAACTGGAAAGTGTGTGAAGGGTCACTGAGCCCTGCCTTTGGCACAGGAAAGCTAACCTGTGTTCAAAATGCATGCAGAGGCAACATAAAATTACAAGCAACAGCTACAACTTGTCTGACTCTACATTCAATAGACACATTTTATATCACTCCTTGTGGTCTCTCATAGAATGGAACTATTTCTGGAAAGAAGAGATCCAAGATTAAGTCATTCTCCTAAAATATAAAACATCCTTTGGAGAGAAAATATTCAAAGATTGTTATTAATCACCTCCAAGCAACACTCTCATCAGTAGGCAAATTAACTTAATGGAAAAGGGGTGTGGTTAAAAAATATAATACATTGGTGTATCACTGCGTTCTACTACAAGTCCCAAACTTATAATATTTTCTTACTTTATTGCCTTGAATTTTTCATTCACTGAATCCAGATCATTAAATTTTCATTGCACTATGATAATGCTAGAGGTAAGGCTCTCTATTTTAAACTCGAGTTGTTTATCTTTGATCAATCTATTCTTTGCTTAGAACAAACCTGGATCTTTCTATTATTTTTGCAGGTAGTTGTCAACTAAACTTATACTGTTCTTATGGTATACTTTATATTTTACATATCCATGCATGTTAGCCCTTTCAAAAAAGTATACATTCTTTAGAAACAGACTTCCTAAGTGCTCTTCTGGGCATTTAGTACTCAGTAGCTTCTTCATTTTCCTGGACTTATAAAAACACTATAATACTTGAGCAATCACATTAATTTTTTTAAAGGGTAAAAGGGGTATCCATCACCTCAAGCATTTATCAATTCTTTCTGTTACAAACATTCCAATTATACTCTTTTAATTACTTTAAAATGTACAATAAATTATTGTTGACTCTAGTCACCATGTTGTGCTGTCAAATACTAAGTCTAATTCATTCTAACTGTATTTTTGTACTCGTTAACTGTCTCCACTACCCCCACCCCACCCACTACCCTTCCTAGCCTCTGGTAATCATCATTCTACTCTCTCTCCATGAGTTCAATTGTTTTAATTTTTAGTTCTTACAAATAAGTGACAACATGTGAGGTTTGTCTTTATGTGCTTGGTTAATTTCACTTAACACATTGTCCTCCTGTTCCATCCAAGTTGTTGCAAATGACAAGATCCCATTCTTTTTTATGACTGAATAGTATTCTATAATGTATACATACCACATTTTCTTTATTCATTCATCTGTTGACAGATACTTAAGTTGCTTCCAAACCTTGGCTGTTGTAAATAGTGCTGCAATAAACATGAGAGTTCAGATATCTCTTTGATATACTGATTTCCTTTCTTTTGGGTACTGATAAAAGAAAAACTTCAGTCAAATTAAATTTAAAGGAGTTTAATTGAGCAATGAATGATTCGCAAATCAGGCAGCCCCTAGAATCACAGCAGATTCACAGAGACTCAGAGCAGCCAGAGTGGAAGAATATTTATAGACAAAAAAAGGGAAATGACATACAGAAATTGGAAGTGAGGTACAGAACAGCTGAATTGGTTACAGCTTGGTGTATGCCTTATTCGAACATACTTTGAACACTCAGTAGTATACGAAAGGTTGAAGTATGGCTGCTGGGATTGGTCAAGAGTTAGCTATTGTTACAGGGGCATACTACTAAGTTGGTTTTCAGTTTTGTGTGCCTATTAAGCTAGGTTACAGTTCATCACCAAGGACTCAAATATAGAAGTACAGAGTCCTTCTCAGGCCATATTTAGTTTAACAGTATATACTTAGCAGTGAGATTGCTGGATCATAGGGTAGTTCTACTTTTAGTTTTTTGAGAAACCTCCATGCTGTTCTCTACAGTGGCTTTACAAATTTACATTCCCACCAACAGTGTACAAGCCTTCCATTTTTCCCACATTCCTACCAACATTCACTATTGCCTGTCCTTTGCATAAAAACCATTTTAACTAACGTAGAATGATAGCTCATTGTAGTTTTGATTTGCATTTCTCTGACAATCAATGATGTTGAGCACCTTTTCATATACCCATTTGCCATTTGTATGTCTCCTTTTGAGAAATGCCTGTTCATATATTTTGCCCATTTTTAAGTCAGATTATTAGATTTTTTTCCTATGGAGTTATTTGAACTCCTTATACATTCTGATGCTATAAACCATCTTTCATGGAAAGTGAATTGACTTTAGAATTGAATTAGTGGGGAATCATTGAAAGGTTTTATATACCTAAATGATCAATAGTTAAATCTCAATATCCAAACCTTAAAAATGAACATTTCCAATTTGATGTTTTACAAACTTCTTTTCAAAGAGAATCTCATCATCTCTCCATCTCAACTAATGGCTACTCCTATATTTTTTTATATCAGATAGTGACAACACCATCCCCCAGTAATCTTTAAATTTAACCTAATCTGTTACCTCTACTTTGCTTCCTTGGTATCTAATCCTTCAATAAGCTCTGTTTCTGGTGCTATTTTTCTCAAATTTCTTAAACATATTTCTACTTTTTATTTCTTAAATTATGTTCAGAGAAAAACCTTGCAACTTACTATAAATACTGAAGCATTCCTACTGAAACTATTACAAAAACATTGAGAATGAGAAACTCCTTTTCTACTCATTCTATAAAGCCAGCGTTATCCTAACACCAAAACCTGGCAGAGATAGAACAAAAAAAGAAAACTTCAGACAAATATCATTGATGAACATTGATGCAAATATCCTCAACAAAATGCTACAAATGAAATCCAGCAGCACATCAAAAAGCTAATCCACCATGATCAAGTAGGCTTCAACCCTGGGATGCAAGGGTGGTCCAACATAAGCAAATCAATAAATGTGATTCATCATATAAACAGAATTAAAGACAAAAACCACATGATTATCTCCATAAATGCATAAAAGGCTCTTGATAAAATTTGACATTCTTTTATGTTAAAAACTCACAATAGCTGGGTGTGGTGGCTAATGCCTGTAATCCCAGCACTTTGGGAGGCTGAGGCGTGCGGCTCACAAGGTCAGGAGATCGAGAGCATCCTGGCTAACATGGTGAAAGCCCATCTCTACTAAAAATACAAAAAATTAGCCAGGCATAGTGGCGGGCACCTGTAGTCCCAGCTACTCAGGAGGCTGAGGCAGGAGAATGGCTTGAACCCAGGAGGCGGAGCTTGCAGTGAGCTGAGATCGTACCACTGCACTCCAGCCTGGGCGACAGAGCAAGACTCCGTCTCAAAAAAAAAGAAAAAAAAACTCACAATAAACTAAGTATTGAATGAACATACCTCAAAATAATAAGAGCCATCTATGTCAAACTCACAGCCAACACCATACTGAATGGGCAAAAGCTGAAAGCATTCTCCTTGAAAACCAGCACAAGATAAGGATGCCCTCCCTCTACACTCCTATTCAATATAATATTGGAAGTCATAGCCAAAGGAGACAGGGAACAGAAATAAATAAAGTGCATCCACACAGAAAAAGAGGAAGTCAAACTATCCTTATCTGCAGATGACATTATTCTACATCCAGAAAATTGCATAGTCTTAGCCCAGATGCTCCTTCAGCTGATACACAATTTCAGCAAAGTTTCAGAATACAAAATCAATGTACAAAAATCACTAGCATTTCTATACAACAACAACAGCCAAGCAAAGAGCCAAATCAGGAAGGCACTTCCATTCACAATCACTGCAAAAATAATTAAATACCTAGGAATACAGCTATCCAGAGAGGAGAAGGGCCTCTACGACAAGAACTGCAAAACGCTGCTCAAAAAACCGGAGAAGACACAAATAGAAAAACATCCCATGCTCATGGATAGAAGAATCAATACCATTAAAATGGCCATAGTACCCAAAGAAATTTACAGATTCATGTTATTCCTATCAAACTACCAATGACATTCTTCAAAGATCTAGAAAAAATACTTTAAAGTTAATATGTAACCAAAGAAGAGCCCAAATAGCCAAGGCAATCCTAAGGAAAAAGAAGGTGAAGGCCTCAAGTTACCTGACTTCAAACTATACTGCAGGGCTACAGTAACTAAAACACATGGTACTGGTACAGAAACAGGCACATAGATCAATGGAACAGAATAGAGAGCCCAAAAATAAGGCTGCACGCCTGCAACCATCTATCTGATCTTCAACAAAGCCGACAAAAGCAATGGGGGAAAAAAAACCCTTTTCAATAAATGATGCTGGGGTAACTGACTAGCTATATGCTGAAGATTGAAACTGAACCCCTTCCTTACACCATATACAAAAATCAACTTAAGATGGATTAAAAACTTCAATGTAAAATCCAAAACTATAGAAACCCTGGAAGACAATCTAGGCAATGCCATTCTGGGCATAGGAACTGACAAAGATTTCATGACAAAGATTCCAAAGCAATTGCAACAAAATAAAAAATTGACAAGTGGGATCTAATTAAACTTAACAGCTTCTGCACAGCCAAAAACAAAACAAAACAAAACAATCAACTAGTATTTCTATACATCAACAACAACCAAGCCAAGAGCCAAAGTTAACAAAGTAAAAAGACAGAGTAGACAGCCTATAAAATGAGAGAAAATATTTGCAAACATTGCACCTGACTAAGTCTGATATCCAGCATTTATAAGAAACAAACAAATGTATAAGAGAAAAAAAAAAACATTAAAAAGTGGGCAAAAGACACAGACAATTTTTAAAAGAAGACATACATGTGGTCAACAAGGATATGAAAAAAAGTTCAATATGACTGATCATTACAGAAACGCAAATCAAAACCACGATGAGATACCATCTCACACCAGTCAGAATGGATATCATTAAAAAGAGAAAAAAAATAGTAGATGTTGGTGAAGTAAAGGAGAAAAGGGAACACATATACACTGTTGGTGGGAGTGTAAATTAGTTCAACCATTGTAGAAAGCAATATGCTGATTCCTCAAAGAGCTAAAAACAGAACTACTATTTGACCCAGCAATCGCATTGCTGGGTATATACCTAGAGGAATATAAATCATTCTGCCATGAAGACACAAGCATGCAAATATTCTCTGCAGCACTATTCACAATAGCAAAGACATAGAATCAATCTAAATGTCGGTCAATGACAGATTGGATTAAGAAAATGTGGTACCTATACACCATGGAATACTATGCAATCATAATAAAGAATGAGATCATGTGATTTGCAGTATCATGGATGGAGATGGAGGCTATTTTTCTTAGCAAACTAATGCAGGAAGAGAAAACCAAATACTGCATGTTCTCACTCATCAGTGAGAGCTAAATAATGAGAACTCACAAACACAAAGAAGGGAACAACAGACACTGGGGCATACTTGAGGGTGGAGGGTGGAAAGAGGGAGAGAAGCAGAAAAAAATAGCTACTGGATACTAGGCTTAATATCTGGGCGATGAAATAATCTGTATAAAAAACCCTTATGACACAAGGTTACCTACATAACAAACCTGCACATGTACCCCTGAACCTAAAAGCTAAAAAAAGAAGGCAGTAGCAAAAGGAGAAATAAAAAGTAAAAAAAATAAAAAAATACTGAAGCAGTCTTCTAACTGGCCTGTTTTATTTACTCCCTATGATGCCAAGTAAAATGCATTCATAGGCTGGATCCAAGTGGATAGAATATTGAAACTCATAATTTATCATTCACTTCTGGTGTTTCTCTAAACTTCACGTGATAAACCATCAGGTATTTTCTCAACAATGGTTATTTCTCTCTCTTCATGGAATACAAGTTATCCAAGTTTCCAACATCCTGCTTATATCTTCATAGGTTCACTTATATAATCTCATTAACTCCTCTTTTGCATTCACAGGAATTTAAGTGATGATAAGTTCAATTCCTCAACAGAATTATAAATGAATTTTTGACTTGTTTTAACATGGACCAACAGATTCCAAACTTAAATGAACTTCATCATGTCTTTATGTTACATATAAGAATAAACATATTCTCTCTTTTATTCATGATCTCAAATCATGTTCAATTTACCAAGCTTACCAGACAATAATATGGAATGAGCACGAATTGGATTATAAACTAGAACAGTCATAACTTCAATGACATTTTAAATGTCCTATTTTGTTATCTCTTTTCCTGAAGCAGTAAAGCCTGGGAATATTTTATCTATTGATCCGTTTTGATTTCCCTATGTGGTTTTCTTGCATTTTCATGCAGATTTAACCAGGTTTTTAGAACTCTTATCCACCTCTTAAATAAATCTTGCTTCCTTTTTTTCTCATGTAGATAGCACAGTTTTCAGATGAAAGCCCTCATCTACATACACCCCTTTTTTATTTTGTGTTTTCCATTTTATTTTAAAAATCAAAATCTTGTACTCATGTGTGAGTATATGTGCTATATTATAAGTTGATCCAATTTCATTCTTGGAAGCTTGTTTCCTTTCTAACGAATGCACAATAGTTTTTTCGTCACGTACAAAATAATCAGACCATCTTACTCTTTCTCTGAGTCAACCTAATTTTCACTATTGGAGTATTCTAGGCACAGGACACTTTTATTTGTTTCGGATTTGTAGAATTTATTAGTTTTTTTTTCCTTTACAAACCAAAAACTGGTCAGCCTTTACAATTACTTTGTCAGATTTCAATATGGGGCACTGATATTACTCAAAATATGCCAATAGACCAAGTTGTTTAATATTTCCATTTAATTTATCTGGAAAGCAGGAGTGGTATTATTATCCACTTTATATTTTTTGTGGAAAATTTGATCTCTTTGGTCTTTTCAGAGGCAATAGAGAAGTACAAGAAAGGTGGAATAAAGCAGAGTAAGAAATTATTGCAAGTATATTCCAAGAGAGGTCTGTATTTCTTGTCGCAAGAATCAATTATTAGATTACCACAGTAGATAATTGTTTTGAATATTATGACTTCAATATCACATTCCTTTCCAGATATGTTTTCATATATTATTTGTAAACTACTCAGAAATATATATTTCTATAAAATTAACTTCTGGCTGAAGTAGTTGAATGCCACCTTGGCAGAAATGAACTTTGTTTTTAACAACATTTTAACAACATTTTCCTATTTTCATCTTAGGTAATTATCTTCGATTTTTTAGCAACATTCATTGTTTGCTTCAAGTAAAATTAAGTATTTCTTATGGCAGTTGATGCAAACACTATATTGACAGTTAATATACTTTATTTGTTAGAATTTTTTTTTCTCCTTAACATGACACACATGGAACAATTAATATTGTGATACTGTACTAAAGAAGTTATGATTTGGATTCCAAAGCATTCTTCTACTCAATCCATTATTTAGACCTTTGGAGTATCTGTTTCTTTTTCTTCAATTGGTATTTGTGATGATAAAATAATAACACTCAAAAATTGAGCCAGTATTGAACTCAGTAAACTTCGACCTCAATGATATGCCATATACCTAAAATAAGTAATATTTGACAACCATCATGTGCTCATAAAATCCACAGAAATTGAAGGAAGGATATCAGGATGACAAAAACACTTTAGGAAAACATTCAGAACACCATATTTCAAATAAACTAGAAACCATTTTGAAATATATCAAGTGCAGGCCCGGCATGGTGGCTCACACTTGTAGTCCCAGAACTTTGGGAGGCCGAAGTGGGCTAATCCTTTGAGCCCAGGAGTTTGAAACCAACCTGGGCAACATAGTGAAACCCTGTCTCTACCAAAAACAAACAAACAGAATAGCCGGGCCTAGTGGAGCACGCCTGCAGTCCCAGCTACTTGGGAGGCTGAGGCAGGAGAATCACTTGAGCCTGGGAGGTAGAGGTTGCAGTGAGCTGAAATCACTGCATGGCACTTCAGCTTGGGTGATGGGAGTAAAACTCTGTCTCAAAAAGAAAAAAATCTATCTATCTATCTATCTATCTATCTATCTATCTATCTATCTGTCTATCATCTATCTCAGGGGCAATTATGTTGAGAACAAGTTTAACCTTGTGTCAAAACTGTGCTTCATTTGTAGTTTTATTTTTTCTGTTTCTTTTGTGTACAGTATAATGTAATCCATAAATATACTGAATATATAAATAAATTTATAAAATTGTCCTGTATATAAGTGAAAAGGCATGTAACTGATTTTCAAATGAATTAAGTAGTGGTCTCAATTCTGTATCTAATTAGTTGAATCTTTGGGAAATAACATAGTTGTGATTCCTTTATGCAGAAGATGACAACCTGTCTCTCATGATTACAGGGAGAGAAAACTGATGAATGTAAAAATACTATGTATGTAAATTATTGAACTTAACTCTTCATAACAGTATGAGTCTCTTTTGTCTTTAAGTTCAATTTCAATCACATGACTGGGCAACTTTCCTACAGGTTGTAGGTGCCAAACTGAGGGAAAAAAGCAATGCTTGCCAACCTCTGTGATCAATTCCGTATCTTTGATCCTCAGTATATGGCTTGGTTGGGGGAGAATGTTGGATATTTTGACTGTCAGAGTAATATGAACTGGTTGCAGCTCATAGTAATCCACGGAGGGACCTGATATAACCAGAATTCCAAGATCAACTCTGCTACTTACAAATCATATGCCCTTGAGAAGCTAACAGCCTTTTTACATTTTTCTTTCAGTTTCTTAATAAAAATGGACTAGCTTTGAGGAATAAATACAAAATATAAATGTGTATAAAACATTTCACGATACCTGAAATATTGTAGTGCCAAGCCAACTATTCGATGACTTCTTCTCCTTTCTCTTTCTCTCTTTCTTTCTTTCTTTCTTTTTCTTTCTTCCTTTTCTTGCTTTCTTTCTTTCTTTTTTCTCTTTCTTTCTTATCTATAGAATAAATCAATTATTTGTTCTACATAATATCCTGTCTTTTACATAATAATTCTTTAAAAACATGTAGTACTACTTTGAACACTTTCTGGATTGTCTCATTTTTTTTCAAATGTGCTTTTAATTAACAAAAAATTATGTGATTTATATAATGATCTTCCTCAAATTGATATGTTTTTAGGAATTAACCCTATTTTATTTTATTGTGGTGTCTTAATACAAGAGGAATATTTTTGTTTGGTCCCTAACTCATTTGAAATGCACTCCTCATACTTGTACGTTCATTGTTCCTCTCTTAAAGTTCCTGAAATTCTATGCTTTATTTTATTCCTTTCTGGAATCTTTGGATTACATAGTTATTAACACAATCCTTGTCAGCTCTGTGTTGCCTGCTGTTGATTATTTTGAAATATGTATGTCACAAGCAGAACACTTATATTCTTCATAAAGCAGAAGATGCATATCTTCTACTTTTACTCAAATGTCTTATCCCTTTATTCTCTTACAATGGTAATATTTTCCATCCATTTATGACTGTTTGTTAGAAAAAAATTAATATTGTCTGGGTTGTACCTGCTCTACCTCTATTTTTAGGACTTACGTTATGAAATCTCATTTATTTACTTGGATGGTATAGTTATACTGTGTGGTTTTGAGTCCATTACCATTTCAAATTCACTATTCAAGCCATATATCAGTTTATATACCAAATTTGCTGTTTGCCGTCTGTAACTTTGATAAATGACCTTTCTGTTGTTACCAAAGAGCTATAAAAATACATTAGGTGAACAATCTCTATATAGAATCTTGAGACAACCATTAGAAACCTCCTAGCCAATTGATCACAATTCTATTCACATGTAGGCAAAGTCACCCAATTGATTTCTGATTCAATAAATTGCTGTTACATTTCACCTTTAATTTTCTTGTAGCTACAAGTATCTCATAAGAATATGACCAAATGCCTTACTGATAAGGATGACTACCACAGTCAGATTTTTTATATCTACCAATTTCCCAAGGAAATGAATGGGGTTAATGTGATAGTATGCATTTATGCCAACCCAGCTTATGCCTAGTAGTTCTTGATTCTAGAATATTTTCCAGGATCTGCATTAAATGATACAATCCACAGTTTGTTTACTTTATTTTTAGTATACATTGTGAAAATCAAGATTATGTTTATCAATTTTATAGACTTTTTTAATCCTACTCTCAATAACAATCAATGATCATCAATGGCCATGAGAAATCTTGCTTACTAGGTCTTTCGTTCTAGCATCAAATTTGTTGGTTGAGGGACTTGAAACAGTTGGTTGCTCACCTTACATCTCCTGACCAATCTTGAGCATAATCTTGGGATGCTTTCTCCTATATTAGTGTTTGCACTATTATTTTAGTCCAGTGGTCATTTTACTTGACAAATAAGACAAAAGCAAAAGATGAATTAAAGTGTTCTAGTTTTCTATTCAATTCATCATTTAGTAGCTTTAATCCCTCTTTGAAAAAAGCTTGAACATAAATAAAATAAGAAAATAATCACTGTATGCCCCAAGCTGAAGAACTATATTTTCCTTGATCTTCTTTTGTGCTGAAAGTAACAAAAAGATGGATTTATGTTTAACTAACAATTTCGTGACCTCACTTCATTTTGAGAAATTAGCATTAATGCTATGATTATTTTTATTTTACAAGTCCTTGATTATCTTTCTCCCTGTTTATATATGGTTTTAAAATGTGAACATATTAACATGCAAAAGCTCCTAGTATGTTATAAATCACATTAAATCTGAAGAATAAATTCAAATTTCCTTCATTCTGATTCATTGTCTGGTCCTAGAAACGTCACTGATTCTCTCAGAGCCTTAGTTTTATTATCTGTGAAATGAGCATAATAAAAACATCTACCTCAACTTTTAATTTAAAGTGGCATCTAAGGCTTCCTTTCAAAGGCAGACAGAAACCATCAGAAGCTCCTTTCTCCAGCTACTCTGGGTAAAGTATAATAATATTTTACATATATGGCCAAATAGAAAATCCAGAAAGATGAGTTTTACAGTCCCTAAAATTAAGATATCAAAACCATATAGTGAGAGTTTTTAAAAGCCCAACAAAATCACAATGGTAATGAAACAGGGTATATAACTTAGAGAATTTTGTTTTATACCACTGAGGAAAAGATGGAAAGGGAAGAAATAAAATGTATCCTTTTTTTTTAATAAAGCATGGTAAAATGATTGGGAAGGCTATTTTATTAGGTTAAATATAGCAGTTTAGTCTTATATACTATGGAATATTATTTCCTCAAATTAAACATTTAATCTGATTTGATTTGATCAATACAATTTCATTGTTTTATTTTGACACTTGATATTTTGATAATATTAGTATATTACTTATATAAAACTATATGTGCATGGATGAAATGATGAAATTATTATATTCTCATATGCAATTTTTCATCTATAAGTATGATAGGCTTGCATTATTTTACTTAGGATTTTCTTTCTCAGAGTATTGAAATGCTTACAACAGGTTTGCAAAATGATTTCTACAGCTTCCACAGTTTTATCTGATTTACATTAGTATGTACAACATTGGGATGATGTGTTCCTTAAAGAGTAAAAAATAGTTATATGAGTTTCCTGATGATGACAGTGATGGGCTGTGATGTTTTAGGAAGATTCCTGGCAGTGATAGTAAATAAAGTGTCTTCCTTAAAGTCACACACCTAGTAATTGTAGCGCCAGAATACAAACATTTGTCACTCCAAATTCTGTGCTTCCAACAAGTAAGGTCATAGAGTAAAAGAAACTAAACTCAGAAAGTGGGATGTATAAATGGAATAAAGAAGACAGGCATGAGAAGTGTTATGGGAGCTGGATTTACAAGATACAGAAACTGATTGAATATGATGGCATACAAGGAATTCATAAAATATTGGTTGACGGGAAATTATTTGTTACAGAGACAATCAGAAAACTGATAATGTATCCTACATTATTCAAAAGGAAATTTAAGAGAAATGAGGGAGAAGGGCACAGAGTAGTGGCCAAACACATCCATAGTTTGTCTTTCTGTATTTTGTCCTGCAACTGACCTTTTGGAAAGAGTTAGGTCTTTACTAAACATTTCACGACAGAAAGTAGATGTGATTCACCCATCTGTCTTCTTGGTAGCAGAACTCTCATTGAAAATTTGTCAGCTACCCTGTAATTATTGAGTCTTAAAAACAAAATGGAATAATTTGACAATAGTGTCAAATTTGAGAGATACTTTCTTTAAGAAAAATATTATCTACCATGTATCTGTTTCTAATCATTAATCCTTGAATATATGCCTATAATATCATAAGATGGTGATAGAAACTTCCCCAGAATCTTATACCCACTGAAGTACTAGTGGGATTAAAAAGCATGGCAGCATTTTTAAGGAGAGTGCACCAAGTTACATGATATTGTGATAAGATTGTCAGGGCAACTTGTCCCCAACTTGAGGACATGCAAGAATACCTCATGTATCCAACCAATATTGGACTTAAAGTGAATGAATAAAAGGTTTAGAAAAAAACCTCACGAGATGATCAATTGTATTACTTCTGATCCAAGCTACATCATAAACCTTTGTGTTGAGATAATCAACTCCTATCCAAATGGGCTTGGAGAAGGCATGTCATATGGGCAAGATAAGGGTTAGTTTACTGGAGGAGACAAAGCTTGAGTAAGACTCACCTAAAGGATGAATCATTTTTTTCTTCATTTTTCCCCTTCTAGGATTTTTAACAATGAGATATAATTTACATACCATAAAATTCACTCTTTTAAAGTGTGAACTTCAGTGATTTCAGATATTCAAGAGTTGTGTAACCACCACTACTATTTAATTCAAACAAAATTTCACCATCCCAAAAAGAAACCCTGTACCTATTAGCCATCATTTTTCATTCTGCATTCCCCACTCAGTCATGAGAAATTGCTGATCTACATTCTAGTTATATGGATTTGGCTATTCTGGATTTTCCATATAAATTAAATAATACAATCTGTGATCTTTTGTACCTAATTTCTTTTACTTTCTTTCAAGGTTTGTCCATGTCATAGGTTGTATTAGTAACTCATTCTTTTTATTACCGAATAACATTTCATTGTATGAATGTACCATATTTTGTTTATTAATTTATCAACTGAGGGACATTTGGGGTGTCCACCTCAGGCCAATTATGAATAATACTGTTATGAACATTTATGTCTTTTATATTATTATTATTTTCAAATACACTTTAACTTTATTTTTTACAGCAATTTTAGGTTCATAGGATGTTGAGTAAAAGATACAGGGATTTCCCATATATTCCCTGCCCCTACACTTGCATAGCCTCCTCCATTGTGAATATTTCTCATCAGAGTGGTACATTTGTTAAAACTGATGAACCTACATTGACATATCATAATCACCCAAAGCCCATACTATAAATTAGGGTTCACTCTTGATGTCATACCTCAGTAATTACAAGCTAGCTGAACAATTCTTTGAGTTTAGACAAAAGTATAATAATATTTATCCACCATTCTAGCATCCTACCAACCAGTTTCACCATGCTAAAAATCCTCTGTGTCTGCCTATTCATTCCTACAACCTCCTCAACCCCTGACAACCACTCATTTCTTTTTTTTTTGTCTCCCTGATTTTGCCTTTCTAGAATGTCACATAGTTAGAATCATACAGTATGCAGCCTTTTAAGATTGACACATTTTACTTAATAATATGCATTTTAAATGTCCTTCATGTCTTTTTATGGCTGAATCGCTCATTTGTTTTTAGTGCTGAACAATATTTCATTGTCTGGATGTACCATAGTTGATTAATCTCTTCACCTACTGAATGAAGGGCATCTTAGTTGGTTCCAGTTTTTGCAATTATTAATAAAGCTACTATAAACATCTGTGTGTAGATTTTTGTGTGTACATAAGTTTTCAACTTCTTTGGGGTAAATTTGAAGTGGTGAGATTGCTAGATTATATGGTAAGACTGTGCTTAGTTTTGTAAGAAACTGCCCAATTTCTTTCCAAAGGGGTTTTTCAAAGTGGTGTTGGGAAAATGGCTTTTTCAAAATTTTGTTCCTACCGGTAATTAATGGAAGTTTCTGTTGCTCCACATCCTCTCCAACATTTGGTATCATCAGTATTCTTGGTTTTGGCCATTCTAACAGGTGTGCAGTGGCATCTCATTGTTGCTTAAATGAACATTCTTGGGTTTTATTGGTTTTTGCTTTTGCAAATATTCTCTCCCATTCTTTGAGTTGTCTTTATACTTTCTTGATGGTGTCCTTTGAAGCATTAATATTTTAAATATTGATAAAATTTAGTGTATCCTTTTTTTGTACAAAGCTTGTGTTTTGGTACCATATGTAAAAAACTTATTTTAAGGTCATGACATTTTATACCTATATTTTTAAGAGTTTTATAATTTTAGTTTTTATGTTTATATAAGTGACACGTTTACAGTGAGTTTTTGTGTATAGCGTGAGTTAATGGTCCAGTTCAATTTTTTTCCATGTAAATAGCCAGGTTTTCTAGCACCATTTATTGAAAAAGAATGTTTTCATTTTGAATTGTCTTGGCATCCTTTTGAAAAATCAATTGAATGTACATGTAAAGATTTATTTCTGAACTCTCAAACTTCTGCATGATTTACATATCTATATGTTAGTACCACTCTGTTTTTTAATACTGTAGCTTTGCAGTAAGTTTTCAAGTTTAAAAGTGTAACTCCTCCAAGATTTATTTCATTTATTCAAGATTATTTAGGCTACTCTTGCTTCATTGCATTTTCCATATGAATTTTAAGGTCAATTTATCAATTTCTGGAAAAAAAGTTGAGATTTTAACACGGTTTACACTGAATCTATAGATCAATTTGTAACACTTGCTAAACAAAATTAAGTCTAGACCGTGAACATGGTAAGTTTTTCCTTTTAATAATGTCATCTTTATTTTCATTAAATTATGTTTTCAAGTTTTCATTGTGTAATGTAAGTCTTTCATGTGCCTCAACAGGTTCATTCCAATGTATTTTATTCTTTCTGTTGCTATTTTCTTAATTTCATTATCAGTTTGTTTGTTGCTGGTTATAGAAATAGTTGATTTTTATCTTGATATTTTGTCCTGCAACCTTGCTGAAATAATTTATTAACACTAATTGTTTTTTATTCCTCAGAATTTTCTACATACAAGATCATGTCATTTTAAAATAGAGGTAGTTTTACTTTTTGCTTTTCAAAATCTGAATTTTCTTTATTTTATTTTTGCACCTATTTTTTACTGACTGTAATCTCCCACTACAATGTTAAATAGAAGTGGCAAGCGTGAACGTCTTCAATTTTTTTTTTTCCTGTTGTGAGGAGGTAAGCTTTCTGTTTTTTGTGTGTGGTTTTTTTGTTTTGTTTTGTTTTGAGACGGAGACTTGCTCTGTTGCCCAGGCTGGAGTGCAGTGGCGGGATCTTGGCTCACTGCAAGCTCCGCCTCCCGAGTTCTCGCCATTCTCTTGCCTCAGCCTACCAAGTAGCTGGGACTACAGGCACCCGCCACCACACCTAGCTAATTTTTTTTTTTTTTTTTTTTTTGTATTTTTTTAGTAGAGATGGCGTATCACCGTGTTAGCCAGGATGGTCTCGATCTCCTGACCTTGTGTTCTGCCCACCTCAGCCTCTCAAAGTGCTAGGATTACAGGTGTGAGCCACCCTGCGTGGCCAACTTTATATTATTAATATATTATACTAATATATTTGTCCACATTGCCTCACCCTTGCATTTAAGGAATAATGCAAGGGTGATTCAATGGACACATTCAATGTACCCATTTGCTTATAATATGTAACTTCTTCTGTGTTGCTGAATTCCCTTGGCTAGCATTTGTTGATTTCAGCATCTATAATCATAATGAATGTTATTCCGTGGTGTTATTTTCTTGTGATGTCCTTTTCTGTTTTTGGTTTTAGGGTAAAACTGGCCTCATAGTTGAAAAGTGTCTCCCTCCTTTCTCGTTTTGGAAGAGTTTGTGAAAAATCAGTGTTAATTCTTCTTCAAATGTTTGGTGGAATTCACAAGTGAAGCCATCTGTTCGTGGGTTTTTATTGTGGGAAGTTTTTATTTTAAATTATTTTTTATTACTATTTAAATTGCTCTACTTCTCATAAGTCTGTTCAGACTTTTTTATTTCTCCTTAATTTAGTTTCAGTGGTTTAAGTCTTTCCAGAATTTTTTGTATTTTGCTGGTACAAAAATGTTCATTTTATTCACTTATACTACATTCTATTTCATAAGTTTGGAAAGAATTTCCTATTTTCCATTCCTGTTTAAAAACTGACTTTTCTGTTTGTTTTCTTTTTCAGTCTAGTTAAAAGTTAATGATTTAAAAATATTTTCACAGAACCAACTTTTATTTTTATTTGTTTTCTCTATTATCTATTTTCTATTTTATTAACTCCTACTCTAATTTTCACTAGTTCTTCTACTTGCTTTGAATTAGTTTTCTCTTATCTAGAAAAAAACTCGAAGTTTTTGTAGGTAGAATATTAGGTTATTGATTTGAAATCTTTCTTTAAAAAATCATAGAAAGCTCTAAATTTCTCTTTCAGCCTTGCTTTAGTTACACCACATAATTTCCTTATGTTGTGTATTTGCTTTCATTCATCTCAAAATATTGTTTTACTAACCATTGTTTACTAATTTTTTTATTTTTAATTTTTGTAGGTACATGGTAGATGTATGTATTTATGAGGTACATGAGATAGAGGCATACAATGCATAATAATCATGTCATAAAAATGGGGTATCCATCCCCTCAAGCATTTATTCTTTGTGCTACAAAGAAATCCAATTATACTATTTTAATTATTTTTAAATGTACAATTAAATTCCTATCGACTATAGTCACTCTGTTATGCTATCAAATACCAGGTCTTGTATGTTCTTTCTATTTTTTGGGGGGCATACCCATTAACTATTTCCACCTCACCCCACCCCCCACTACCCTTCCCAGCCTCTGGTTATAATCCTTCTACTCTCCATCTTCATGAGTTCAATTGTTTTGATGTTTAGATCCCACAAATAAGTGAGAACATGCGATGTTTGTCTTTCTGTGCCTGGCTGATTTCACTTAACATAATGACCTCTAATTCCATCTAGGTTGTTGCAAATTATAAGGGCTTATTTTTTTAATGGATGTATAGTACTCCATTGTGTTATAAGTACCACATTTTCTTCATCCACTCAACTGTTGGTGGACACTTAGGTTGCACTCAAATTGTAGCTATTGTGAACAGTGTTACAATAAACATGGGAGTGCAGATATCTCTTTGATATACTGATTTCTTCGCAGTATAAACATACCAGTGGGATTGCTGGGTCATATGGTAGCTCTGTTTTTAGTTTTTTGAGGAACCTCCAAACTGTTTTCCACAGTGGTTGTACTAGGTTATATTCCCAACAACAGGCTATGAGGGGGTCCCTTTTCTCCACATCCTCACCAGCATTTGGTATTGCCTGTCTTTTGGATAAAGTGTTTCTAATTTTTTCGTAGTCATTTCATAGTTTGAGGTCTTAGACTTAAGTCTTTAAATTATTTTGATTTGATTTTTCTGTATGTCAAGAGATAGAGGTCTAGTTTCATTCTTCTGTATATGGAAGTCCAGTTTTCCTAGAACCATTTATTAAAGAGGTTATCTTTTCCCCAGTGTATGTTCTTGGCACCTTTCTCAAAAATGAGTTCACTGAATATGTGTGAATTCATTTTTGGGTTTTCTGTTCTGTTCCATTGGTGTATGTGTCTGTTTTTATGCCAGTACCATGCTGTTTTTATTACTGTAGTTCTGTAGTGTAATTTAAAGTCATGTAATGTTATTTCTCCTGTTTTGTTCCTTTTGCTTTAGATAGTTCTGGCTATTCTGAGTCTTTTGTGGTTCCATATCAATTTTAGGATTGTTTTTTCTATTTCTGTTACCAATGTCATTTGTATGTTGATAGGGATTATATTAAATCCATAGATACCTTTGGATAGTATGGATATTTTAACAATATTAATTCTTCCAATTTATGAATATGGAATGTCTTTCTATTTTTGGTGTCCAATCACTTTCATCAGTGTTTCATAATTTTTATTGTAGAGATCTTTCACTTTTTGGTTAAGTAAATTCCTATGTACTTACATATTTAATTTTATTGTGGCTGTGGTAAATAGGATTACTTTCTTGATTTCTTTTTCAAATTATTTACTGTTGACATATAGAGATGCTACTAATTTTAATGTTAATTTTTACCCCACAATTTTAATGAATTTGTTTTTCAGTTCTAAATTTTTGGGGACATTTATAGGTTTTTCTAAATGTAAAATCATATCATCTGCAAACAAGGATGATTTGACTTCTTTCTTTCCAGTTGGATGTCCTTTTGTTCTTCCTCCTGTGTCATTGCTCTAGGTAGAACTTCTAATACTATGTGGAATAACCATGGTGAAAGTGGGCATCCTTGTCATGCTCCAGATCTTAGAGGACAGCATTTCAGTTTTTCCACATTTTGTATGATACTAGCTATGGGTCTATCCTATATGGCTTTTATTATGTTGATGTATATTCCTTCTATATCCATTGTTTTAAGGGTATTTTTAAATTATGACAAGATATTGAATGTTCTCAAATGCTTTTCAACATCAATTGATATAATCAAATAGTTTTTGTCATTCATTCTGTTGATATGAGGTATCACATTGATTGATTTGTGTATGTTAAACCATCCTTGCATCACTGGGATAAATTCCACTTGGTCATGATGAATAATCTTTTTACCGTATTGTTGAATTCAATTTGCTAGTATTTTATTGAGGATGTTTACATCAATCATCATCAGAGATATTGACCTTTAGTTTTCTTTTTGTGATGTGTCTATGTCTGTTTTTTAAAATCAGGGTTATAACTGGCCTTGTAGGATGAGTTTGGAAGTATTTTCTCCTCCTTCATTTTTTGGAAATAGTTTTGAGTGTGAATGGTACCAGCTCTTCTATAAACGTTTGGTACAATTTTGTTTGTCTGGGAATGCCTTTATTTCTCTTTCATATTTGAAGGATATTTTCATCAGATATATTAGTCTACGGTAAAAGGTTCCCCCCCCCCACCCCTTCAGCACCTTAAATATGTCATGTCACTCTTTCCTGGCCTATAAGGTTTACACTGAAAAGTCTGCTGCCAGATGCTTTGGAACTCCATTGGATATTTGCTACTTTACTCTTGATATTTTTAGTGTCTTTTCTTTACTCTTGACTTTTGAGAGTTTAATTATTAAATGTCTTGATGTAGTCTTCTTTGGGTTAAATCTGCTTGATGTTTCATAACCTTCCTGCACTTGGACACTGATATATTTCTCTAGGTTTGAAAATTTCTCTGATATAATCCTTTTGAATAAACTTTCTACCCCTATCTCTTTAACTTCTCTTTAAAGCCAATAACTCTTAGACTTTCTTTTTTGAGGCTGTTTTCTAGATTCTGTAGGCATGCTTAATTGTCTTGTTATTCCTTTTTCTTTTTATGTCCTCTGACCGTGTATTTTCAAATGGCCTGTCTTCAAGGTCACTTCTTTCTTCTGCTCAATTAATTCTGCTATTAAAAGACTGATGCATCTTTCAGTATGCTAGTTGCATTTTCCATCTCCAGAATTCTGCTTGATTCTTTCAAATTATTTCAATCTCTTTGTAAAATCTATCTGACTGAATATGATAAATTTTCTCCGTGTTATCATGAATGACTTTGAGTTTTCTCAACACAGCTATTTTGAATTCTGTTTCTGAAAGATCACATATCTCTGTTTTTCCAGGATTGGTCCCTCATGCCCTATATAGTTCATTTGGTGAAGTCAGAGTTTCCTAGATGGTATTGATGCTAGTAGATGTTCTTTGGTGTCTGAGCATTTAAGAGTTAGGTATTTATTGTAGTCTTTAGGAGTTAGGTATTTATCATAGTAGTGAAAAGAATGCTTTTCAATATCCTTCCTTCTTGGGAAGGCTTTCCAGATTTTTGAAAGGACTTGGGTGTTATGGTCTAAGCTCTGTTGGCCTTATGGGGCACCCCAAGTCCAGTAATGCTGTTGGTCTTACAGATTTGTAGAGCTACCACCCTCATGACCTCGGGCAATATCTGGAAGAATTCTCTGTATTACCAACTAGGCGCACTTGTTCTCCTCTCTACTTTCTCCCAAACAAATGGAGCCTCTCTCTCTCTGTTATGAGGCACCTAAATGTGGGGGTAGAGTGAAACAAGCACTGCGGTAGCAACCATCAGAAGAACTGCACTGGATCAGACCTGCTGTCAGTACAGCACTGAGTCTTGCCCAAGGGCTGCTGTAATCACTGCCTGGTTACCGCCTGTCTGCTCAAGGCCCTGGGGCTCTACAATCAGCAGGTGGCAAAGCCATCCAGACCTGTGTCCTTCCCTTCGGGGCACCCCCACCACAGTCCCATGGAAAGTTCTGCCAGACTACTGCCAATGTTCCTTCTAGGGCCAAGGGCTCTTCAGTCAGCTTGTGGTAAATGCTGCCTGGCCTGGGACTCACCCTTCAGGGCTGTAGGCTCCCTTCTGCTCCAGGGAAGGTCCAGAAATGCTTTCCAAGAGCCAACACCTGGAATCAGGGACTTCAAGAGCCCACTTGGTGCTCTAGCCCCCTATGACTGAGCTGGTGCCTAAGATGCAATGCAAAAATCTCCTTTATGTTTCACTCCACCTTTCTTAAACAGAAATCTCTGAGCCAGCAAGTCTCAGAGTCTCACAGAAGGCTTTCAGTGTACCACCTGGGTATTACTGCTGGTCATTTAGGCCCCAAGGGCTCTTCAGTTAACAGGTGATGAAGCCTGCTAAGATGGGGTCCTTCCCTTCAAGGCAGCAGGTTCCCTTGTGTCCCATGCTGTGTCTAGAAATGTTCAGGAGCTAGGGTCTAGAAAGGGCCTCATGACTCTGACTGGCACACTATCCCACTGTGGTTGGTCTTGTATCTCAGATGCAAGGCAAAATCTTCCCCACTCTTCCCTCTCTTCTCCTCAAGTGGAATAAAGGGTTCTATTTTGGAGCTGCAAGTTGTATTAATAAATCCTTGGGTTACAGGAGAAATGATGTCAACACTCCCTTAGTCACCCCAGCTGATGTTTAAGTAGGTCTCGGGCCTCCCCAGCTTTCTGGCTTTGGGCCCAGTTCACTAGGATTCACCTAGGCATTGCAGTCCTTGTGGTCTAGACTGCCTTTCAAATTTATTTAAGACCCTAGAGCATTTTCTTTCACAAAAACCAAAGACCGTTTCTCCTATGTCTTTGGTGCCTCTATGAGCAATATGAAGTTAATGCCGGTACTGTTAGTTCTCACTTGATTTTTAGTTCTTATAAAGGTGCTTTTTGTGTAGATAGTTGTTGAATTGGTGTCCTTGCAGGTGAGAAATGATTGGTGAAATCTTCCATTCTGCCTTCTTGCTCTGCCTCCCTGCATCTCAAAATATTTTTAATATCACTTGTGATTTATTCTTTGACTGATTTTTCTTTCAGGAGTATGTTGTTTAATGGCCACATATCTGTGTATTTCCCAAATTTTCTTATTGCATTTACTTGTAGTTTAATTTCATTATTGCCAGAGAACATATTTTGTACAATTTCAGTTCTTTTAAATTTGATGAAACTTATTTTATAAATTAACATATGGCTAATTCTGGAGACTGTTGTACATGAGCTTATGAGTGTGTATATATTAATGTTGTTGGATGGAGTATTCTATAGATTAGAACTATTAGGTCTAGCAGGTTTCTAATGTTGATAAAGTTTTCTATTTCCCTGTTAAATTTAAATCAAAATTTTCTGTACATTATTGAAAGTGGGATACTGAAGTCTATGTTATTGTTGAATTATCTTTTTCTTCAATTTTGTCAATTTTTGCTTTAAGTGTTTTGGTTCTCTGTTTTTAGATGCATAAATATTTATTATTATTTTATATTTGTCATGGCTTGACTGTTTTATCTCTCTTTGTCTCTAGTTACCTCTTTTTAAAAAAAATTTGTATTACTATAGTTGATCCAATTATCTTTGCTTACAGTTTGCATGGCATATGTTTTTTCATTCTTGTTTTTTGAAACTACTGTAGCTTTAAATCTAAAGTTTGCTTTAGCAGACAATATATAGCTGAATTATTTTTTAAAAATCCCTTCTACCAGTTTGGTTTTGTTTGAAATCTTAAGTCTATTTATATTTAATGTGACCACAGATAACATAAGATTTACTTCTGCCACTTTGCTATTTGTTTTCTATATGTATAATGTCTTTTTAATTTCTCTCTTTGACTATTACTATCTTCTTTTGTATTAAATATATGTTTTATAGCTTACCATTTTAATTCCTTTTTTCTTTTACTATAATATTTGAATGATTTTCTTTTGATTGTCCTGGGAGGATAACAATTAACATCTTAGTTTATAACAATGTTATTTATATTAATACCAGATTTGCTTCTGTATAGCCTATTTCCCTCTCCCATCTTTATGCTGTTATTGGTATACAAATTCCAATTGTATGCATTGTATGCATAACACTACAGTTTTATTAGTATGGTATATGCTTATATAATATTATAACAATAGGATATATAAGTTGGAAAATTTTAAAAATTACAAATAATGAAAAACACATATTGCACCTCTTTTATATTTACATGTTTTTTTTTCACTGTTTCATGTGGATTTGAGTTATTCTCTAGTGTTCTCTCTTTTTGGCCTGAAAAAAAATCCCCTTAGATGTTTATTTTTCATATAGTTTGATGGCTGGATCCAGTTTTATTGTACTTTTCCAAATGTATAATTCTGGAACTATTTACTGAATAGTTTTGCTTTTCTTTACTGATGAGTAATGCCATTTCTCTTAAATATCAAGTTTCCTATGTGCCAAGGTCCATTTCTTATATCTCTATCCCATTTCTGAAGAAAGATAATTCCAGATGGCTTTAAATAGCTGTTTCCTCCCCCTTTGTGAAGTCTCTCTCCTGTCCCCTTTCTGTTTGCTCATAAGAGCTGGCTTAGCACCTTGAGCAGCATAAATGTATACACATTAAGGTCTCTGGCTGACAGCAGCCACATTGGCAAGAGAACTCCATTAGCTAAGTTACAATCCTAAATATTCTTTTTTGCTGGTCAGGAATCTTTCATTATTACATAGTTAACTAGGTATTTTCTGTCTCCTTCCAATTATTTTATAAAGAAATAAAATAACATGCATATTTGCCTTAGGAACACTTTGCATGTTATGTCTAAATGTGTCTGTCTCAACTAACTGGGAGTTTATAAGAGGTTGGGGATCAAGTGCAACTGTAACTTCTTTTTTTTAGATTATGTTCTCAGATGATTTTTCTTTATATTTATCTCACATGTTACTATTGTGCATGTAACATTTCATTTGATCTATATATTTCTATCTTTATTCCAAATAGCAATAAAATTTTTAACTATAATTAAAAAAAATTTAGAGATAGGGCACTCCACCCAACGTGACTCTTCTTCCAGTCATGATTTCTGTATCAATTTTTAACTTACTAACATCAGATCTGTTTCCATACTCTATTGCAGTAATTTTTGAAATAAGGTTGAGGAATAAATAAATATCACCCCTTTGAAAATTGAGAAGGTATTTTAAATTCTTCTGAGACTCAATGACATTGAAGGATAAATTATTAATTTTGTATTCCCCATAGCATCTAGCAAAGTGTTTACACATTGTCAGTGTTTAATAAAAGCTTACTGTTACAGTAAAAGATAATATGAGTGAATTAATTAATAAGAATATGAGTTGTAAACTACTAAAAATAGAAGCCTCTTGTGGGCCAGGGCCATTCTACCTTAGTTTTTCATTTTTTTGTCCCATGTGCGTATCATAGTATAATTAATCTAGCAAATGTTTGATAAAAGTTAATGATTTCATTTGAAGTTTACCATATATATATATTTGCTTTAAGTAATGGAATACCTGCCTAAAAGTGATTTAAAAATAGGGTTTTATATCTTACATAAGGAGATTACTGAAAGTAGAGCTTTTCAGATTTGGCTAATTCAGCAACTCAGCAAAGTTAAGATGCTTAAGGAGCACCTCTGTTATTCTTTTGGGTCTCTTCTTAAAGCCACATCACAGCACTTAAACCTCTGCACGATGGCCACAGACAACAATTCTCAGAGTAATAAGGAAGGTCAGGGTTTCTCCTCATTTTATCTCTTTCATCATGGAGTAAATCAGGCACAAGAGCCCCCAGCTACCTGCTTTTTATGTTTCAATGGGTACATGCAGACACCTATCATTCATTGGCCAGGACTTCTATGATTTATCTTAAAGTGGAGTGTGACTTACTTGAACAGAAAGCTAAGAGATCCTGAAACAAAACCAAATTCCCATGCCAATGAAAAAGGATGAATTTGCTTTGAGAAATAAAGTTAACAGTTCCTGCCATATGGAGTTTTATTTTTTCAAGTCAATAATATGGACAGACAGCATAGCAAACATACTGAAAATAACTATTCTATAGGATTTTCTTATTCTAGTTGATCTACAGAGCTTTTAAAAAGAAAAGGTTGAATGTTAGTTTCTAATATCTTTAAATTTCTGTAATTTAAACTAATTGTAAAAGAGTTTACTCCTAATCAGCAATGTAACAGCCTGTTTTTGTTTCTCTCAAAGTTATCTTGTCAACATAAAACTGTGCTATGTCTTAATTTCTTCACAGAAATTTAGAGGAAAAAAAAAGCAATACATTCTACAGCATGGCCTGCATTGCAGTAATCTTAATAAGTAAACTATGTGTATACATTAATGAGAATTAATTTTTCACAGATTGAGTAGAATTTGTACACCCAAAAGATGAGTTCATCCAACAAAATAAACACATACAATGTATAATCTATTAATGTTATTTTATTATACAGATTGATTCTGGGATTTTTCTTTAAAAATTAGATGTTATGCCTCTTTACCACTTTTTTAAAATTTTGGGATTTTGTTTTTGGTGGGAAGAGGTGAAATAGGTTTCCTGAGACCATATTTCATTGATTTCAATTGTTAATTTTTATACCAAGTCGTTATTTGTGTATTAATCTTGTTACTAAGATTTAGGAGTCAAAAATTAGATTTTGATTAAATCTCATGTGACTTCTCTTTTGCTTGTTTTCGAAACTACTTCAAATATACTGTTTTAAAAGTAGTTCCATTAAACTTCTGAGCAACACGATCATTATTGGAATAAATATACGGTTTTATAGGTTACAAAGGAAAATGTTTATTGAGATCCATTTGTTCTGTTCTCACTGATATTTGCTAATCTGTCTGATTTATTCTATATATCTAACAGTGTATAAATATTTAAACTATTTAGAGTGTCCTTCCATTGATATTGCAGTAATTTGAATTCAAGGTTGATAAATGATCCTGAAGTATCTACTAATCTTTGTAGTACTAAAGTTTCCTAACAATTGGAGTAAATCCAGTATTGTCTTTTGGATGAGCATGGTAATCCTTGGGTATAAAATACATGATGGACAATTTCTCTGAATATCTTTGCTAGCCTCATAAAATGGGCATCCAAGAATGTGCTGAGCTTATGAAACAGGTAACCAAGCTAGGAAACAGATAAGATTTCTAACTTAAATTGACCATTATGTGAAATGAACAGAAGTAGCTTCCATTTCCTGAATAAGGAATAATTTCTTCCTTTCTGTAAATTGGGCGGCAATTGATATGAGTGGGAAAAAAACAAAACAAAACATACAAAAAACACTTCTAAAACCTAATACCAATCCTTTGCCTATGTAAAGGAGCACTTTCAAGTTTGGTGAGAGTATTTGCAATTATGGAGTTGGGAAAAGATATAAGTTACTCTTTCTCCTTCTGTTGAAAATTTACCTCCATGAAATTAAGCCATGTATCCCCTTATTCTTAGGAGGTAACTTGTGTCCATGAGGTGAGGTCTACATAGTGTAAATCAAATGGAAAAGGCAAATAGAGATTGGGGAAGGGTGGAGAGTTATGTGGATTTCTGGTTTCCTACTTGCTATTGTCTAATATGTGCGTAGCTGCACAAGTACATGGAAGCACAGGCACATGGAGACACACATGCACATATGCATGCCTTTCCTCTAATCTGGAGTTCCCCACATGGTTTACTGGCTGAGGCAAATTCATTTTTTTTTCTGACTAGGAAAAAAAACTACCAGTTCTTTTATCAACAGTACCAGTTCTTTTGCTGCTTAATAACATGTTATATTCTATGAACACTCTATTTGTCTCTTTGTATTTTTATTCTCATTACCTACTTTTAAAATCTTAGTTATATTTTATCTTATATTTTTTGATACTCTGTTTATAAACATCAAGCTTTCCTTCTGTATTATACTACAAGTTCCCTGTGGACAAAGACCACATTTTTAATTACCTAAATAGAGTGGGCATTTAAAAATAATTTTGTGTTTAATGAGTTAAAATATATCCCTCAGTGATGAGCACATTGAAAAAGTGTAAATAATTATATCTGTATTAATCTAAAGTCATTATAGAGCATTTATTTTTCTCTAGGTTGTACAAAAATGTACATTGAAGGAATGTATACATTTATGCATACAGCGCAGTAAAGGCACAATTTAAGAGTTTTATTCCAAGGAGGTTTTAAGATTTAAGTCATACATACTCAATATTTCCCCTACAAATATTTAAAACCATTCCAAAAATACAAAACAAATATTTTTTTATATCTGCCTATACAAAAACAATTCTCTCTCTCTCCCACACACATACATACAAATACACTTATGCTTTTGTCTCGGCATTTGAACCATTTTGCCTTTATGATAACTACAAAATGCCTAGAGAGAACAGAATTAGGATTACTGCTGAGCATTTTAAAGCATTTTAAAATGTGCTTATTTGTGTTTATTTGCAGTGTTTACTTAATGCTGTTTTCATATTAACACTCAAACTCTGAATATGCTTAATGGGTATTTTTCTTCATAGGCATTAAATAAGATATAATAGTTGCATCACACATATGGGTTTTAAAAACTTATTTATAGATTCATTTGCTATTCAACAGATATTAACATAGTGCTTACTATAGGTGGGTATTATTCTAGACAATGGGAAGGACAATAGAATCAAGGCAGACAAGGTTCCAACTTTTAGAGTTTCATCGAACTCAGGAGAAAAGAAATAAGCATACAAAGCAAGCAAATATCAAATAGTGTTAATACTAAGAAGAACATTCAATAGGGTGTTGTTTAGCCTATGAATATTGTAGGTGGGTCAATATGAAGACCCTAAGGCAGAAAATAGCCTAGAATGTTTGAAGAGGAAGAAAGCTACAGGCTGGCACTTGGGCAGTGAAGAAGAGAGTAATTTTTGATGTGATCAAAGAAGTAGGCAGGCATCATCAGATCATGTGAAGCTGTATGGGCCAAATAAAGGATTTTAATGTTATTTAAAATTCTCTCAGAAGCCATTGGGGTTTCCAAGTAGAGAAGTGACATGATCAGATTTACATTTTAGAAAAGATTACTAGGCTACTATGTGGAAAATGCATTGCAGGGAGAAAAGAAGGAAATAAGAGCAATTAGGAAGTTCCTGCAAATTCAGTCAAAATATGATCAGTTAGAGTCTAGCAAGTTGCAAGTAGAGATGGAGAGAAATGGACAGATTCTGGTTATATTATTAAGACAAATTGTAAAGTGAGCAGGAGGGTTAAATGTCAATAATTATTATGTGAAAATACAGTGTTTATTATAGGCTGTGCTTATTGTTTTCATCATCATTGTACATGTAAGTACCAGAAAGACTGTGGCTTACTGTGAAGCAGCATAGCAAAACAGTAGAGACAGATAATCTGGATGTTGGAGAGATTATTTCAACCTTTCGTGCCTCAGTGTTCTCATCTATGAAATGAGACATAGCAATATTATATAATGCATAGAGATGGTGGCAGGATTAATATAAGTAAAGTGCTAACAAAATATAATAATAAAAGTTATTTTTGAATGAGCACTCTATAGAATCAATATGATTTAATGAACATTCTAATGATTTTGCAACTAAATAGACCTAAACTTAAATACTTGTTTCATAATGTGTCATTTCTCCTTAGCTTTGAACAAATTGTTAAAACTCCATGAGCATGTTTCTCCCCTATATAATGGAGATATTAAATTATACATCACAAGTAATGTAAAAATTAAAAATATATATATTTGCAAATCACCCAACATCATATCATGATTGGTACCTACAAGAAACTTTGGTATTAGTTTTTTGTTGTTGTTGTTGTTTGCAATGGAAATACAGTGTTAGCATTCCTCTCCCACTTAGAAAGACAAAATTGTGTGCAGAGGTTTACAACGTGAGCTTTTTAATCCAAGAAGCTATGCAGGGACTTAACAGGAAAACTGAAATCCACAGACCCTTTGAAAGAAGTGGCAGGCTGCAACCTATACCATGAACCAGGTAAAAAACTGTAAGTCCCAAGAGTGTGAGAGGAAGAGAGACTGCCTCCAGGATATACACCACCACCAGGGAATCTGGAAATCCAGGCCACAGGATAAGACCTTAACCCCAACCAGAGCTTAAGCTGATTTAGGGAGCAGTGAGGAATATAAAAGTAGAAGCAGCAGCAGGAAGAGCCTTGCATGCATTCCCCATCTCCAGCACAGACCAAGGGAAGCCATTTCTTATTCTACCTCACAGGGTACCTCACAGAAGCCTGCCAACTAACTCAGCCAGTGGTTGGAGATTGAAAGAAGCTCCCAACTGAATTTTGCAATATAACCTCAAGTAAGGATGAGCTCCCTTGACTAAAATTAGAGGGCATGTGGGAAGTGTGCTGCATCCACAAGTGTAGAAGCTGGGCACCCTGGCTTTGTGGGTGGACTAGGAGGGGTGTTGCCTGAAAGCCATGGTTTCTGTCTCTGAAAGGAAGGCTTATGGCCTGGGGCAGTTTTGAATTTTGAGTATAGATGGCCTGGAGCTTAGCTAGTTGCTGCTAGGAAACACTGCTGGTGTGAGATCTGCCTTGCCAAGTGTGTGGGAGCTGGGTGAGGCTTACTGCCACCTGCTACTCCCCATTCCCTGTGCAAACACTTCTGTGCAGCAGAGGCAGCCACACTCCTCTCTAGAACATTACTCTAGTGGCCAGGGAACTGCCCCTTGACTTCTACAGGGCCCACTGCTTGCCATGCATAAGGAGAGCCAGAGAGTGGACCTCCCTGATCCAGCCTCCACATGGACCTGCCTGACCCAGGCTGACCCAACCTCCACATCCCTCTGCCTGCCCTGGTGGCTTTACACAAAAGACAGAAACTTTTGGAAGCTTTATGGCCCTACCTATCACCTGAGAAATCAGAGTACCTCCCTTCAGTAACATAAGGGAAGCACAAATCTCACTGCTCCTACTACAGCTAGTACTCTTCTGAAAGTATCATCTCCTGGCTGGAGGCCACTGACACAGTCCATTACAGCATCTCCCAGTAGAATAACACTGCACCAAAGAAAGGGAAAACTTGCGCATGACCTCAACTATCACCATGGCCTCTACTACCCTGGCTAACAAGGAGGTCCTGAGTCTGTCCATGTGAACAGTTCATTAATATTACAACCAGCATTTGAGAAAGCCAACAGGTTAAGTCTATTTATAACTAAGGAATCTCACAGAGTCTACTTCACTTCCTTGCCACCCCCATTAGAGCTGGTACTGGTATCCACTGCTGGAAGACTTTAGGACAGGTCACATTACTGGATCCCTTGCAGACATTCTTCAACAACAGTCCAGAGTGTGGCAGCCCCATTGGGTGGCTAGACCCAGAGGAGCAACAGCATTCACAGTAGACTGGCTCTCATGGACTCCCACTCTTAGGGAAAGGGGGAGTGTACCACATCAAAGGAACACTTTATGATACAAAATAATCTGGATGGTAAGCCTTTAGTTCCAGATATTTCAGCTGGTGGGAAGTTTATTTCAGCAGGAAAAGTCTCAAGCTCTACCCCAACAGTCAGGCAGCCTTCATGCTCACGAAGGGTCTTGAAGAAGGGAACTTCTTTTCCCCTCATCCATCACTGCAGACACAGCTGGGGATTTTCTCATGGAGGCTAGGTATGGGTGCACCTGTAGACAGCCTTTCTGGAACACTTCAGGGTGACTGGATCCCCACAGGAGGAGCACCCTCCAGGTTCAGGCTTACACAAGAGGTAGACTCAAAATTTCTCTCTACTTGGAACATCAATATTCCTGCAGATAAAAAGAGGTGCCTATCTGAACTGGATAGCTAGGACACTGGGTCAGGAGTGTGTTTGGGAAGTGGATATCTTTCCTGCTGTCCTGGCATGGGAGTTGAGGTGGCCATTATCCTAAAACGTAAACCTCAGTGCGTTTTACTGAGAGCTTCCCCAACCACCTTTATCAAGGCTGGTGCCTCTGCCTACATATGGGTATTGCATTTATCCCCCTGCTTTAGCCAAAACTGATCTCTACCCAAGGACACATCTGCTACTGACCTGAAGCTTGAACTATTCAACTCGGTAAATAAAATACTGGGGAAAATTGCCAAAGCAATCCTAAGCAGAAAAAACAAATCTAGAGGCATCACATTGCTGAACTTCAAATAATACTACCAGGCTATAATTGTCAAAACAGTATGGTATTAATATAAAAGTAGGTACACAGACCAGTGGAGAAGAATTGAGAACCCAGAAATAAAGCAAAATACTTTTAACCAACTGATCTTCAACAAAGTATTCAAAAACATATTGGGGAAAAGATGTGCTATTTAATAAATGGTGCTGGGAAACCTGGCTAGCGACATGTAGAAGAATGAAACAGATCCCTAGGTCTCACCTTATACAAAAATCAACTCAAGAAGGATCAAAGACTTAAATCTAAGATCTTCTGAAGATAACATTGGGAAAAATCTTCCGGATATTAGCCTAGGCAAAGAATTCATAACTAAAACCCGAAAAGCAAATGCAACAAAAAAATAAAAAAGTTAATGGGACCTGATTAAACTAAAAAGCTTCCAAACAGCAAATAATAATAATAATAATAATAATGAGCAAAGTAAGGAGACAACCCACAGAATGAAGAGAATATTTGCAAACTATGCATCCAACAAGGATATATCCAGATATAGATTCTGGATGTATATTTGGTGCATGTATCCAGAATCTACAAGGAACTCAAACAAATCAACAAGAAAAAAATAATAATCTCATCAAAGAGTGGGCAAATAATATTAATAGACATTTCTCAAAAGAAGATATATAAATGGACAAGAAACATATGAAAAAAAGATTCAACTTCACTCATCATCAGAGAAATGCAAATTAAAACCACAGTGAGATACCACCTTACTCTAGAATGAATGACCATTATTAAAAAGTCAAAAAAAATAGATGTTGGTATGGCTGTGGCGCAAAGGGTACACTTACACATTGCTGAAAAGAATGTAAATTGGTAAAACCTCTATGGAAAACACTATGGAGATTACTTAAAGAACTTGAAGTAGATCTACCATTCAATCTAGCATTCCCGCTACTGGATATCTATGCAAAGGAAAATAAGTCATTATATGAAAAAGACACATGCATACGTATATTTATTGCAGCACGATTCACAATTGCAAAGATATGGCATGAACCTATGTGCCCATTGAGCAATGAGTGGATAAAGAAAATGTTTTATATATTTTTTATAATTATAATATTATATAAATATTATATATATATACACACACACATACACACACACCATAGAATGCTACTCAGCCATAAAAAGGAATAGAACAATATCTTTTGCAGCAACTTGGATGGAACTAGAGGCCCTTATATAAGTGAAGTAATTCAGGAATGGAAAACTAAGTACCACATGTTCTCACCCATAAGTGGGAGCTAAGCTATCAGTACACAAAGGCATACAGAGTGATAAAATGGACTGTGGAGACTTAGAATGGTGAGGGTGGGAGAAGGGTGTGGGGTTAAAAAATTACATATTGGGCATAATGTACACTACCTAGGTGACAAGTACACTAAAATCTCAGAATTCCCCACTATATAACTCATTCATGTAACCAAAAACCACTTATACCCCAAAAGCTATTGAAATAACAAAGTCATAAAATTTAAAAAGAACTTTAATATTAGTTACCATGAAGATTAAATTTTTGTTTCTAATTCTCTTTTTAATCAATAAAAAATTGATTTGAGTTAAAGTATAGAACACTTCCAAGCAGAATATTCATCTAGAGTGAATATTTATAGAAAAGTTCTATTTCTCAAAAAATACATGCGTTTATGATGTCAAGCAGTCAGAATCCTTCAGTGTAAAGATTATTGCTTGAAAGTTCTTTTAAATTTTAAGATATTTGACAAATAAAAATTGTGTATAATCAAGTGCACAATGTGATTTGATATATGTTTACATCATGTAATAATTAACATAATCAGACTACTTAACATATCTGTCATCATCCATAGTTGTCATTTGCATGTGTTTGTGGCAGAGGAAGGGTTTTGTTTTTCTCTGGTCTGTTATCAAATTTCAAGTAAACAACAGTATTATTAACTATAGTTACCATGCTGTGTACTATATCCCCAGAACTATTCACCTTATACTGAAAGCTTGCAACCTTTGACCAGCTTCTAGTCATTTACCCCACCCTTCAGTCTTAGATAACAATCATTCTACACTGTGCTTCTATGAGGCTTTCTTCTTCCACATATCTTTTCCATGTATAAGTAAAATTATACAGCATTTTCTTTTCTATGCCTGGCTTATTTCATTTAGAATACTGTCCTCCAGGTTCATCTATTTGTTGCAAATGACAGGACATCCTTCTTTTTTATGGGTAAATAATATTTTCATGTATGTTTATACTACTTTATCATTGGTTGATAGACATTTAGGTTGTTTCATTTCTTGACTATTGTGAATAATGTAGCAATAAACATGGGGATGCAGATATCTCTTTGAAGTACTGATTTCATTTCCTTTGGATGTATACCCAGAAATGAGATTTTTGCACTGTATGGTAGTTCTACTTTTAATTTCTTGATTTTCCATAATGACTGTAACTTTTTTCCATACTGACTTTTTTCCATAATGACTGTAACAATTTACATTATTGCCAGTAGTGCACCTCACCAACAGTTGTTATCTCTTGTGTTTTTGATAATAGCCATCCTTACAGATGTGAGGTAATATTTCACTGTGATTTTCCTTTGAATTTCCCTGATGATTAGTGATGTTGAGCATTTAAAAATATACCTGTTAGTGGCTGGATGCGGTGGCTCACGCCTGTAATCCCAACACTTTGGGAGGCTGAGGCGGGTAGATCACAAGGTCAGGAGATCGAGACCATCCCGGCTATCATGGTGAAACCCTGTCTCCACTAAAAATACAAAAAAATTAGCCGGGCATGGTGGCAAGCACCTGTAGTACCAGCTACTCGGGAGGCTGAGGCAGGAGAATGGCTTGAAACCAGGAGGCAGAGCTTGCAGTGAGCCGAGATCACCCCACTGCACTCCAGCCTGGGCAACAGAGCAAGACTCAGTCTCAAAAAAGAAAAAATATATATATTTATTTATATTTATATATACATTTATATATATATATATATATATATATATATATATACACACACACACACACTTGTTAGTCATTTGTATGTCTTTTTTGGAAAAGTGTTTATTCAAGTTCTTTGCTCATTTTTTTAAATGAGTTATTTGTATTTTTGCTATTGAGTTGTATGAATTTCTTATATATTTTGGATATTAACCCCTTCTCACAAATGTAGTTTGCAATTTTTTTCCCTTTTTGTGGGTTGACTTTCGGTTTGTTGATTGTATAGTTTGCAGTACAGAAGATTTTTGCTTTGTTGTAGTCTCACTTGTTTATTTTTGTTTGTGTTTTTGATGTCATATCCAAAAAACGTTCACTGCCAAGACTAATGCCAAAGAGGTCTTTCCCTCTTTGGAGTTTTGACTGTTGTAGCTTCGCAATATAATTTGAAATCAGATAGTGTGATACCTCCAGCTTTGTTTTTCTTTCACAAGATTGCTTTGGCTATTTGGGGTCCTTTCTAGTTCAATGAAAATTTTAGGATTTTTTTCTATTTCTATAAAAATTGTCATTGGGATGTTTGATAGGGTTGTATTGAACCTGAAGATTACTTTGGGTTATATGAATAGTTTAACAATATTAACTTTTCTAATCTATGAACACATAATATCTTTCCACTGATTTGTGTCTTCTTTAATTTCTTTCTTCAACACTTTACAGTTTTCAGAGTATAGATCTTTCACCTCATTAGTTAAATTGATTTAGGTTTGATGTTATTGAAAATGATATTGTTTATTTTTTATTGATACATAATAGGTTACATATTTATGGAGTACATATAAGGGTTTGTCACATGCATAGAATGTAGAATTAAGAAATCAGGGTATTTGGGATATTTATAGCTTGAGTATCAATTCTATGGTATAATTTCAGGTCTTCTAGTTTGAAATATATAAAATATTTTTGCTAAATATAGTCATCTCAGTTTGCTCTCAAACGTTAGAACTTGTTTCTACTATCTAACTGTATGTTTGTGGCCATAACCAACTTCTCTTCATCCCCTCTCCCAACCAGGTTATTGTTGCTTTAATTTCTTTTTAGGAAAGTTCAGCATCAGTGTATAAAAACATAGTTGATTTTTGTATGTTGATTTCATATAATACAACTTGTTACATTTGTTTATTGGTTCTAAGTGTTTGACAGAATCTTTAGGGTTTCATATACAGGCAAACTTCATTTTACTGTGCTTCACTTTATTGCATTTTTTACAAATTGAAGGTTTATGAAACTCTTACATCAAGCCAGTCTATCAGTGCCATTTTTCTAATAGTATGTGCTTACTTCATATCTTTGAGTCTCTTGCTATATTTCAATCATTTCCATCATTATTTTATCAGCAAGGTGATCTTTGATCAGCAATCTTTAATATAAGTGTTTTGGGGCACCATGAACTACACTCAAATAAGATAGCAAACTTAATTGATAAATGTTATATATGTTTCTGACTGCTTCACCAACTTGCAGATCCCTCATTCTCTTGGGGCTCCTTATTCCTTGAGGCAACGATGTTGACATTAGTCCACTTAATAACCCTACAATAGATTTGAATGTTCATTGAAAAGGACAGTGACATGTCTCTCACTTTAAATCAAAAGGTAGAAATGATGCTTAGTGAGGAATGCATGTCAAAAGCCGAGACAGGCCAAAAACTAGGCACCAAACAGCCAAGTTGTGAATGCAAGAGAAAATTTCTTTAGAGAAATCAAAAGTGCTACTTCAGTGAACTCATGAATGGCAAGAAAGAGAAATAGCCTTATTGTTGATGTGAACAAAGCTTTAGTGGTCTGGATTAAAGATGAAATCAGTCACAAAAATTCCTCAAGCCAAAGCCTAATCCAGGGCAAGGCCCTGATTATTTTCAATTCTGTCAGAACTCAGAGAGGTGAGAAAGCTGCAGAAAAAAAAATCTGAAGCTTGTATAGGTTTATTCACGAGATTTAAGGAAAATAAAAACCATGTCTATAACATAAAAACACAAGATGTATCAACAAGTTCTGGTGCAGAAGTTGTAGCAAGTTATCCAGATTTGACTAAGATCATTGATGAAGGCAACTACCCTAAACAGATTTTCAGTGTAGATGAAACAACTTCCTATTGAAAGTAGATGCCATTTATGACTTTCATAGCTAGAAAGGAGAAGTAAAGTCCTGGTTTCAAAGCTTCAAAGGACAGGCTGACTCTCTTGTTAGGAGCTAAAGAAGCTGGTGATTTTAAATTGGAGCCAATGCTTATTTACTATTCCAAAAACTTTAGGGCCCTTCAGAATTGTCTACTCTGCCTGTCCTCTGCAAATGGAACAACAAAGTCTGGATGGCAGCACATCTGTTTACAGCATGGTTTACTGAATATTTCAAGCCCACTGTTGAGACCTACTGCTCATAAAAAAATGTATATATTCCTTTCAAAATATTACTGCTCATTGACAAAGCATCTTGTTACCCAAGAACTCTGATGGAGATGTACAAGAGGATTGATGTTGTTTTCATGCCTCGTAATACAATATCCTTTCTGCATCCCATGAATCAAGAAGTCATTTTGGCTTTCAAGTCTTATTATTTACAAAATATATTTTGTACAGCTGTAGCTGTAGATAATGATTCCTCTGAAGGGTCTGTGAAAAATAAACAGAAAACCTTCTGGAAAGGATTCACCACTAGATGCCTCTGAGAACATTCACAACTCCTGGGAGGAGGTCAAAATATCAACATCCACAGGAGTTTAGAAGAAGTTTATTGCGACCTTCATGAATGAATTTGAGGGCTGAAGACTTCAGTGGAGGATGTAACTGCAAGTATGATAGAATAGCAAGATAACTAGAATTAAAAGTATAGCCTGAAGATGTGACTGAATTGCTCTAATATTATGAAGAGTTATTTCTTATGGATGAGGGAAAAAAGTGGTTTCTTCAAGTGGAAACTACTCCTGGTAAATATGCTGTGGACCTTGTTGAAATGACAACAAAAATTTAGAATATTATTACATCAACTTCACTGATAAAGCAGTAGCAGGTTTTGAAAGGATTTATTCCAATTTTTAAAAAATTTCATTGTGGATAAAATGTTATCAAACAGCACTGTATACCACAAAAAATATTTTGTTAAAAGAAACAAAAAAAAATAAGAAAACTCTTAATTAAGGTATGTACACTTAATTAAGTGTACATTAATGTACATTGTTTTTTAGATATGATGCTATATTGCACACTCAGCAGACTACACTACAGTATAGTATAAACATAACTTTTATATACTTAGTGCATGCAACAGTCATGTATAGCATACCTGGACCAGCATACCTTGAAGATATTGCAAGTTCAATTCCAGATCACTGCAATAAAATTAATTTTGCAATAAAGTGAGTCACATGTATATTTTTGGCTCATTACTTAGTTTTTCAGTGGGCCTGCCTGCAGAGTCACAGATGGCCATGACTCCCAGTGGTTCCATGAGTAGGCAGGACTACTTGAACAGCACGGGTAAGAGGGACTGAATCTGGGTTTCAGGGACATTTCATGATCTTAGGTGGGATGGAGATTGGCAAGCCTGCCTCAGGAACACAGATGGGTTTGTCTCCGAGCAGGTCCCTGTTGAAGGCAAGGCTGCTCTCAGACCAGCTGAGAGGAGTGACAGCCAAGCTATAGGGCCATTTAAGGGTCCACACCTGGGACCAAGATCAGTGGGCCTGTCACCTGAGGCACCTGTGGTGTATTAGTCCATTTTCATGCTGCTGGTAAAGACATACTTGAGACTGGGAAGAAAAAGAGGTATAATTGGACTTACAGCTCTGCATGGCTGGGGAGGCCTCAGAATCATGGTGGGAGGTGAAAGGCACTTCTTACATGATGGCAGTAAGAGAAAAAATGAGGAAGATAAAAAAGCAGAACCCCCTGATAAACCCATCAGACCTTGTGAGACTTATTCACTATCACAAGAATAGCATGGGAAAGACTGGCCCCCGTGATTCAGTTACCTCCCCTGGGTCCCTCCACACGTGGGAATTCTGGGAGATACAATTCAAGATGAGATTTGGGTGGGGACACAGCCAAACCATATCGTTCCACCCAGACCCCTCCAAATCTCATGTCCTCACATTTCAAATCCACTCATGCTTTCCCAACAGTCTCCCAAAGTCTTAACTCATTTCAGCATTAACCCAAAAGTCCACAGTCCAAATTCTCATCTTAGACAAGTCAAGTCCGTCCCACCTATGAGCCTATAAAATCGAAAACAAACTAGTTACTTCCTAGAGATGATGAGGCTACAGGTATTTGGTAAATACAGCTGTTCCAAATGGGAGAAATTGGCCAAAACAAAGGGGTTACAGGGCCCATGCAAGTCCAAAATCCAGCAGGGCTGCCAAATTTTAAAGCTCCAAAATGATCTCCTTTGACTCCAGGTATCACCTCCAGTTTACACTAATGCAAAAGGTGGGTTCCCATGGTCTTGGGCAACTCCGCCCCTATGACTTTGCAGGGTACAGCCTCCCTCCCAACTGCTTTCACAAGCTGGTGTTGAGTGTCTGCAGATTTTTCAGGTGCATGATGCAAGCTGTTGGTGGATCTACCATTCTGGGGTCTGGAGGACAGTGGCCTTCTTCTCACAGCTCCACTAGGCAGTGCCTCAGTAGTGACTCTGTGCAGGGGCTCCAACCCCACATTTCCCTTCCGCACTGCCCTAGCAGAAGTTCTCCATGAGGGCCCTGCCCCTGCAGCAAATTTTGCCTGGGCATCCAGGAATTTCCATACATCTTCTGAAATCTAGGTGGAGGTTCCCAAACTTCAGTTCTTGACTTCTGCGCACCCACAGGCTCAACACCCCATGTAAGCTGCCAGGGCTTGGGGCTTCCATCCTCTGAAGCCACAGCCTGAGCTCTACATTGGTCCCTTTCAGCCATGGCTGGAGTGGCCGGGACACAGGGCACTAAGTCCCTAGGCTGCACACAGAACAGGGACCCTGGGCTCGGCCCACAAAACTACTTTTTCCTCCTAGGCCTCTAGGCCTGTAATGGGAGGGGCTGCAGTGAAGGTCTGTGACATGGCCTGGAGACATTTTCCCCATGATCTTGTGGATTAACATTAGGCTTCTTGCTACTTTCGCAAATTTCTGCAGCTGGCTTGAATTTCTCCTCAAAAAAAAAAAAAGAGGGGGGGGGGTTTTCTTTTCTACTGCATCATCTGGCTGCAAATTTTCTGAACTCTTATGCTCTGCTTCCCTTTTAAAATGGAAAGCTTTTAACAGCATCCATGTCACCTTTCGAATGCTTTGCTGCTTAGAAATTTCTTCTACCAGATACCATATATCATCTCTCTCAAGTTCAAAGTTCCACAAATCTCCAGGGCAGGGTAAAATGCCACCAGTTTCTTTGCTAAAACATAACAAAAGTCACCTTTGCTCTAGTTCCCAACAAGTTCTTCATGTCCATCTGAGACCAACTCAGCCTGGACCTTATTGTTCATATCACTATCAGTGTTTTTGTCAAAGCCATTAAACAAGTCTCTAGGAGTTTCCAAACTTTCCTGCATTTTCCTGTCTTCTTCCGAGCCCTCCAATTTGTTCCAACTTTTGCCTGTTACCCAGTTCCAAAGTCACTTCCACGTTTTCAGGTATCTTTTCAGCAATGTCCCACTCTACTGGTATCAATTTACTGTATTAATCCATTTTCACACTGCTGATAAAGACATACCCAAGACTGGAAAGAAAAAGAAGTTTAGTTGGACTTACAGTTCTGCGTGGCTGGGGAGGCCTCAGAATCATGGCAGGAGGCGAAAGGCACTTCTTACATGGATGTAGCAAGAGAAAAAATTAGGAAGATGCAAAAGCGGAAACCTCTGATAAACTTATCAAATCTTGTGGGACTTATTCACTATCACGAGAAGAGCATGGGAAAGACCTGCCCCAATGATTTAATTACCTCTTCTTGCATTTCTCACACAACATATGAGAATTCTGGGAGATACAATTCAAGTTGAGATTTGGGTGGCGAGACATGCAAACCCTATCATGAGGGCATAACTTTTGGGTCCCTTGGCTGATGGTTCTGAAAGCAGGACCATGGTCAATCAGGGTTGCAGGGGAGTCCACATGGGGTCTAGAGCTGGGACCATGGTTGGTAGCCCTGCCTGAGCACATTTATGCTCTCTCCAAATGGCTTTCCTAGGTTTTGGATTCCACTGGCATTTCACCACCCCCTACCTGAATTCCAGTCCCCACGAAGACCCTTTTGTACATGGACAGCTGTTGTGGAATATGAGTGCAGAACTACTATTCTGCCACCTTACTGATGCCCTGTTTGTTTTCAATTCTTCATTCCTTTCCTTTTATAAAATTTAACATCCATATGCTTTGTCATATAATTTTCAGTTCTTCTCATGATTGGCAATCTTGATCTCCTGTTGTACCAATTTTGATCTTAGCCATGTGATTTTTTTTTTTTCCAAGTGTACATTGCTGACATGGCTCAAGGGCAGTCTTTATTTGGCCAAGTTTGGCTTTCTCTCTTATGCTCCTGTAATCTGTAGTGAGAAGAATATGGCCCAGGTAGCTACTGGCTCAATAAAAATAAGAATATGGCCCAGGTAGCTACTGGCTAAATAAAAATAAAAAAACATATTGAGCAGATAAGTAGCCAGTCTGAAGCCTGAAGCCAGGCATGGTAAAGCCACAGCTGATCCATGGACCTGTGAACAGGAGAAGAAACTTTTATTGTTATAAGACACTGGTGTTTTGAGGATGTTTGCTATGCAGTTTTATTACAGCAAAATTTGATTCATACGTTATCTTTTTCATTTCGTTTTTTAGGTCATGCCAATTCCCAGTACATTAAATTATATCTGAAATGTAATTTTCGTATATGACTAAAGTTATTTTTAAATATAGTTCTCTAGGACTTTGAACTATAGTTAATATTGATTAGTAGTTAATAATCTAAGATTTTAAAAATAGTAACCATGTGGCTGTCATTGTGGTAGACTATCCTGGAGAGAGAGAGAAAAAAAGAAAACATTCGAAGTTCGATAAATTTGGTTTCCAACTGAGAACACACCATAGGTTCTTCATGAGTTCATGTTTCCCAGGCATGCTCCAGAACTCAGAGACAGGAGAGACTGGAGGAGGCAGGAAAAGTGGCATAGCGGATGCAGATATTGAGTTGGACATAAAGGAGAGGGTTTTTTTCAGCAGTGCCACTTGAATTCTAAAGCACTTTTGCTATACAGATACTGTCTATGAAAAGCATAGGAGTCATTATTCATGGCCTGATTCTTGTATTTGTCCCAGGCTCAAGGAAAGGCTACTGGCAAGAAAACCTTCGGGCTTTGATCCAATTTATCTTCTGAATATTGTTATATTGTTTTGTCTTTAATGAGTCAAAGTGACACTTTACATTGAAAGTGAAAAGGGGAAGGGAAAGGGGGAAGTCCACTGATTTACTGTTTTATTAGATTTCTGATTGGAGACAGGGATGAGCTGTGTGGCCTTACACGTAAAATTGCCCATCTTTCACCTCTGAAGTTTTTAGATTGGAAGTTGGTGACTTATTTATCCTAAGTCTGTCAGGCTCAGTAATTGCCGATATAGCGCATCCAAGGGGAAATGGGAAGCAAATGCTGGAGGAATTCTGAGTAGTTACATTCAAGGTATTATCGTTCTCAACCTTTTAACTGTATCTCATCAGTGAAGGAAAGAAGGAAAGAATACAGGAAGGGGGACAGGGAGTGGGGTTAGAGAGAAAATAGAGGACAGACACCTCTTGAACAATTACTGTATGACAGGCCCATATCAGATACTTCATGATATATGAACTACACTTGGTGGATTCTCATGTTGTAACTGAAAGCTGTTCATTATTAGATGTAGTTCACAGATAATGAGTTAATAAAATAAATTGCTTAGTGTGAAGCTAATAAATTGCTTAGTGTGAAGCTAATAAAAACATATATTTAAATGTGAATAAAAAAATTCTTAAAAATAATAATCCAATTTAAACTTTGTAACAACTGTTTGAAGATATTATTAATCAGTTTTAGAGGAAACAGGTTTATGTTTAACATGTGCAATGTCACATAGCTTATAAATGGCAGAGCCCAACTCACACTGGGAGTTGTCTAATTGCAAAGTTCCAAATTTTCTACTTCTAATTAACCAATAGATTTATATTTAATGAGATTAGAAAGGTAAAACTCACTTATTTCTGGAATATGTTTTAGAAAAAAGGTACAGTTGGTAGTTGTGATTGATTTTGGACAGTACGGTCTCTGAGTTGGTTCATACATTTTACCTAATTTAAATAATGTCCAAGCCATTTTTTGTTTTCACAGTTGTTACAATATAAAATCCGTCTTTCCTACCTCTCAACTAACCACTAATTGCATTTCTCCTATTTAGCAGATACCTACTTCTGTCAACTCAACCAGTTCCCCCTTCTGCTAAAAAAGCAAAGTTTTGGTGGCAATTAAGAATAATTGTTGCAATTTCTCCACCTACCTAACTCTGGCCTCCAGCAGAGCAGTGCATCTCATTACCCTTTGAAGAAAAGAATTTTGAAAGAAAAATTTATCTCTCAAAAAACAAACACCATTGAGTTTAGGATCCAGTAATCTTTGTTAAGTCTCTCTCTGGCTAAAACAAAATAGATGATGTATCAAGTCACAGAAAAAGTGGAATACAAAGTTATTTTCCTCAGCCAAGTGTCAAACACTAGAGGAATATGTGAGGAGGGCAGGGTAGCAACTATATTTTATGAACTGAGAAGTGTGCCCAAAGTATTCTTCAAGTTTTACCTAAATTAAAATTCCAGGATTGAGTAATTTCTTTGGGTTATCCATTCATAATCAAAAGTCCTCATTAAAATGAAAATTCTCTGTGAAGTGGGGAAGTGTTAGTTGTGTGCATATTTATGTACACGTGGAGGGTGGGATCTGTTTGTATTTGTGTTGAGGGGAAAGTTATTAAAACATTTATTACCTTTACAACCTTAGCATTTGTCCACCTGGAAGGCAGGGCTTTGGTGAAATGACTCTAAGTACTGGTATTTTTTTTTTCTTTTGTTTTGAGACAGAGTCTCGCAGTGTTGCCCAGGCTCCAGTGCAGTGGCACGATCTCGGCTCACTGCAAGCTCCGCCCCCTGGGTTCACACCATTCTCCTGCCTCAGCCTCCCGAGTAGCTGGGACTACAGGCGCCCACCACCACGCCCAGCTAACTTTTTTGTATTTTTAGTAGAGACAGGGTTTCACCATGTTAGCCAGGATGGTCTCGATCTCCTGACCTCATGATCCGCCCGCCTCAGCCTCCCAAAGTGCTGGGATTACAGGAGTAAGCCACCGCACCTGGCCAGTACTGGTATGTTTTTATTGATTAAGTTCTAGAAGTCTTTTCTCTCTGGCTGGCTTTCACCTAAATTCTCATCAACTTCACTAGTTGGTTTGAAATTTCTCTACCTTGGTTTCCATCTAATTAGAGTGGGATCATAATGTAGTAAAGTGTTAAAAAAATAAAAGCCAAAACCTCATGTTTTCAAGAACTGGTACAGAAGATTAGAATGAAAAAATCGAATAAAAACAAACACTTTATTAACTCTATCAAGATTTTATCCTAATGATGTTTCAGTTGCCATTTATAAATATACAAGTATACAGTATACTTATCAATATTTATTTCCACCAACTTTTAGCTATAAACATAGCTCTTGGCATTTAATCTGAAGGTAAAATGAATATTACTCCAGTGATTAGCAAGAAGTCTTCTTGCTTCAAAACACTTCATAACCTCCCTTCTTATATCTTCACCATTTGAGACACCAGATAATTAGAAAAGACAAGGACTTTATATTGTGGTAAAATAATTCATTGTTACAGCCCTCTCCAGTTGGAATTTGATCATGGACTAGCTTTATTTAGTCATGCCATTAGGTAGCTCATTTCATGGCCCTGATCAAACGAAATATAGGCTGAGAGGTGAGGGTCATAGGCAGGAAGCTGCTTTAGGGCTTTGAATCTGGGCTTATTGAGAGGACACACTTAAAGGTGGTCACGGGCATGGCTCAACACCAGACAAACTCGTAGAAAGGGTCAGATCCAAAGGATCTGCAATCCAAACCTTTATTTTTTTTATGCAGATACCAAGGAAGTGAGTTTTATCCTTTGTGGTATCAGTTTCAAGTATTAGAAATGCCATCCTCTCTTCATCCTAAATTTCCTTAATAATACAATAAGATTTTGCAAATGTCAACACAATTTCCCTATTAGGCTAAAGTTGTTCCATATTAAATTCTCTTAAACTTTGGTGGCAAACTTCCAGTCCTTGTGTTCGGGGATTTAGTTTCTTATTTCATCTTTCTTGTTGTTTCACTTCAATCATAACTTCAAACATGGCTTCATGTTCTCTTCTCTTAAACCCTAATCTTCTCAATTATCTTCATATAAAGGCTCCCAGTACCCTGTGCTAATCCTGTGGACATTTTATTTAGAACTCCATGGAACCTCTTTGACCTCTTCTGCATACCATGGCACTAAATATGAAGATGGGTGATTCTGGTAAGAGCCTCTGACAGGCAGAGAGGAAAACTGTTCCAGAATGAGGTGGCCAGGATGTTCTCATACTGCCTTGGGCTGTTCCATTGGGTTATTCTCCATCAGTAAAATTTACTGAATAATAGTGTTTGCAACTTGAAATTTGGAGCTGCTTGACTTCAAAAAAAGAGAGAGAAGGGAATAGAATCAAAATGAATTTTCATTGATGTGTGCTTTGTTTTTCCTTTGCAATTACCTCAAAAACAAGTTCTTGCCAATGAGTTCCCAAGTGCCTCCTCAGAGAACACAGAAACGCAGAAAGTAAGTACAGATATTATGTGTGCAGGTGAAGAATCAACTTCCCAAGGCAGTTTCTCCTGCCCTAATTAAGAGAAAATGTTAGAACAGGGCAGGAAAACACACATTTTCACGGCTGGATCTGGCTCCAGTGATCAAAGGCTTCCTCTTGGGGTAAACTATAATCATTTTTAGCCAATGGCTATTGGTTGGTAAAACTTAAAGCACAGTGATTTTTCAGGCAGAGCAGCTTGAATAGGGCTAAACAAAAGCTTATGCCAGGGTTTTAAAAGAAAAGAGGTGGTATGGTCACAGACTGTACTAGGGAAAAACATTCAATATAAAAGGAGAACAGGAAAGTAAATTTGAAATATGTGGCCAGTACGGACTACTTTTGGTATCATTAGGGAGGCTATGATTGATGAACTATTGTCTATCTGATGTATCTGGTTAATATCCAGTGTGTCTGATTATCTCAGGTGTTATATAGTACTTAGCAATCCTCCCTCATAGGATAGTTCTTAGTATCAGAAATTTGCTTTCAAAAGCAGCAGCTTTGTATGAAAGTCCTGGTTATCAGTGTTCTTACTAAGTAAGACTTAAGCATGGCCTAACACATCCCTTGGAGAAAGTTCTAAACATGCCATGCAGGCTTTCTCAGCTTGTCTCACTTCTCAATCCTCCAATCCAGTTTCTACCTTGCTATGTTCCCCAGGAGGCTTGAATTGCATCACCCTTATCCTCTGGCTTAAATTAGGCTGGGCCATTGGAGGGTGCTGGCAGTAGATTGTAAGCTAGGATGAAAGAGGGTTTAGAGTTTTTATTTTCCTTCCTTGTTTCCTGCCTCAGCTCTGTGATTCTGCCAGTAATCAATTGGGATTCTTATCAGGTGCTCTTTCTTTCCTGGCTCCGAACTCTCTCCGAGCAGCCTCCTAAAGGTGGTAAAGCTTTCCCCATTTCTGTCGGCATCCCCTTCCTTAAGATCTTCTTGTTTCAAAATTTGAGTGTGAATTTAGTTCTTATTGTGACTATGCCTGTTTTTGTTGTCATTGTTGTTCTCATTGGGATTTTAAGACCTGGTAGTTATGTTGGGATCCCAGGACACAAAGGCAGAGGAAATTGTTAGCCCCTGCATCGGCTCTATAAGCACCAATCCTCTTGTGTGCCCACTACATTCCCCCTTCCAACTTTACATGAAGTCCTCATCATTGGTATGTTGTCTTTGAGTTACCTCTGAATGCCCCTGTTAAACTGCAACTCAGAAAATTGTAGCAAATTAAACTGAAGTAATTTCAGCTTGCCTTTATTTATCAAAGTGGTTTCTTTAATTTATGAGGGAGCAGTAATTCATTCATTCATTCATCTATTTATTTACTTGTTCACGTGATTGCTTATAAATGTGTTCGGTAAGCTTGCAGTAGATACCCCTTTACCAGTCTCCTGATTGGTGGAAATCAAAAGGCACATTCTTCTTGCACGGTGAAGAGTCCACTGAAAGCTGTTGTTACCACTACACCAGAAGGTGCAAGACAAGGAAACAAGCAGAGCCCAGAGAGCTCTAGTGCTGTGGACTCAGCCTAGCAGGAAGGAGCTGTGCTTGTAGAAGTATATAGCTTCTGCCAGAGGAGTAGTACCAAGGTAGAGAGGGAGTGGAAAGAATTGCTTCTATTTTTCTCTCCTTCCTCCCTCAAATTTCAAGAGGGTTACTCCTTTTGACTAAACTCAACATGAAGTCATAGGAGAAGGGAATCTGGATGAGGCAGTTTATAGGGGTCAGGCCCTTGAAGAATAAAACTGAGCTGGATAAAGTAATTCTGGCTGTGTGGTAAACAGAAAATAATTTCCACAGCTTCAGAATGATGTAAGAGATGAATATATAGGTACTGATGAAGAAAGTAAGAGTTCTTTCTCAAAAACATAAGTATAAGAGACAAGACTAATAATGGTATTTAATGCTGTTGACTCCACTAGTCACAACTATCTTCTTGGGAAAGTGTATTTCTTCTTTATACCAATACATTTTTGTTTAGACTTAAAGCAGACATTGATAGCAAAATAGTTTTTTTGTTTTCATTCTTAGTTTGGATAGATAAGAAATTAGGTTTGTGTGTTCAAACGAGGCTATCTACATTGTAGGAGAAGATTGCATGTGTATCTCTCATCAGAAGAGACAGGCTTCTTTCCATTTCCTTGAGATTGCATTGCGGGAGAAATACAGAAACCTGAGGTTCCCCAGGTGGAGACCTCATGGTTTGTCAGATTATTCAGTAGTTGGATTTCTAGAAGATATTTTGTTTTGAGGGTCTCCAGAACCATCCTCAAGCTTGATAATTCACTAGAGGAGCTCACAGGACTTAGAAGTTGTTATGCCTACCATGTGGTTTATTACAGTGAAAGGATGCAATGTGAAATCAACAAAAGGAAGAAGCATATGGAGTGAAGTCTAGAGGAAAGAATTAGCAAGCCTTCAAGTATGGAGTCACATAGAATGCACTTAATTCTCCCCAGTAAAAATGTGTGACAACACGTGGGAAGTATTGATAAGAAGGGACACTCTTTTGAGCCTGATTTTTCTTGGTTTTTATTGGCGGTCAGTCACATAAGCCTATACTACCTATGTGGATGTTTGTTGCTTAAGTTCCAGACTCCCAGAGAGAAGGTAGGCACTCAGAATAGATGACATTGATATAATGAACTACCTGAACAAACTGGCACAGAATGCTTCAAAAACACTCTTATCAGACAGCTCAGTTCCCAGGAGTCAGCTAAGGGCCTGTCATGGAAACAGGACTTTTTTGGGGAATGTGCAGGGTTTGAGCAACCCAGGCCTGCTGAATTAATTCTTTCTCACATACATGTAAAAGTGCTGTATTTGGCTTTTTGATTCCTCTTCCAACGTGAGCAGCACTTCTGGAAAAATAATACTAAGTAACCCAAGTCTATACCTTCTTTAATTTGAAACTAGCCACAAACAAAATTCTGAGACTAATCATGTTGATGCTGTTGGCCCCAGATTCTCTTTTGTATCTTTTCTCCACCTTCACAACTCACTTACTTTCTCATGATAGGTTCATTATAAGTTCAAGTTCTTTCTTCTTCCCGCATAAGCCCCATTTTCAGAGAGGCTTGGAGACTGCCACTCACCACTTAACAGTGAGCCGAAATCTCTCCTTTGTTTTTTCACAGGGAGTTTATACCTCAGTGTCAGCTCTTTCTGTCAAATGAACAGGTTTGCTCCATGGTAAATGGAGAAGAAAACCCCTGTGAAATCGTCATGTTGAATTGTCACTAATCCTAGCCCTCTGACTTAGCTAGTCTGATGTTTCATCTTGGACCCATTTTAAACTATGTAGACATTGGTAACTTTGACTCCAAATGACTTTTCTGTTGGCTCTCAGGTCACTGCTATTCAAGCAGCTTAACTCAGGAAATCACTGCGCAATGATATCCCTAACGTGTTTATTGGGTACAACATATTTCTCTCCTCTTCCCTGTTATGAAACATAGTCACTAAACGTAGCCACTAAAATAATAACTTGAACAAAATATTTATAGAACATAATACTCACTAGATTCTGTGTTAAGTCCTTGGGATAATTTTATTTTTTAAACAGACACATCGCCTCTTTTATAGACAGTTTATTTGGGAATAAACAACAACAACAGCAGATAAACAACTAACTAAATGACTCATAAATTACAATTTTGTTAAGTGCTCAGAAAAGTTACAGTAAAAGGATGCAATGTGAAATCAACACGACTGTGAGAAGAATGTGGCTAACAGAGAGAGAGAGAGTGTTCTAGGACAGACGCTCTACAGTTCTACAGTAGTCCCTCTGAACACAGGGAAATGTATGGTGTATTCAGTGATGAGGTGGGCAGCAGGGCTAAAGCACAAAGGCCAAGGGGAAGAATAGTGCAAAATAGGCTTAGGAGAAGGCAAAGATCAGGTCCTGCAATCCAGAGAAGGCTGCCCCCTAAAGTTGGAAAACATCATAAAAACAAGACTAAAAAGTCATAAAAATAATTGATCAGATTTGCATCTCTAAAAGATCACTTTTTTTCCTTTCTCCTTTTTGTATTAGAGTCAGTGAAGTGTAGATGAAAGTATCTTAAGTATCTCTGCACCTTGCACAGTGCCTGACACATGGTAGGCACTCAAAATATATTTAATAAATGACTAAATGATCAAAGGAGAAAATATACTTCCCATTAAGACTATACAATTCTTGAGGCTAGGAATTTTTTTTTTTGTTTGCTTAACTTTTCTTCTCTTGATTTCCAACAATTTATAGGGGACGTACCAGGGACTTATTGTTTATTTCCTTGATTGTCTTGACTTTCATCCTCTTTCTATCTCTGAGCTGTTCCAAGTTCTCTCTAAACCATAAGGCCACAAAAGTAGCTCTCACTCTGTGCATTGCCTTCTATTACTGCTGGTACTAAAACTTGGAGCTCAGTTTGTAAGAGGACATGTCAAGAAAAAGAGAAAATAATCCTTCACCCCAGCCATCACACATACTTACTCTTAGACTCCTACGCAAAGCGGAAAAGGGAAGAATAAGGATATGTTACTCTGCCTTTTGCCTGGTTTTGATGAGCTCTCCATGACTATTTACTACAATCATTGGAATCTGCACATTTGCTTAAATGTGTATTGTGATGGTATATGATGGATGGATACAAATTGGCAGTCTAGTCATTTGCTCTCCAATCGATATTGCCTTCCATTCAATTAGCATGTGTTCTATGGTTTTAGGGAATATTCATTGGTTCACTCATTTTAAATTAAAACTTAAATGTTGCATTTTCATGCAGCATCATAATCACTTTATTAGTGGTTAATATAATTTGTAAAATGTTGAGAGATTGTTCTTGCCAAAGGCCCTGGTGTGAGATTCATGTAATGAACCATTCTCATTCTTTAGACTTCAAGAACATGATGCCTTTGTTTCACAGAGGAAAATCTTCTTTAACCAAAGATAACAACTAACTGAATCTTTAAAACGTCATTTTTTTCTTCTACATTCAAGTTATTTCTGTACGTTACTGAGGATATCATTTGGTTTATCTTTTTCTCCCTGTCCTCCTTTCCTGATGCTGCTGCTTCTACTTTAAAAAAACTTTGCTACTGTTGTCTTCTTTTCACCTCAAGCGCCCTTTATTAAATAAAGGCCACCTATTATTTTCAAAGTGCCTCAGCTAAGGGTTTATTATGGTAGTACAATCATAATGTATAGAGGGAAAAAGAATGTTTTAAATGTTTGCCATCCTACCACAAAACTTAAAATGTGTGTTTTTCACTTTACTGAGATTACCTTGGGTTGCACAAAATCTTCCTGTATAGCAGCTGGTATTAATCTCTACTTGGTCAGTGGATGCCTTAGATTTGTGCCCTGTGCTATTCCTTTGATTGTGAACTGGTTTTCCCGTAATCTAGGGTGTGAACCAATCAGTCTAAACCTCTCTAAACCTTGTAGTCATTCTTGTAACCACCAATGCTAATAGGGACAGTGGTTCTCATCTTAATTGTATTATAAATTCTCAGTGGTCTATTAAAGGGAAAGTCTTTATTATTTATACAGTTGTCTTAAGGAAATTTAGTGTGATCTATTCTCTACATTGGGAAAGAATGAGTGAAACTACATAGTTATACACCTGATGTCATTTTTCCCTACCAAGAATCAACTTTTTCTTAGGATAGAGACTGAATGAATTCTCTTCTCCTACCTGAAGCATCCTTTGCAGAGTTGGGGCTAGTGTTTTTCTGGTGGCTTCTATGAAACATTTTCACAGGCTCCTTTAGAATCCTGATATTTCTGCAAAAGGATCTACTACTCAAGTTAAAACTGAACCTCAAGAAGGCCTTTCTGGGATGCCAGAAGTCAATGGACCACATATAGATGATAGTTTAGGCACCTCTATGGGATTCTCGTGGTAAAAGTCTCCTAGTCTTTCTGCTAAAATGAAACATAAAACAAAACAAGCAAGTTCAACTGACTGTATCTGCAATTGAAAACAAATATCCCTCTAGTTACAATGGCTTATTATATTTATTTTGTTGGGCATTAAATTAATATCTGCACCATTGAATAAGAAGCCCCTTAAGAGAATCCCGCAGGAAAAAGTTACCTTAGAATTATGTTAAGGAATTTCAGCTCTTTTGTAGTTTAATGCTTGATAAAAATCAACCATACAAAATGCTAAACTAGAAAAAGGGAATGTCTATAATTGAAGTGAAATTGTACATTTATATAAATATAATGAATTCACTAGATTTTCTGAACACTTTGTTTCCTGTTTTGAAAGGAGATTAAGAAACCAAAACATATGTGCTTATGTCTGTAAGTTTTGTTTCATTATTACACACATATTCATTTTCATTCAGATTTTTTTCTGCTAGTCTCACAAATTATACCTTTTAATTACAGATAGCATGACTAAACACAAAGGCAGCCCCCAGGATTACTTTGGAAAACCTGCTGATTAGACATACTAAATAAGACAATATAAGTATGTAGAAATATTTACAGTAAAACAGTTTTGTTCCAATTTATGGACTTCTTTACATCCACTCTGTCTCTTTCCACAAAGTAATAACAGAAGACATAAACCGGAGGGAAAAAAAGGAAAAAACAAACAAAGTAAGAGGAATATATCTTGGTTTCATTTGTGTCAAAACAGCAATAAAGCAGAAAAATATATTCAGCCGAGGTGCTATTTGGGTTTTATTTATAAAGGCTACAGTCTCTGCCCTAATGTTCATGAGCTTTGTCCTTGTTGCCTAGTTACAGATTTATAATTTTTGTCTCTCTGGTTATTGATGGCTCTAATGGAGAGAGCAGTGACTGCGGGCCTAATGAAAACACTTTAAATCTCTATTCAGAAATGTTAACGTTTTGTGTGTGTCTGGTGTTGTTGATTACAGTGATCTGGGGAAGGGATGGTCTTAAGAGAAAATTAGTGAGAAGCAGGTAGTCTCAAAGCGGGTCTGAGACAGCCTATCTTGTTCTGTTGGCTAGGGCATTTTTAAAAATAAGTTATTGTATGAAAAGAATTTGCTTTTGCCAAAGTTATTGAGTTGGTTAGTAATTCTACCTCAGATGTATCACAGATATTTGAGGTGCTGTGGTTATGTTATTAAAGGCGTCTTTATCAGACTCATGCCAGAATCACCTGCAGAACAAGCAAATTCAATGATAATCATTAGATTGGAGTGTGTGAAGTATTTAAAATCAAAAGTATGGCTCTATAGTTTAATACTGATGCTGACCAAAAAGATGGAGAAATTCTGTCTAAGAAGTCTAATGTCAGAGGTTTAAAGGTACTCTGGTCATGTGTTTTCAAATTGTCAGTAGCATTCCACAGCTATATTAAAATTTCTGCCTCTTGATGAACTTCATTTCTGGGCAGGCAGAGTCAAAGGAATTAGATGAAAATTAAGAGGCAATCTCTAGATCAATGGCTCTCAAAAGTATAGTACCCAGACTAGCAGTATCAACATCACCAGAACTTGTTAGGAATGAAGGTTCGTTGTTCCCATCCTGGACTTCCCAAGTCAAAAATTCTGAAAGGTGGGGCCCAGCAATCTATGTTTTAATAAGTAATCTAAGTGATATTGTTGCACTCTAAGCTTTGACAACCACTGCTCTAGAATGAGGTTTCTCAACCTCGGCACTATTGACAATTTGGGCTTGGTAATTTTATAAGGGGCTGTCATTCACACTGGCATTGCAGGAGGTTTAGCGGCACCCCTGAACTCTACCTACTAGATAACAATGATGCCCATTCCATTTGTGACAGCTAAAATGTCTTCAGACATTGCCAAATATCTACTGAAGAGAAAAATTATGCCTGGGTTCAAAACCACTGTTCCAGATCTACAAGTTAAACTTATTTGCAATGTCTTAAAATGAAGATTTCTGTGCCCAAACTCTTTCAGAGTTTGATTTAGTAAGTCTATAAAACAACCCTGTAATCTGTATTGTTAACTGGGACCAGGTAATGGCCCATGAGCCATACTTTGAGTAACAGAGCTCTGAATCAATGTCTATCAAACTTTACTGCCTTTTGTTGTTGTTGTTGTTGTTGTTGTTGTTGTTGAGACGGAGTCTCGCTCTGTCGCTCAGGCTGGAGTGCATTGGCGCGATCTCAGTTCACTGCAAACTCCGCCTCCTGGATTCACGCCATTCTGAGTAGCTGGGACCACAACAGGCGCCCGCCACCGCGCCAGGCTAATTTTTTGTATTTTTAGTAGAGATGGGGTTTCACCTTGTTAGCCAGGATGCTCTCAATCTCCTGAACTCGTGATCCACCCCACTCGACCTCCCAAAGTGCTGGGATTACAGGCATGAGACACCGCGCCCGGCCTAACTGCCTTTTTAAAAGTAAAAAAAAATATTATTTTTAAATGTGTATTTGTGTCTCATTTCAACAAGCAAACATGTTTGAGCAGTTGCTGTCAGTATTTTCTATCCTGGGTGAGCATTAGAATTTCCTGGGGAATCGAAAAATCTTGATGCCCAGGCTCTGCCTCAAAAACTCTGGATATGGAGTTCTGACATTAGAAAAGTGTTGAACATTGGAATCGTATTAGGATCTTTAAAATTTTTGGAAGCCTGGGTCTCATCCTCATTCTGATGTACGCGTTGTGAACTTTTGATTTAGGAAACTTTCATATGCAACAAGTTTGGGCACGGCATTTTAATGTCTCAGAAGCTTTTCAGATGTTTCTCATGTGCAAGAAGGGATGAAAGTTTACTGTGAGCTGATCGCAAGCCTAAACCAGAGGCTAGTTTAAGTACTTTCTAATAGCCAAAGTAGAGTGAATGAGCCCATTGCATGCTATGAATTGCTTGTAACTGAAAACACCTGAATCAAGTTTGGAGCATCAAATGGAGAAGTCTTTATGTTTCAACCCTGATAGAGTCTTGGTAATAACAAAAAAGAAAGAGGATTATATGGAAAAGAGTATCCTATAGGATATTGAAGAACCCAAAGTAACTTTAATATATATAGCCCTAGATGACTACATGGCCTCCCAGAGGCTCGAGCTGCACCCCATACAATTACATCAGAATGTTTGAGAATGATTACTAGGTACTTGTATTTTTTAAAGGTTCCCAAGTGATTACAACGTGCAGCAAAGTTTGTGAGCCATTGTTATGGGTTCTTAGCACTATTAGCTCTTTACCACTTGTCAATAATTTCCTAGGGATTAGAAATTCTTTCAGGGAAATTACCAAGCCTGTGACGTATTTCATAAGCTTTAACAGTGTCATACCTTTTCAACAGATAATTTTTAATAAATAGATTAACTCAATTAGGTAATTGAGGCAATTCAGTATTCCACTATTATCTCATTTGCTTGTATATAACTCAGGATGGCTATAAAAGCCCAAGACTGGTAAATTCCTTCAGCAACAAAATAAAAAAATCAAGAAGTAGGTCTATCGATCTATTCATGTATTCACCTTTTCACACTTTAATATACATTATGCATATGTATACACACACCACATAATGTATATATATTTGCATATGTACATATATTTGTATATATACATGCACACAACAAACTGTACTATGAATTACAGAAGTTATAAGAAGAAATAATACAACTCCCTCTTCTAAACAAGTTTGTAATTCATGTCATCTTGATGGAAACCGTTTTTTTCCAATTCCTGTTCTTATAATTCCATTATGCCCATCTAGCGCATTATTACGAAATATCAAGCTTTCTTCTTAGGTAAAAATAGCACTATTTAAAACATTTTTAGAAATTATGCCGTAGGCCATTTTCATTTTGTGAGCTTTTACAAAATTGTTTTTGATTGAAACATTTTCTACTATTCTGTATTTCTAGCATATTATTTTTAAACCTGTTATTAGTGTTCACTTTAATATTCTAGTTTTTACATTTATAATTTCTCTCCAATTAGGTATGTAAGGAGGCTCTCCATTCTCCTGTGTATCTGCTAATGTACTGTGGTCGCTTTGAAATAACATTTCTGTAAGTGGTTAGAGGGGAGACTGAGAGCTGCAATCTTAGGTGCAGACATTAAATAAAATTGATTCTGAAAACTTTCTTTGAAACATATTCATACTCTTTTGAATTTGTCAAAATTCACATTTTTTTCACGTCTTTAGCAACAAAAGTATCTCATTTTTGTCATAATGTTTATTAAAAGTATTTGCTTTAAAACTGTAAAAAAAATATTCTGGTCTTTACCAGAGTGAAACACTTTGGAGACCTACTCTTTTGCTTAGTCATTAATCAAATGAAGACTGAAAATTTACCTTTATATTAGGCAAGGGGCAAATTGTGTGGTGCTAGTGCTTGTAGCAATGTAATTATAAAATGGAACTCATGCTTTCTTCACTCCAGGCAAGTTTCCCAGCATACTCACTCTATTTCATGTCACTGTGAAATTTGTTGGTTTGTTGTTGTTTCCTGTCTTTTTTCTTTGGACTTGATGCTACAACAAGAGATCAGAGGCTCAGATTCTGCCCCTCCCAGGTCTCTGATCTTTTATAAAGTTTTCTATTTGTAAAATGAATGGACTGAACTCAGTCAGTCTTTTATTGTCTTTGTTTTAAATAAATGTAATCCCATTTCCAACAAAACTTCACTGAAAAGTTTAATGTGTGAAACATTTTAAAGCACAGCTGCTTTGAGCAGATTGGACTTTCCAGAGCTTTCATTTGCCCCTGAGGTGCCTTCCGAAACTCCTGGTCTCAGGTTAATACAATTTGAAGAGCATCAAACTGGATTTTTCCCTAACTACTTTTAGCTCCAGAATTATTGGCTCATTTTTGTTACTTAGTTTGAATGACTGTAGACCTGTAAAGAAATACCACATAGAGGATTTTTGTAGACACACTTGAGGTACGATGCAGAGGGTGTAAGTACTGAGAAACATGCATCATATGTAGTGATTTCAATGCAGATCTCATGTAGAGATATGAATTTCTCTCTATCTGCCAGAAACAGAACAGAAACTCCTCTGTGCATTGAGGGAAATTATGCCCTTTCAAATATTAAATGTCATCTATAGAAATGCCAGGCACCATTAAATATGGAGAGAGAAAATTGGAAAAGATTGCAGAGTTTTATTACTGTCTTTTTTTGCAAGTCACTTGTACACACATCCTACTTTCAAAGCAAACTCTAAAACTCTATACAAGAGTTATTCCCTCTGCAGCTGTTGTAGAGATATGACAGACTGGAATACAGTGTTGATTGAAGAGTGGGATTTTAGTGCAGTGTGATTTGTTTGTGCTTTGGAGTGCATGGTTTGTGGCTTTGTGGAAGGATGTACTATTTCTCTGAACATTGTCCAGCAAGCTGCTGCATGGGACTTCCTTTAGGGCCCAATGCAAAAATATTCTGTGATGAGTTTCCCAATCACAGCCTCTCAGAATATACATATAAATAAGCAGATGAAGTTCTGAAAAGCACCTTGTGGACTGAGCTAACTGCCTCTAGTGGAAAAGGCAGGAGAGATGAAGCTAGGCTCTCATTATTTACTGCTGATTGTAAGAATTAATAATGGATACTCTAAGCATATATTATTTATCAGTTCTGATCCTGGACAACAGAAATCCATTGAGGTCACCAAAGCTATCTTTTATTTAAAATCCAGAGCCCAGCAACTAGAAACACAAAGAGGAACAAGGTGAACTGGATGCCAGCTACGAAAGATATAAGTACTGTATAAAAGTCTCTTTACTGGAACAGACTCTTTTCTAGCCGTAAGTATCAGTCAGTAAGTTTTCTTCCAGGGGACAGCAAGGGGAGTGGATGGGAAATAAAAATTACTCACTAGTTTAGTAAGGTGACCATTTTACATTAACAAGTGACTAAATGCTCGGCATATGATGTCATCAAAAGATGGTATAAATTTCTAAATTGATTTGTTATCTAACTTTTATGACTCCTTTACATGAAGTATCAGTAAATAATTTAACCTCAAGGAGAGAGAAAAGATTTCCTTTATTCAACATGACCACTTCATTTGTTTCCTGATGTGGGAGATCTTTTAGCATGAGAGAGCAAGGATCCAATTAATTTCTTTCTCTATTCTCTCTAACTTCTTCACAAACATATAAAAATTGCTCTTTACTGAGTGCTCCTATTGCATTTCATTCATATCCTATTTAGCCATCACTAGATTGCTACCGAATTGAGGACAGGTCTATATTTTTTATTTCTCTGTGTAGCCCACAAATCTTCAATCATATAGCTAACCATATAATAAATGCTATATGATAAGTAAAAATAATGACAAAGTAAAGGAATGTACAAAAGTGTCAGGTAGGTATAAAGGTAAAATGTTTTTATAAAAACAAATGTGAACCTCTAATGAAATATACGTTGAAGAAAACTCTTCACTTCCGTTTATCATAAAAATGTCAGAATTTTAAAGACATTTAGGTGAAACAGCTCATTATGTGTATATTATGCCATTGCTTTTAATGGCAAAACCCGCAATTACTTTTGCACCGATGTATACTTTTGTTTTGTTTTGTTTTCTGATCACTATCTGTGTTTATATGATGCTAAGGCTTTAGGCTTTTGTATATTGTGTATTTTTGTACATTGATTATGTGGCTGAAGAAAATAATTTTGTGAATGTTATAAGCCTACGATCATTTGTAGAGCTATTTTCTTACCATGGAAGACACTATGGTTTAGAAAGCTTGTGTTGTATGCAAGGTCATCCAGACAGCAAAAGGTATAACCAGAATTAGAACTTAGGTCTAGTGATCTCCAAAGATATTTTATCATTTTAATTGCACTCTATTCTCATGGATTTCAAAAGCAGTCTTAGAATACAGAGAAATAAGTAAATATGGCTTGGCATGAAGAAGAATATAGTAACAGAGTTCTCAAAAATGGGAAGTGTTGAGCTCTCATTCACAGGAAGTGTTTCAGCACATGTTGGATGATCATGTCTCTGTGATGTTGCAGAAGGCATTTCTGCACATGTTAAGGACCAAGATAGATTATCTCTATGATCCCTTTTTGCTCTCAGAGATGTGGTGGTACCCAGATTGCATGAAGAGGTACTTGAGAGACACGCCCTTGGCTTTTGGATCACACCCAGTGTCTTCATTATAGAGCAGGTGCTGTCCAAAAAAGTAGGCTCTTAAGGAGAGAGAAAATGTGGCAGTGCAGGATAGAGAAATGTGATTAAAAAAAATTTGATGCTTGGAGTGGTGGAACATGCCTGTAATTCCAGAGCTTTGGGAGACTGAAGCAGGAGGATGGCTTGAATTTGAGGCTGCAGGAGCTATGATCGTGCCACTACACACTAGTCTAGGAAACAGAATAAAATCTCGTCTTGTAAAAATAAAAAAAGAAAAAAATTCCGGCTATGCTTACCAAATTCTCACAATATAACATCTATTTTACTACAAGAAATTATTAACATTTCATCAATCATCAACATTTCCCATCTTTTGATTGGTCAATACAATTAATTTTATTAATGCATGGCACTCTTCATTGTTCAAATAAAAAAACAAGAAGATGAAAACTTATTGATGAAAATTATGCTCCCCTTTTTGCTGAACTATAATGGCCATGCAAATTGAATGCAGACATAAATTACATTTGAGAAAATGGGCTCAGGGACATGTATTTATTCCATTTTTCATTTATTTATTGGTATAAATAATACATTACTCATAAAATGTTTTTCCTTGAAGAAACTTAGCAATCTTAATGTATTGAACTAGGAATAGAGAAGGAGTTGTTACTAAAAACATTTTTGAATAATAATTTTTCAGTAAGTACTCATATAAAATTTGTTTCATATGTTACATTCTGGTTCTGAGGTGCTATGGTATAAACCCTAAGAATACAACAGTATTCCTACCATCAGAAAATATAAAATCAAGATGTAACTAAAAAACTAACAAATATGGAACAGTTAGAGAACAAATAATATGAAACAAATAAGCATATGACAATATATGGTATTTATCTTTCTGGTTTTACAGTTTCTTTGCTGTTCCTTCAGCCTGGGACATTCTTACTACAGATATCCACATGGCTTTTATACTATCTGGCCCTCCATCTATTGTTCATTTCAGCAAAACTGCATTAGTTTATTTTTTCATAGCATTCATCATGATGCAAAATGATTTTATTTATGTATTTACTTGTTTCCTGACTTCAACTCAAAATGTAAGTTATGCTAGGGAAAAGGCCTTTATTTCATGTTCTATCCTCAAACCTAGAACAGTGTCTAAAATTATGTAAATGTTTAAAAAGTTTTCTTTTTAATAATTAATGCCTAGCATGGGCAGTTAGCAAAGGACCAGATCACTGTGAGCTGTAATGATTAAGAAAAGGCTTCAAGTAGAGTTCATTTTAATCTGAGTCTCACAGAATGTGAATGATTTGGGTTAGTCAAAAGGAAAAGAAAAAGCATTCGCAATTTGAGGAAAGAATACAGAAATATGTGCCCGGGTGATGAGACACAATATGTCAGATAATGAAAACCTGAATTGTGGACAGTTGTGGTGGATGAATTAAATAGATAGAGTGACACTCAACAGCAATCAATTGCTTACTTCCATCCATCAGGCATAGTTATTCATTCTGCAAATATTTACTGAATGCCTAATATATGTTGGGAAGTGTTCTAGACACTATGGAAATAATAGTGAAAAAAAAAGAGTCAAAGTTTCTATTCCTGAAGACAAAAATGTAACGTAGAAATAAATACAATAATCACTGTATAATATATGCTATGACAAAAATAAATAGGAACATATGATCAATACTGAGGTTAAAAGGCTTAAGATACATCCTGCTCAAAAGTAAGAGTAGTTAATGAATTATCTAATATAACTAGAAAAGCCAAACAAACAAAAGTTGAAAAAAAGATAAGAAAGTAAGAGCTATGATAGAAGTCTGCATAAAGGGTAATTTACCTTAGGAGGCCATGCAGTTCAGAGCTTGAGCCTGAGACAAGAGTACCTGCTGTGAATTTTGAGCAAGACACTTCACTTCTGTACATCTCAGACTCTTTATTTATGAAATGAATATACTTGTAGTAGAATCTTTATGAGGATCCAATAAAATAAACTTTGTAAAGCCATTTCTTTCTAATACATAATAAGTCCCCCCAAACAGTTATCACTCATCATTATTTTAGATTTGTTTATTTAATTGTTACTATAGCTCAATTATTTTCTGTTTTTTTTTTTTTGTTTTTTTTTTGAGGTGGAGTTTCACCCTTGTTGCCTGGAGTACAATGGCGCAATCTTGGCTCGCTGCAACCTCTATCTCCCTGATTCAAGCGATCCTTCCGACTTTGCATCCAGAGTAGTTGGGAATACAGGTGTGTGCCACCACACCTGGCTAATTTTGTATTTTTAGTAGAGGCAGTGTTTCACCATGTTGGTCAGGCTGGTCTCGAACTCCTGACCTCAGGTGATCCACCTGCCTCAGCTTCCCAAAGTGTTGGGACTACAGTCGTGAGCCACCGCGCCCAGCCTATAGCTCAATTCTTCTAGCTTCTATCAATTAACTTTTACATTTTTCTATTGACTTACACCTTCTTGACACAATATGAAGCTGAAATGCCAAGAGGTTATGTACCTTATGCAAGGTCATATAGCTGGTATGATTGGCAATTCAGATCCTTGTGCACTTAACTACTATACTATTCATTTTTTTGAGCTCAGAGGTGGAGATAAAGTGTGAACCTGACTTTGCAAATTGCATATATATATATATATATATGAGGAGCCCAAAGAGCTTTTGTTTATACTGTACTCACTGGTGTTTACCATATGAGAAATCAGTAACAAGAAATGTTTTAAAAGATTGTTTATCCATTTATGAGTAAGAATAGTGAACCTATACATGTTAATATACAAAATATGGTTTTACAAATTTATTTAATGTATAGTGCTTTCTTTCCTTATGCTGCATAATTGCCACACACTTAGAGGCTTAACACAACCACGATTTGTTACCTCACAGTTTCTGTGGGTCAAGATTCCAGGCATCACTGAACTAAGTTCTCTGCTTAAGGTCTCATAGCACTGCAAGCAAAATGTGGCTGGACTAAATTCTCAGGACCAGAGGTTCAACTGGAGAAGAATCCACTCCTGCGGGGACTTGGTTTTGGGTTGAATTCATTTTTTAGTGGTTGTAGGAGAGAAGTGCCTGTTTTCTTGTAGGCTGTCAGCTGAGGGCCACTCGCAGCTCCTAGTGCTCACCAGCAATTCCCTGTCATGAGGTTCTCACACAACATGGCAGCTTACTTCTTCAAAGCTACCAAATGAGTCCCTTTCTTTGGTCTGCTAAGTCTTATATAATGGAATATAATCATTAAAGTAACTTCCCTCTTTATGTTAGACTTTGCAAAAAACTACTACTAGAAAAAAGATAAATACTTCAGGGATAGGACTTGCTGGCCATCAGTGTTGTCTTTGTGGCACAGATTAGCAAATAAGGAAAACACTACCCGTTTGAAACACCTGAGATCAATGCCAAAATACACTCCATGTTAGGTGTCAATTCTCTGAGTTGTGTGTGATATAACCTAGAAAGTAAAAACAAAAACAAAAACAAAAAGGCACAGATGGATTTAGACAAAGAATTGATTCCTAGTCTTCAAATAAAAGATACTGTCTGGAACAGACAGTATGCCAGCACAAGATACCTATGCATTATAAGAAAGCCAAGATTCAGGCTTATTAAAGGGGACCCCTGGTGACATAGAAGGCTGAGATGATCTGGTCTAAAGGATGAAAAATTGAATTATATTTAGGCTAAGGATGTCCTCACCCAAGGCCATGATGTCAAACTGGCCCTTACCATGGTCCAGACAAAACCTTGATATAGGGTTCATAATGGATCCATAATTTACATGGCATATTTTAATATGTTGACATCAGTGTAACAGATTATAATTTTGACTTATTACATGCTCACAGTAATGATACCATCCTTGTGGTGATAGAAGCCTTAAGATTTGTGCAGTTTCTGTACCATCTCATGCCTTAGTCTAGCCACCTGTATATTCTACATCATGGTTTCACAAGGCCAGCAGTATTGACATTTCAGGCTAGATAATGTGTGTGTGTGTGTGTGTGTGTTTTCCTGGTCTTTACTCACAAAATGCCAGTAGCACAGCACCTCTCCCAAGTTGTGACAACCAAAAATATCTTCAGATACTGCAAGTTTACCAAACGTCTCCTGAGGGACATAATCAACCCCAGCTAAGTGGTTTTATGTCGATTAAAAGCATTATCCATAGTATTATCTGCCTCCAAGTGCATGAATCTATGACTATATTACAGTTTTAGATGGCACTGTTCAATGCTTATTGTAAATAATCAACATATTTAATGAGCCCAACCGCCCAAAACCAGCCAAAAGACATGTCATTTAAATATTTCTTTTTGTACTGATATATGATGCTTATACATTTTTGGTGGAAATGTGAAATTTTGATACATGCAGACAATGCGTAATGATCAAATCAGAGTAATTGAGATGTTTATTGACTCAAATATTTATCTTTATATTGGAAACATTCAAATTTTTCTCTTCTGGCTATTTAAAAATATACAATAAATTATTATTAAGAATGGTCACTCTACTGTACTATCAACCAATAGATCTTATTCCTTCTAACTGTATTTTTGTGCTCATTTATCAACCTCTATTCCCCTCCCTCCTACCTTTCCTGGCCTCTGATAACCATCAATCTACTCTGTACTTCCATGAGATCCACCTTTACAGTTCTCACATATAAGATATGTGATATTTGTCATTCTGTGTCTGGCTTACTTCACTTAACATAATGACCTTCAGCCATAAGAAATAATAAAATCCTGTTATATGTAGCAAGGTGGATTAAACTGGAGGTCATTCTCGTATTACTTAACTTTTCTACTTGCAAATTCCTTAACTTTTATACTTTCATACAAACATTTATACCAACTACTGACAATGTGACTGGTCTACTTGCTTCACCATAGCTGACTGCCTAAAACAACTCACTTCATTGTTTTTCCATTTAACAAATCTATTTCAGAGCAACCGTGACTTCAAATTCTGATGTTTTCTTACAACTCTCAGTACTACTAATAACCTCCAAGTACTAGCCTGCTTGGAGGAATCGTAGGTAACTCAGATAAAACTCAAAGACACCTTTTGGCACACCACAGAGCAGTACCTGGAATATCTTTATCAAACCACAGGAACAAGTCGCTGAATGAAAATTATCTTCTGGTTCAATTGTAGGCATATTCTTACTACTTATGTTTGAGTGTAGAGGACCAGCTCTTGGGACCCTTACGGTGATATTGATTATTAACTCTGTGGCTTCCTGACTGTAATTTCCCCCAACCATGAATATTACTACTGTGTCGCACTGCCTTCTGTTATGGCACACTAAATCCCAGCTCTTCAACCTCTGCCACTGTGATAGGTTGTAGTATCAGAGGAGAAATAAAAATCATATGTTAAAGTAAGTGAGATACTCCTGTAAGGGCTGCTGCCTTTCCAGGTCTAATGTGAAAGTGGTGAACTGGAGGATAATTGCAAAATCTTGTCTACTTCAGAAATCTGCCAGAGGATCTAGACTCACTTGGCTTTAGGGAGGGGAGATTGGAAAGACGGCATGAGGTAGTATTATACACATACAGTCAGCCTGCTGATCTGTTCCCAGGACAAACACATCAGAAACCAAGACTGAAATATAAACTACTGCAGCAAACTCAGAACCAAGTCAAAAATAATTTTCCTAGATTCACATTATTTCTGATTATTGTGTATTTCTTTCTTTACTTCCTTTCTTTGCTTTCTTAAAAATATTGCTATGAAATATTTTAACCATATAGAAGAGAGCAGGCAATAGTAAAACAACATCCACATATATAAATCTTAAAAAGATAGCAGTTTGCAGATATGGGAAATTGGAGAAAAATATATTGAGCGTCATTACATTTATATAAAGTTTGTAAATATGCCAAACAATATGATGTGATATTTTTCATATGAAATGTTTTATTTTAACCTACAAAACCAATATTTAAAAAAGAGTTAAAATGTATTAAAATGTTACAGTACAATTGAAACCCTCAAGTTTTCTCTTCCTTCAAAAAGTAATCCTATGAGGATTTTGGAGTTTATATTTCTATACATGTTTTATGATATTTTTACATATCAAATTATCCATATAAAACATATAGCATAGTTCTCTGTGTTTTCAAATTTTACATAGTTGGCCTCTTAAAGATATTTCATGCATATCATCATTGCTTATGAGATATTTTTCATGTTGATACATGCAATCCTAATGTATTTCTTTTACTGAATAATATATCCTTGGATGATTGTAATGTGTTTATCTATTTATGTTTTGTCTTCTAGGGAGACATTGAAATTTTTTCTCTAATATTTTGAAATTAGAACTAACTCCCTCAATGGACTCTGTTATCCATGTCTCTTGGGCACAGCTGTGAGAACTTTAGAGATTACCCATAAGGTACAGTTGACAATTCTGTAGGATAATGAACCTTAAGTGTCAATATCACAACTCAGTACTTGTGCTGTAGTCCTATTTTCAAATCAGGGTCATGGATACTGCTACAGGGGTTTTCAATATCCTCGGCCACACTTCACATCTGGTAGGAGAGGTTTGATACTCTTCTCTTCATTCACTAAATGATATTCATTTTTATGACTTCAAGAATTTTCTATATGCTGACGTCATTCTATTCAGTACCTCAGATTCAAAATTCTGAGCTCAAAGCAGCTGTTTATTTATTAATTCATTCACTTATTTATTCATGCACACAGAAAGTATGTTTTAATACTCTACCAGAAACATCAAAATTGACATGTCTGAAACTATATTAATCATCTGCCACTGCCAAATTTCTTATTCTAAGTTTCTTATTACATAGACAATCACTTACTTGTTTTCTTTGTCCTCAGTTCTGATTCTGATTTGTCCAATCCTTTATTCTTATTGTAGCTGGCATAATCTTATGAATTTGAAAATTAATGTTGCTTTTCTATTTATCTGATGATGTTACCCTCCAATAGTACCCTGTCACTTTCACGGCCCCAAGATGAGTGTAGTGAGCATGTTTTTCCCTTTACCCACCACTAATTTCCAGCTCTAATTTCCAGATGAAACCACACTACTAGCTACTTGCGTTTTGTTGTTCATTTTCTCATCGCTTGTCTTTTCACTGCCTAGAATTTCTCTCCTCCTTCTTCACCTGGCTAACTCCTCCATGTCTTCTAAGGTTGACCTTCCACAAGAAGTTTTGCTTGTCTTTGAATTATGAACCAGTGATCTTTTTGTGTTTTTCCTGTGGCATATTGTTTGGCACTTTTATCATATCACATATCATAAGCTGCCTAATTTGGCAGTTTGCTTACTTGTCTCTCCCATTAACTCAGGTCTCTTCAAAGGCAGAGCTAATGCTTTATATCACTACCTTCCTGTAGCTCAAATTGAGGTTAATTCTTAGCAGATCCCAATCAAACAACAGGGCAAGCATGACAAAATTACTTCTTCAAGGTCATACTGTTAGAACTGGGTTGAGAAGTCAAGTCTACTCATTTCCAGTGCAGGCCTCTTTTCATCACCAATCAGGGAAACTGTCATTTGTTCAAAACTAATATCAACATATATCAGCATCATATGATATTAAGGTTGCCAAGGAAACCTATTTATGTCCAAAATGTCATTTTTCATTACTGACTGATTCTTAAAATCTCATCAGCAGGAATATAAAATGAGTAAATTCTTAAAATGCAAACATTTTAATAAGAGAGAATGGTAGTTTACACTAAGCTAATAGTACACACATTTGTCCTGAAGCAAGAATGATGATATAAGAGTCTTTCCCATTAAACAGGTGGGAAGGCTAAGAGAAAAAATAGAGGACCTAAAGCCACTGGGAACTTAGAAAAACAGGCAAAATGGCTGGAGATGATGAAAGTCAACTCCATCTATTTTGCCTTGGGCTGGTATCTTTTTGAATCATACACATGGGACAAAATGGTGTCTACTTACCAGTGTGCTTTTGCAATTGCACTACTTATTCTTCTTCTCCTTTAACATCCATACCCAAAGAGGCATACTCATACATTTGATCTTTTCTTCCAAAAACAAGTATGGCATTCAAAGCACACTCAAGATTTACGTCTCATATAGTAACAAAGATAGACCTATAAAAATAAACACTTTATATTAATTAAATAATTACCATAAAATTCTGTACTTTGGGAGATAGGAAGTCTCCCATATTCTTTATGGGAGACTTCTCCCATATCCTCAGGGAGAAGATAATGATTGAGGTTGGGGTGGAACACAGGAGAGGCCAGAGTGGTACCAGTGGTTGTGGTTTCTTATTCTCCGCTTTCTTCATCATAGTCTTAATTGACATCATTACCTTTTTCTTCTTTCTATTTTGTTTTTTACTGCTTCACATATTTGGCTTCCAAATGTACTCAAATTCCTTTTATTTATTTATTTTAAATATACTTCACTTTTTACAGCCATTTTTGATTCATAGCAAAATTGAAAGACACTTACTTCCATAGAGTTTCATCCACTGTCAGTATCCCCCACCAGAGTAGTGTATTTGTTACAGTCAATGAACATACGCTGACACAGTGTTATCCCTGAAAGATCACGGTTTGTATTACAATTTACTCTTAGAGTTGTATATTCCATGAGTTTAGCAAAATGTATAATTAAGTGTATCTACCATTATAGTATCCTGCCAAGTAGTTTCACTGCTGTAAAAATCCTCTGTGCTCTACCTATTCATCCATCCTGATAAACTCAGATCTTTTTACTCTCTCCACTGTTGTGGCTTTTCTAGAATGCCATATAATTGGAATCATATAATATCTAGCCTTTTCAGATTGGCTTATTTTACATAGTAATATGCATTTAAGTGTTCTCCATGTCTTTTCGTGGCTTGATATCTTATTTCTGTTTAGTGCTGAATAACATTTCATCGTCTGGTTGTACTACAGTTTATTTATCCATTCACCTACTAAAGGGTATCTTGGTTTCTTCCAAGTTTTGGCAATTATTGATAAAGCTACTATATACATTCATGAGTGGGTATTTTTGTGGACTTATGACTTTTCACCTCCTTTGAGTAAATATCAAGGAGCATGATTGCTGAATTGTAGGTTAAGCATATATTTAGTTTTAATGAAACTGCCAAATTGTCTTCCAATGTAGCTATACCAGTTTTCATACCCATCATCAATGAACAAGTGTTTCTGTTGCTCCACATCTTTTCTAGCATTTGGTGTTGTTTGTGGTTTGGATTTGAGCCATTCTAATAGGCATGTAGTGGTATCTCATTGCTATTTCTTGTATTTTTCTGATGATATATGATATAAAGAATCTTTTCATATGGTTAATTTTCTTCTGCATATATTTTTCTTCTTCTGTTGAGGTGCACGTTAAGGTATTTGGCTCATTTTAAAAATTCAGTTGTTTTCTTATTTGTGTGTCCTAAGAATTCTTTCAATATTTTGAATAGCAGTCCTCTATCACTTACGTATTTAGCAAATATTTTCACCCAGTCTGTGGCTTATCTTTTTATTCTCTTGACAGTGTCTTTCATGGAGCATAAATCTTTAAGTTTAATTCATCTTACCAATTTTTTCTTTTATGGATTTCACCATTGATGTCCTATCTGAAAAGTCTTCCCCAAACGCAAGGTCATTCTAGATTTTCTTCTAGGGATTATGTGTTTACATTGGTGTTCACATTTCTGTTTTCTGCACTTTTCTATGTGTGTGTTTTAGTTCAAAAAAAATCTAGAAAAGCTTATAAAAAGGAAAAAAAGTCAAAGGAAGATATGTTTTCAAGAACAAAAGGACTATAATAGAATCACTTTTAATCTAATATAAAGATTAGAAAACTGAGATGTACAATAGAAAGGATTTAAAGAAAGGTGATAAAGGAACGATGTTGAAATTTCTTGAGCTCTAGTTCAATTAGTTCATCTCTTCTCTCATTCATATATATGTGCATATATATGTATATATAAATATGTGTGTGTATATACACACACACAGACACATACACATATCAACAGTGGATGAAACTCTATGGAAGTAAGTGTCTTCCTTTGATTTTGCTATGAATCAAAACACCACAATTCTATTAAGGAAATGTTATTCTTATATCCTCATTTTATATGAAGGAAACTAAAGATGAGGGAAATTGAGCAACTTATATAAGGTGGAGAAATATAAAGCATCTCTTGACAGCTGGGAGCTGGCCTGGTACCATCAACTGTGTTTTGGTGCTCACCAATTTTACAGAACATCCACACAAGATAAGGGTGGTCATTAAGCCAAAATCTGGCTATTTTGTAATCATCCCTGAATGCATGCACAAAATTGAATATTTTCCAAGTCACAAACACCCCCTATCCTTATTAATGAGTGACTGCTACTTCTTTATCAATTATAACTTCACCTCAGCCTATTTTTTCTGGGTTTTAGATATGAGTTTTTAATATAAATAATCATGTAATTAACCACACTTCATCATAGTATCTAAGCCAGAGCAAAGCCTCATTTCTTTCAAATGCTTATCAAAACTAACTAAGATAACCCTAAGTTCCATAAAAGTCTTTTCTAACATGCCCCTATTGAGAAACCCCACGATTCCCATGGTATGTGTTTTTCCTCAATGCAACAGAAAAGATACCCAACTTACTCAACTATAGGTGTGTTCCTGGTCATCTTTGGCTGAAGGGCATGGGCAGGGTCAAATGTGCTTGCTTGCTTTGGAGATCATTTTAAATTAATAGAGGAGTTCTGTTTTCTATTTAAAGACAAAGCATAGCAAGGCACGTTTGAGGTAGAGATGAAGGAACTTGCAAGAGTAACAGACTTTCTATTCTGTCAACTTTCTTGGTTTCCAGAATCTTTCCTACTCTCTATAATTTGCTTCCTTATGCTAAGACAGACAAGTTATATTTAAAACCTGTGGTATACAGAAATTTCAGTATCTCAAGAAAGTCCTATAACTCCATTTTAATAAGCTTGGTAATGAAATTAAAATGTATCACATAATGATTTTCTTTTGCTTCTGCTTAGGGTACACTGGCAGTTTACGGAAGTCAGATGTGTTCAGACTAAATGTAATGTTTGTAGTTCCACAGAAAGCAGCTTTCCTTTTTTCTCTTTCATTTCTTAGCTCTGAAAATCTCCTGAATATGAATCTGTGGGTCCTTGTTTAATGACATATGCTGTGTGGTTAAGATTTCTCACCAGTTCATTGATGCATTAGATCTTTAAAATAAGGAGGAGTAATGAGTATAAGCAAGATGAGTAAAATGTGAGCCTAAAAATGATGAAAGAGAAGCATGGAGACTCAAAGGTGTGATGGTTTCAGTTAATGGTCTCTCATTCTTTGAACTCTCCGAATTCACTGTGACTAAACACTTCTGAAGCTACAGCCAAGAAAAATGTTGAGAAACATTTGAGAAACCAATGAAAATAGATAAAATCACTGTTTAAAAATGTACAAATTTATTAATGTAATGGAGAGAAATATGGAAAAGGAACCAGGCATATGCACAGAAAAGGAAAAGAGGAAAGAAAGATGAGATTTGCCGATATTTTCATATTTTCATATTAATAACCTAGTTGAGCATGACGTGGTGGTTTTAAAATATAACTTGAAATTACTTGATATTCTTCCTATAAAAAAGTGAATTCTGTTTCCTCTCCATGCCTTTGTGACTGTCTCAATGAGTAGATTGCATTGGAAGTGATGTTGTGTGACTGTTGACCACAGCTTAGAAAAAGCCATTTAGTGTCTGCTGATTTATCTAGGAAAAGCACTCTCAGAGTTTTCAGTAGCCCGATAAGAAGCCTAACTTCTTCTAAGAAGATACTGGAGAAAGCCTACATGAAGTTATAGTGGAGAGAGAGGAAGATGCCCCGTTGTTACAGACTTTCTAGCACAGGTTCCAGAAAAAGGGAATGATGACATTCATTTCAGGTAGCATCTGACTACAGATGCTTCAGAGTCTCAAAGTAAGAACATCCTGGTGAAGTTCACTTTTAGACTTGTGAGAAAAATTGTGAAAGAGGCCTGATTTCCTCTCTCCAATTAGCTTTGCATTATGGAATACAGGCCAATCCCACCAGACAATTGGGTCTAAGTGAATTTTGTGATAGTTAATTACATCTTCTCCGTTTTTAGCTCAGTATGCTTGCAGGAATCATTTCTGGTGAGTGCTATTAGCCTCATATGGTTAAAATCTTTGGATGGTTGACATTTATAAGAAAAATAACTGAAGTACTCTTTTCTGATTATGAAACTGACATTATGGTGTAGATGTGAATAAATGAGCATCTTCATTTGGCCATAATAAAAAACTGACAAATCACTGCCCACCAGGAATAGATCTTCAGCAACTATCCTTAGACAGATGAGAAAGCACAGATATGATTTCTCAAGGACAAAAAAAAAATCAAGCAAGAAACTTGGACAAATGTTTGAAGACGTATTTGTTCTTGATAAAAAAATTGATGACTAGAAGAAATCTTAAACTGGGCATTCTCTTCCTCATGTTGAAAGGGAAATAATTTAATGTGCTGAGTAGGATCTAGGTAAGGTAGTTCTGGATTTACTTCTACCTCAACGACATATTATCTGTGTGACCTAATAGCAAATTTAATCTCTCTAAAGCTCAGATTATTTTTCTGAAATTTGGGTGAAAGTGTGTATGTAAGGATAATCTGACCTCAAATTGTTGTGAAGGTAAAATAGGACAATAGTAAAACATTTAGCAAATTCCGGTTTAGAATGTGGTTAATAAATAGTATAATTTTTCCTCATCTCTCAGAGTGAGTCTTCTCAGTAAAGTTTTACGTGTTGTGCAGTGGAGGCACCAGCAAAATATTCAATTAATGATAGTTAATTGGCATGATTCTGGAAATAAATTGTTTGTCAAATAACTAGCAAATGGGTGATGACAGCCATTTGTGATAGTACACCAAATTGAATAAATTAAGCAATAACGAGTGGACAGATAAACTCATGTCTTCTCTCTTCTGAAAAGGGAGAGTTCCCTGATCCCCCTCCCAGACATGTGACAGGGGTGTGGCTCATCTGTTTGGCCGTGGGCACTACTCAAACCCCTTACCAGAGGGGGAGCACACAGATGAACAGGTAAAGGACCCTAAATGGGTGTGTGTTACAGTGTGCCCTTTTAGCCCTGCCATCCACAGACGGCTTGAGTGTTAATCAGTTCAATGGGCCCTCTGCCTTTCTGCAAGAGCAGAGGGCCAGTGTGACAGCTTTATATGTCCTGTGCTCTTATGCAGTGTCCTGGAAAACTTGGGCCATACACAGAATCAAAGGATGAATGCGGGAGTTTTACTGAGTGGTGGAGGTGGCTCTCAGTGGGATGGATGGGGACCAGGAAGAAGGGATGGATTGGGAAGATGATCTTCCCCTGGAGTTTGGCCATCCAGTAGCCGAACTCCTCTCCAACCGCCCCTAGCCGAACTCCTCTCAGTGTTCAGATGTTCCTTCTTTTTCTCTCTTTCTTTGCTGCCGCGTCCGTCTGCGTGTCTCCTGGTCTCCTCGCCTGCTTTGTCTGCTTCTGGAGCCTGAGGTTTGGGGGTTATATGGGTACAGGATAGGGCGCGTGGCGAGCCAAAAAGCAACTTTTTGGGCACGAAAACAGGAATGCCTGTCCTCATTTATGGCCGCGAGTATCCAGGCTTGAGGATAGGGCCTTTGCGGGGAACCACCCCCTTCTCCCCAGTATTTCCCTGTCTCCTGTCCATATCACTTCCACCTAAATTCCTGGCCCTAAACATTCTTAAACACATAGCTGTCCCATAAAGGTCTAACGATAATAAATGCATCATGTTGGCTGCACCATATGCTGGGGCATACCTGAATACGACCTCTGAAATTCTGAGAAAAGATAATAATGAACTTAGAATTCTGGATTCAGCCCCTAAAATCAATCATATGTGATACAATATAGATATTTCAAAGACACAATAATTCAGAATATGGACTTTTCTTACCTTTCCTGCTCAGTTACTTGAGAAGGTGATAGAAAGCTCCCGAGCCTAAAGGAAATTAGGTGAGTGTAGAGATTTGACACTGTCTTTTAGAAATGGAAACATCTGAATAATGTGAGAAAAGTATTTACAGCATTCCTATTACTTACCCCTTCTCTGCTATAGGAGGTGGAATAGAGTGACCAGGACATTTCCTTATAAACCTGCTAATGAACTTGACCAGGTACACTTGTACAATATACATGGGATTGGCTAGAGAAAGACATTTGAAAGTTGTTTTCTCGTAAAGTCTTCTAGCAGGGTATACCTGGTTTGACTAGAGTGTTTATTGTAAGTATACCTGTGATTATAAATTTATGGGTCATAATTAAATTACTGAAGCGGCATAAAAGGGAAGAGTAATAAAAAAAAAGAAATGACTTCTTTTGTGAGCACTGTTTTTGCCTATATTGCTCAAGATTTATCTGTTACTATGAAATAAAATCAAATCTTAATACAGAAAAGAAGAATTTTCTGAAACATGCATATGATAGTTTAAAATTTATATGAGAAGTGAATGCTTTGACTATGCCTAGTACTCACTTATATCATTTTTATAAATACAAAAAGTTTGGTATCAAGCAAGACTTATAATTTAGGTGAGTCCTTTTAGTCAGATCAACTTTTTACATTGACACAGTGTTGAATACAAACAAGTAAAAAGGCCATTTAAAACTCAAGAAAAAGCAATGGATGTATAAGAAAAGTATTACAATAACAATATAGTCATCCTTCAGTTTTCATGGGGAATTCGTTCCAGGATGTCCCACAGATAACCAAATTCTTGGATGCTCAAGTCCCTTATAGAAAATGGTATAGTATTTACATATAAGCTACACATATCCTCCAATATAGTTTAAATAATCTCTTAATTATTTATAATTCATAATACGATGTAAATGCTATATAAATATTTGCTATACTGTATTGTTTTGGTAATAATTACAAGAAAAATGTCTGTACATGTTCAGTATAAATGCAACCTCCATTTTTTTTCCAAAAATTTGTAATCTGGTTTGTTGAATATATGGCTGCAGAACCTACAGGTACAGAAGGCCAACTATGTATTAATTAACTGCATAATAAATCATATATGCATAGTCATTAACAAAGAAAAGACTTCATTGATTCTCAATATTTAGAATCAACATATAGACAAAGCACAGAATATATGATTATATTATGAAGTAGAATATAAATGCTATTAACCTTGGCATTAAAATACAGATAAAAGGAGTTCAGAGGTCAAGGGAAAATAGAGTTGAAAAAAATTGTCGATAGTTTGCTTATTTTACAAAGTGAGCAGCATAGACACAGCTTGGTTGTTTGTAAAAACAAAAGCTAAATGAATCACAAAATGGTATGTTTCCAAAATGTATATATTAAGGAAATCTAAAATAGTGAATTCATTATTTGAGAAAGGAAAGAATATTCCATAGTAGTTAGAATAGTTAGTGTTTATCACATTAGGAGATAGAGATAGCAAAAACTGATAAATCAAAAAATTAGAAACATAAACAGACGCGTGTCACACAATGACTTTTCAATGACAGACCACATGTCCAATGGTGGTCCCATAAGATTATAATACTGTATTTTGACTGTACCTTTCCTATGATTAGCTTTGTTTAGATAGACAAATATTTACCACTGTGTTACAATTGCCTATAGTATTCAGTACAGTAACTTGCTGTTCAGGTTTATAGCATAGGAGCAATAAGCTATAGCATGTGGCCTAGGTGTACAGCAGGCTCTACCATCTAGGTTTGTGTATACATTCTATGATGTTCAGGGAACCACGAAATCGCCTAATGATACACTTCTCAGAACGCACCCCTGTCATTAAGTGACACATGGCTATATAGACAGAGGAAGATAATCAGCAAAAGACATAGTTCCTCTTTATAAGCCTGTGTATACTACATAATAAAATATGCACATATATTACCTTAGCTATACACTTATACATATGTGCAGCCAAACTAGTGTATGTTCATCTTAATAATACATTTTATATACGTTTATATACGTGTGTGTGTATGTATATAGATATATAAAGAGGAAGAGAGAGAGAAGAGAGGGAGCTTGAAAAATGGATGGAAAATAAGACTCTTAAGACTAAAATTTTATCTGCCTCTGCTCAGGAGATAAAGCCCTGACGCTAAAATGTAATAATTTAGAATAATTCTGGTGGAAATATTTCCAGTTATCTTAGTTGCAGAAATGCTTGCTAAATTCTCCCAATTAGCCTGTATTCACTCTCAATATCCAGAAAGGAATTTATGATTATAACTGAATAGATGCATCAGAAAACAAAGAGAGTATGTGAACTACATATTAAAATCTCAGAAAAATTAATAAATTTATATTTAGATTTATAACAGAGTTTCTCATAGACTTAATGGTGTTAAAATTACCCCAGTAATAATTTGTTTTAGAAATACTTATTAAAGCAGTTGTCTGAACTCGGGAGCCATAGACCAATGGGCTACATAGTGCTCATGTTTCTCGTGGAGATGACAAAGATGAAGGAAGCAAGCCCAACAAAGTGTTTTTCTTGCTTCTGCTTGTATCATATTTACTAACATTTCGTTAGCCAAAGCAAGTCACATGAGCACACAAAAAGCCAAGTAGTGGTGAAGTAAATTTAACCTGCAGAGGCGGAAGGAACTGTAAAGTGACATGGTGAATGTTTCGGATAAGGGAATGGTGAATAGTTCAGTCCAATGGAGCAATCTACAAGCTATCTCAAGGCTAAGACAGTTACTTGTATATAAAGGTTACAATTGAATATTTGTTTTTGAGCTTTCTTATAATAGACTTTCCATTTACAGGTTTAAGAATTATCTCTAGCCCATACCCATCTCTCTCTAAATAATGTATGCTAAACAAATTGGAAAGTGAAGGAACATTAAGCAGGATAAAATAGGAAAACATATTTCATTTCTAATTCACTGATAAACAGGTAGAAAAAGCTTACATTTGGGACATGCAAGCCAGCAATTTGCTCATGCTGACTTGGCAGTAATAACTCAACTAATCTGTATTTATGTAAACAAAATAGATAAAATTTTTCATTTGAAATGGTGTGTTTCTGTTTCATTTAGACAGAAAGAGAGGCACCTAAGTTAAGTCTATTTCACAAAAAATAAAAAGAAATATATGCATCTTTTAAAACTTCCAAAATAGTCTTGGAAGGCATATGTATGAGAGTGGTAAGTAGGTGGACAATTCAGGTGCTATGGAGAAGATAGCAAGATGGGAATGGTTCAAACTGAGAATATGAATGCCATTGTTAAGTACAGAGAGAAGCAAGTACACCTTTGTCTACTGAGAGAAGAAAATGGAAGAAAATGCTTTAGAGACATACAGTAATAAAGATGGAAAAACTCAGTCTTTACATAATTGATTGCTGTAAGTCACGTCAGAGATTGAGTAACACGTGGAAAGAATACGTATTGGGGGTAGAATTAATCCTGAAAGAAAATGGCTGCTATTGTGGGAAAGCAAAACAAACAAACAAACAAACAAACAAACCCTCAACACTTGGTAAAATGGGGGATGACCAAGGAGTGGAATAACGATATTCATATTACAGCAAGCACTAGGAGTGAGGCAAGACTGTTATCATGAGAGTGTTTGATCCAATAACCAAAACAAACAGATACTTAGGTTTTCTAAGTATATTGACTGTAAATTTTAAAAATTATTTATTTAAATCTGCACATAGGACTATATACTTTTTTCCCCCTCTGAGACAGAGTCTTGCTCTGTCGCCCAGGCTGGAGTGCAGTGGTGCGATCTCAGCTCACTGTAAGCTCCGCCTCCCGGGTTCATGCCATTCTCTCGCCTCGGCCTCCCGAGTAGCTGGGACTACAGGCGCCTGCCACCACGCCCGGTTAATTTTGTTTTTGTATTTTTAGTAGAGACGGGGTTTCACCTTGTTAGCCAGGATGGTCTCGATTTCCTGACCTTGTGATCCGCCCGCCTCCTGACCTCGTGATCCGCCCGCCTCGGCCTCCCAAAGTGCTGGGATTACAGGTGTGAGCCACCGTGCCCGGCCATCTAAAGTAAAACATTTAATATGTCTGGATCTGGAAACACATGCATTAAGGTTTTATTAGAAAATAGTTGGGCACATTGTGGAGAAGTGGTAATTGAGTCTAGGTTTTGTCTAAATGATCAAAGTTGTGGCTTAAAAGTGTGATTTAAATTGATTTGGGTTAAATCAAATCCACCTTAGATCCTGCTACTTATGCTTGCAATCTTACCTAAGGATTATTGTATAAGAAGAAGAAATGCCAAGCATTAGAAGAGACAACCAGGAAACAGTGCTGTAAATGAATGCCCACACTGAGAAACAACACATATTTTCCCCTGACTTTGAAAATGGATGTATTAGTTGCAAATACAATAAAATAACAGCATGAATATTTGATATAACTAAACAATGCCTTCAACCTAACCTCGGAAAACTCTTGACCCAGCACATTCTCACAAATTACAGCAAGATTTTCAAAAATCAGAGACTGCACATTGTCTACTGCACATTTTTTTACATTACTTCACCAAATTCGTTTTAAGCAACTCCTTGGAAATATTACCTATGAATACCCAGATGAATAAGTGAGAGCCCTGTCCTCAAGAAGAAGAGACACATGCACTGATAATTACTGTTACAATAATAGGAGTAGGTCCTGTGTGTTAAGGAAACACAGAGAAGCAGCTCTTAAACTGACCTTAGATAGCTATGGGACGCTTTCTAGAGGAGCTGATAATTGAATTGAGTGAATTGAGCCAAAGGATCAGGGAAGTGTGATCTTGGCAGAGAGAAGATAGGCAAAGGCACAAAAATAAGAAATAGCTTAATGTGTAGAAGAAACTACTTATAATTAGGATAATTAGAGAGTGGTGTAGGAGGCTGAGCTTGGCAGGGAATGAGGTTGTGGAGGTCACCTAACAGCATCATAGGTCAGGCTAAGGCTTTTTCTTTGGCAAATGGATTAAAAAATGTTTTTATTGTGTATCTTTATCACTAAAAATATTTTAAGAATGCACTTTCAATATAATTTATGAGTGATATCCAAGTATTATTACAGCAATATATTGGAAACAGTATAAAACATTCATACAAACAAAACATGTTTTAAAGGATAAGACAAACCATAAGTGGAAATTCTAATATTTTCCTCCTACACATCAATAATTTACCAAGTGTATTTCTGGGTTGGAGGGGGATACACCCCCCTTGAGAATCACAATTCGAAACTCTGAGAGTAAGGGAAGTGTTGTAGCAGAGAATTGACTTGGTTATTCTAAAAGCAGAATGGAGGTTAGAGTTAAGACAGCCAAGATTAGAAAGGAGAAAGAACAGTTAGGAGAAGGTCAGTAAGAGTGATACTGGTAAGATGGAGTGTAAATAAATTCTGAGGAAGAATTAGCTGGTCATAGTAGTGGGTGCCTGTAATCCCAGCTACTCAGGAGGCTGAGGCAGGAGAATCACTTGAACCTGGGCGGCCTAGGTTGCAGTGAGCAGAGATGGCACCACTGCACTCCAGCCAGGGCGACGAAGTGAGACTCTGTCTCAAAAAAACAAAAAACAACAACTACTACTACAAAAAATCCTGAGGAAGAAGAAACAGCTGGCATATTAACTATTGTCTTTGGATGGCAACTCCTATGTTCATAACTTAGTGTTAATTAAATGATTAAATTAGTTAAAGATTTCATAAAGAGGGCCAAGTTTAGCAGGTTAGTGTCCCATTTTTCCAGATACTTATTCTCCATTCAAATAATCTTGCAAAAATGCTAGCAACAGAATAATTTCAATATGCTGTGTTTATCTACCAAAACATATGTCCATTTAAGGGCCTATATTTAGTTCTTTAACTCACTAAAGAAGAAAGTGGCTACTTAAGACAGGGTAACACAATGGCAAAATAATAAAAATCCAGCTGATTTAGCTTCATGCAGTCTCTCAAAGTCACTAACAAGATCACTTATGTACATCTGCCAAGATGTAAGGGGTGACCATGGCAGTTAAAATAGATAGTTTTGGGACACAGAAACTTTTTAAAGAATAGGTTTTTTGTTTGTTTGTTTGTTTTTTTGGAATGGTTATTAAGTTCCAGTGCTGGGAGTCAGAAAAAATCCAAAAAGGGCAGACTTTCTATCCCTATAATAATCTTCCAAAATTTTGAAATTGTCCTTGGCATTTGAAAAAGTCTAAACACCCAACCATGAAAGCACTTTTGGATCTAATAATCTTTTATAAGAAATTTTCTTTACGGAAGATTAAAGCTTTCTACAAATGTTCATTTCAATCTGACAGCATCTCTGCTGCAGGAAATACATGAAGGTAGGTCAATTTCATTGGATGAAGAAGGAGGCAAAATGAGAAGAATAGTAGACTTGGGGCTGGAAGGTATTGCAGTGATTGGTTTCAGTCTCGAACAGCTTTTTATTGTCAAGCTTCTTCAAGGATGTGAGGAGAATTTTTGATGTTGAAAATATTTTTTTCATGTTTTTATGAGAAAATAGAAATGGCACGTTTTAAATAAAAAATAACAGAATGGAACTAGAAGGAATGATAGAGACATAGTTGATCAAAATCTTAATTCTGCCTTGACATTGTAGAATCACAGCAGAGGGAACTCAAGTCTCAATGAGTTCAGCCACTCGCTGGATATATAAGATGCACATATTCCCATTTGCAGATGACAAAACTATAATTAAACAAGGTTAAATACTCTGTCCATAAAGCAGTGAGTTATTGGTGAAGGAATGGGAAATTAGGCTGCCTGCATTTTACAACCATCCATGAGGTAAATGTCAGGAAATATGTTTGTTACCTACAAATTAATTATGTTGTATATGCTATTTTTAAATAGCTGTTTTTAATTTGATAAAGAAACCATTTAACTGAAACATGAGTGTACATATGTCTATGTATTTCTGTGGACATCTATATATCTGTCTATATCTTTAAAAGACCTATTTTGGTCAATAGAACAAGTGGAATTAAAATTTATCTGGATTGTATATTACAATGAATTTGCACAAAATCAAATATTCTGTGATATATTTTAAGTGTATTTGTCTTTTTTTTCACTATTCAAATAAGAGAAATCTAGGTGAATATAGATATAGGTTATTTCTGATGTTTTTCTCACAGTAGACTACATTTTATTAGCAATTACTTTTGCACCAACCTAATAAATCTGAAGTACAAAAACTGAGTGGAAAAGATGAGGAACTGAAGTAAACATTTTGCTCTTTTTTGGGATAGAATCATCATCCTGAGAGACTAGTGCTTTTATCCTCTTTACAAACACTTTCAGGTAATGTGTTGTCATAGTCCAGATCTGCAGAGCTTAAGAGAAAGAGTTGACATTGGAAAACCTAAATGTGCCTCATTAAAGATCTGGGACAAAGTGAATTGTTGAAGACAATAATTTTTTACAGCTATTGCTGAGATTGACCAATTTTTGGTTAGAAAAAAAAACCTGTAGTTGCTTTGCTGTATTTCAGTACATATTGATGTTCTTTGAAGCAGACTCTGTAAAAACGAAATAAGAATGATTTTTAAATGACTATTTTCCCATGCCAAGTACTACTAAGTATACTTTTAGACACTTTTTTACTGGTGGAAGTTTATAATCAGTGTCATTGGAAAAGAAGTCTTTATGTGGGGCATTAGAGAAAAAGAAGTTTTTTGAAAAACCTCAACTTTTCTGTCACCCATTATTCATTGCAATGTGCTTATCTTTTGTTATCTGCTTCAAACAAGTTTAATTAAAAACATATACATTCCATATTTTATAAGGTATCATAGAGGAGGATAATGTATTCCTTTATGGAGAGCAACAGATGGGAAAAAGAAAGAAAGATGAGAGAGTAAGAAGCAAGTATATTTTAGAATCTCTCTTAAGAATTATAAATATATAAAGTTCTAAGACAAGTATATGAAAATGTGAGACCATTCCATCTCAGGAAGATACTACATAATCATTATATATCATTAAAAATTTACAACTACAGCTTTTTATTTTTAAAAATTTTAAATTAACAATTTTATTAAGCATAATTTACATATTATAAAATCCACCCATTGGAATTATACATTTCAATGACTTTTAAATAAATGTATACAGTTGTGCAATCATCTCCATAACCCACTTCACAGCTCTTTAGAGTTGCTTTTCTTTCTCAGATTCATAGAGGAGTCTTTTTTAATGTATATGATCAATTCATCACTTATTTTTAAAAATCTTAATATCATGTACCCTAAAACTTAAAGTATAATTTTAAAAAGTTAAAAATAAAAAAAAAGAAATGAAAAAAAAAATCTTAATATACCTTTCAATACATGCCAATTTAGAAACATGCACATATCTGTAGCAAAGTGACATTGTGAGTAAATACAGTACAATTATGATACAGGTCATAGGAATCTAGTTTATCAGAATAAAAGGCTTTCTAAGAGAATCACCAAGTGTATAGACATTTTTTAATGTGGTAAATAAAAAAACACAGGACACATCTAAGAGGTATCATTTTGTCCAATCTGTTCTCTTCATTGATAATTCTATTTTCAAGCTCACAATAGAAGCCCAACTCTTTCAGGAAGCCTTCTCACATTTCTCCAATATAACTTTTTTTCTCTCTCTCAACTATACTTTTATAACTCTAAACTTTTACATATGAAAGTCAGTGTAGCTTATCTTAGAAATGTTTATAAATTATACCATTTATTCTCTTTGACTGAGTTCTACCACGGATTTTTCAACTCATTTTCCCACAGTGCCTAGCATTTTACTTTATGGATTAAGTAGCCAATTCATACATATTTAATTAAATATAAAGAATAAACTTTTCTTGATTGTATGCATCTAGTGCATAATAAAGACAGAGTTTATAATATCTGAAACTTTATAAAAGTTGATAGGGAATATATATATATATAATGTTATACAATATATCTAGATTATATAGTATGTATATATATTTTATGTGTATGTATTTATATAACTGTTGGTGTTCTCAGTACAGAGTACACTGAAGCCTGAGTTAGACCAGGAATGATAATACATAAACCCAGAAATTAGGCCTAGAATGATTACTCAATAAAGAGAGAGAAGATATTATAGACAAAAAGAACAATTTAGAGTCTTTCTATAATAATAAGAGCAAGAGAACTTGTTATACCTATATCTTAAAAATCTGTTGCATTCATCCATGGCTCCTGAGTTGTACAGTCCAGCCATGGTTTGTATCTACTAACAGTTTGGGGATTGCTTTTCACCATTTACAAAAGTCTATTTGATCTATGATTACATGGCGCTGCCTTTGCTCTGCAGATACCCGGGTAGCTGTGGATCTCTGAAGGGTAGTGACTTTTAGTTGGGAATAAAAAGGCCATTGTCACCCTACAGCTTCTCCAAACTCAAGGAACCAGTACCTTGCCAATTCTTATTTAAGTGTGTGTTCTTTTTTGGGTTTCACAGTTTGCCATCTTTTCCTTCATTCACTCTTATTTTTAGTGTTTAAAAAATTAACTATCCTCATCTTTTTATCTTCTTTGATCTTCACCTTTAAAAAATATTTCTAGTTCTTTGAGCCTATTCACGTGTTCATTGGAAGATCAAAAAGAATGTGAAAAAACCAGAATCAGCCATCCGGAGGATCAATTAAGAATGATAAATTTTTATACAAATGGTCCTTAATCCAGGGATGTATTATGTTTCAAAATGACTCTAACATCTGGTCTCTTTGGCAAAAGTAAAGCTAAGAATGAAAGTTATCACCCTGGGTAACTTTGGAAATAACTGTCTTTTTTGGCTACATTTGGTTGGGGCATCTGTCAGAAGTAGGGAGAAGTATACTACAGGAAGAATAGCAGTAGTCTTTTTGAGAATCTCAGTGCACCACTTCACAATTGAAGCCTCTTTTGGTTTTGGAAATGACTTTAAGGAGCCTTTTCAGAAACTCGCAACCTAAAAGGCAGTTAAAGTTGGTTCAAATAAACCCCTTAGATGAAAGAAGAGAGAAAAAATAAGATCAAGAAGGGAAGGGATGTGTCCTTAGTCTGTATGCACTGCTATAACAAAATACTTGAGACTAAGTTATTTGTAAAGAACAGAAACATATTTTCTGATAGTTCTGGAGTCCATGAAGTCTAAAGTCAAGGTGCCAGCAGGTTCATTTGTCTTGTGAGGGCTACTTATTGCTTCCAAGATGAGGCCTTGTTGCTGCATCCTCCAGAAAAAAATAATACTGTGTCTTCACATTGCAGAAAGTGGAAGGGCAATCCAGAGGAATGCTGCCTGAAGTCTCCTTTATAGGAGTTTTAATCCCATTCATAAGGAAGCAGCCCTTATTATATAATCACCTCTTGAAGGACTAACTTCTTAATACTATCACATTGGTAACAACTGAATTTTGGAGGGGACACATTCAAACCATAGCAGATGTTAAGTCAGGAGGAGATTAGCAATACTGCCTTCAGAACCCTTCTTTGCAGTCTGGGGCCCCTCAGTTTTCATACTCCCACAAGGTGAGTAGGAGGAGGAAAGGATCCTTGTTTTAGTGAGTTCCAACTGCCATAAAAAATAATCAGAGTTTGAGCGGCTTAAGCAACAGAAATGTATTTTCTTATAGTTCTGGAGGCTGAGAAATCTAGTATCAAGGTGTGGACGAATTACTGGAGAAGGCTCTCTTCCTGAGCTTTCAGACAGCCACCTTCTCACTGTGTCCTCATTTGGTAGAGAGAGAGAAAGCACACTCTCATTTCTCTTCTTATAAGGACACTAATACCGTCATGAGGGCTCCCCTTTCGTAACCTTATTTGTGTCTAATTACCTCCCAAACATCTCATCACCACATATCATTCTCATTTTGGGGAACACAATTTAGTCCATAGCTATTCTGCATTAAGAAAAGGATGTGCCTTTAGTCATGCAGCCACTGATAATTATATGACTTTGAACAGACCACTCTATCAGTATGAAATTTTGTTGCCTGTTCTGTGAAATGACAATGGCAATTCCTAATCTCCTACATGCTTATGGATGTCAAAATAGTTGACTTCTTCAATCTATCTTCAGGGGATAACCAAAGTGCCCATTAAACAATAATTAGAAGCTACAAGAATTATAATATTTCTCTCAGAATCGTAACAAGCTATTGACTTTTTTTTTTTTTTCCTGAGACGGAGTCTTGCTCTGTCGCCCAGGCTGGAGTGCAATGGCGCGATCTTGGCTCACTGCAAGCTCCGCCTCCTGGGTTCACGCCATTCTCCTGCCTCAGCCTCCCGAGTAGCTGGGACTACAGGCGCCCGCCACCACGCCCGGCTAATTTTTTGTATTTTTAGTACAGACGGGGTTTCACCGTGTTAGCCAGGATGGTCTCGATCTCCTGACCTTGTGATCTACCCGCCTCAGCCTCCCAAAATGCTGGGATTACAGGCGTGAGCCACCGCCCCCGGCCAGCTATTGACTTATTTTAGGAACTGTTTGAGTTTTTCCTCGTTTCTGTCATGATGGTTAATTCGACAGTAAACTGGGTATGTTGGATATCTGGAATCTGATATCTGACCCTCAACATCTGTTACTATCTCAAACTGCAAGGTGGTTTTCCATCTCTTCCATGATACAAGCTGCCTTTGCTTTTGTGGTCTCCCCAGATGTTTTATGAGGTTCCATCAATGATGGAAACAAGTTGAGTTTCTCCTAGCTGATTTCTGCCAGCAATGTTCTCTAATATATGTCTAAGCCATATTGTTTCTCTAGGATTATGTCAAGGTGTTTCCCATTGGAGCTGTGGACATATGTGAATAAATCCTCAAACATCTATGTGGGAAATAAACTGGGGAGAGGCATATAAGACAGAATTTTAAGTCCTTTATTGAGGAGACAATGCCTTCTTTCTTATGCCCTAGAATAGAAGCACCACAGCATAGGCTTGGGCCTAAATTTGCAAAGCAACTTGTGTGTACTTGCTGTGGGACCTCAAAGAGATCGTCCAAATTTTTTGAGCACATTTCCTCATCCATGAAATGTAGTTATAATACCTATATTGTAGTTATCAATATATATAAAAATTGATAAAATATGTTCTACATAATTTATGGTCTTCAATAAATAGTAGCTGGTATTATTTCATCATTATTGCCATCATCATCATCATCATCTTCATCATCATCATCATTGTCACTTAAGGATTCATAAGCTCAAAGATCTGAGGAAGTTTTATAACACTGTGAGACCTAACATGGGCACCAAATATTGGAATTTTTGTGAAAGTTGAGGTATGTGTTTGGAATTAATGATACGGGCATTTTTGCCTCAGATAAATAATATAAACTTTCTGGGTTTATTTCTTTTTTTTCTAGGTTGATAGCTTTCTAGGTATAAACGTTTGTTTTTCAAAAATAAAAAGTTATATAAGCATGCAAACTGAAACCCCTGTTTTTGGTGGGGCGTATTTTCACTTTTCCAAGGAGAATTCTCTTAAAAGGGAAGCCAAACTATAGTAAATCCTCATGTTTTTCTAGATGTGGGCCACATTATAGTGTCACATCAATTATATTAATTTACTTTGCCATTATTTGGCCAGACATAAAGATTCTGCAGAAAAAACTGCATTTGGACTGGCATATAATTTGGAATTGCCCGAGAGGATGGAGAATCGAGAAATTTTTATCAAGACCAGTTTGCTATTCAGCAAATAGGGAGTTATTCACCAATCCATTCTGTTTTATAATACATTGGGTGTTCACTAATGTTCATCTTGTTTATTTTCTTTACCCACAGTTGGTGTTTCTAGATTCTTGTCTACCAGAGTAAGCTCTATCCAGTTTCTAAGGCCAGTACTGAAGTATTTAAATCCTCCCCAATTTAATTCTAAGGATTTCAACATTGCCACCTTCTACTCATCAGCTACGTTTAACTTGTGAGTACCGAAGTCCTGATAACCAACACTTGCTTTGCTCCTGGAACTATAGTCCATGTTGTAGTTCTAACAACCACTATTTTTTTCCCTTAGACTTGATTTTCTGTCTTTATAAACTGTATAACATCTAAATTTCTCTGAAGTATAGAGCCTCTGATGGCAATTGCCCTATGATCTGCTCACAAATTCCACAGCGCCAACTGCTTGCCTCCAACTTGAATGTGCAGGATTGTCAGATCTGATTAGATTCACTTATAAGTGGATCTCTTATCTGTGATTAAGCACTCTTGATTTCCCCCCTGCAAATTGTGCTGTCATTTATCCCAAACCTTTGGCCTGATCAGCCCTCAGTTCTGGTTGTTTCTTTTCCATATATATATATATATATGGAATATATATATTATATAGAATATATATAGTGTATATATAATTCTAATCATATATAAATTAGAATCATGTATATATGATTCTAATTTCTAACTCGGCAATTCACTCTATCCTTTTGCAGTTAACAAGCTTTGCCTTAAAAATTCAAAGTCTCCACCATAAATGGACTTCATATACATCTTATCCCAAATTACTTTGAATGGAAATTTGGGATATGAGGCTGTGAATGGGTAGGGAATCTGGTGCTGGAGTTGGATGGGATGAAGGAGCAGAAGTTGTATTGTGCCTTGAGTTATGAAACATCAAAGTAGGATTACTTTTTTCCAACTGCAGGTTCCAGAAACTTTGCCATTCTCTACATGAATCTGTGGCTGCATTGAGCTATGATCCATTGCTGAGACCATGATTCTGAGTTCTTTTATGGAAGCCTACCCTGTTATTAATGACAGAGAATGTGTCTTAACACTTGAACTTCAAATTTACATTCCTATGGAATGGAATGGGTAATTAGTGGGTTACACTAATGAATGGAATAGGTAATTAGTGGGTTAAGGAGACTCATGATTTATAAATTAAAGCATAGGGTATAGCAAACAGGGTAACTTAATTATTGACACATTTTTCTTACACTTAATGCTTAATCTTTTCTGTTTGATCCTTCTTCATTCTCACTGTAACACCAGGAAATGATTAACAGGACCCCTCCTTTATGACACAAAGAGCTGAATTAGGCTTAGCTTTCTACTCACCACCACATTTTCCCTGGACCTCTCTATCAGAGAATTATCTGACCCAACAACTGAATGAGTTTTTCCCTTTATAAATCCTTTGTAACTCTAAAAGTTTTACTCAGTGTGCTGTCTCAATTTTATACTCCTGATAATGCTGTTCTGCCAATGACCAACTCAGAACTCCTCCTATGTATGGGCTGTGTGTGTGCCTGTATGTGTGTGTGAGCATCATGTGGTAATTTCAGTTGTTGCAGTAGCTATGTATTGAGTTATAAGGGGGAGAAAATACAAATTAAACAATTTCTAACATCAAATGAGTTACTTCCAGGAGTTTAGCATCTTACAGACTGTGCTAGAGGCTCCTGCCACATGTCTAGCTTTTTAAAAAATTAATTTATTTATTCCTTTACACATAGCTGAAAGTGATGTTACAGTACAGAAGTTATTTACAACTGTGCAGTAATGTGTTGCAAACTAAATTATCTAGAAGGCAGCAAAAGTACATTGTGAATTTACATAAAACTATACAGCGTTTGCAGATACACTTTTTATATGATTATTGGCTCTGTAGTGGTTCAAGTTATGTTCTCAGAAAGAGAAACAAAATGCCCAAGATTAAAAGAAAAAAGATACCAACCACGTGGATTTGACTGCATTAAAAACAGTACGGGGGTCCTGGTTCTGTGTCCCTCTGCCTGGGCAGGTGGCACGGCCAATGTCCTGCTCCGCACCAGGTCCTAAGCCCAGTCTGAGGCCGTTGCAGCTCTGTGGCAACAGGACCATGGCTGGGACGGCACACCTGCCCCTCCTACCTGGAGGTCACTGTTTGTGAGACATGGACACCTTAATTTTATTTTCTTTAGTTGATCAGAATGGAACAAAAAAAAATTAAAAATCCACTCCATTCTCCAACTCCTGAAATGCCTCTGCAGTTGGCTGGAGAAAAGGGTCCGAAGGTTACCATTTTCAGATAGAAGCTGCCACGTGTGCCCCCGGCATGGTCTTCTCCTCCCGCCGGGGCCGGTGAGGCTCTGGGGGCTTTGCCCCCGCCGCGGCAGCTGGTAGACAAGAGACGTGTTTTACCTCCTCGACGTCTGGACCAGTCTGGAAGGGACGGAGACGCTGTGGCGTCTCTCTGGGGGTCTCTCCCCGCCCGGGTGGACGTGGCGCTCCCTCCTCGGCCCCTGGGGCTCAGCGCAGCCATGCAGCCCTCGCCTGCAACCTGCAGTCATCCCGCACCGCGGCAACAACATAAAGTCGTCGTTGACGTCGACCATGGGCACGTAGAAGGAGGGCACGTCGTTCACGCACAGGGACTAGTGCCCAGCGGGGTCCAGCTTCTGCACTTTCAGCTGCCACTCCATCCTCTGCATGGCGTTTAGGGCCGCGGCCTCGTGCTGCTGCCACGTGAGCAGGTCTTCATGCGGTTGTACTTGTGGTCCAAGTCATGGAGCCAGGAGATGAACTGGCTGGTGTTGAGCCGGTCGCGCACTGACTTGTTCTCGTCGCGCTGGCTCTCTAGGGGCATGTTTTAAACCTCAGAGTCCAGCAGCATCGTGCAGGCGCTGAATGGCACTGCCTGGTTGGCGATGATCCTGGCTGCCCAGCAGTGAACCTGCAGAATCTCCTGCTCATAGGACATATCAGCTTCTACTGCTCGATGCTGTGCTGCAGACGTAGCTTTTCCCGGACCGGCTCCTGCTGCCTGAACAGCTAGTTCAGGGACTCCACCAGCGAGGGAGGGGGTGCGATCATGGGCATGTGGAGCTTGCTGAGAGACTTGCCGTCCAGGAGATAGGAGCCCGTGTAGGTGACGTATTCGGCGTACCACTGGGTCGCCTGTGGCGTGATGCAGCACAGAATCTTGCGCTTCTCCTCGATCTTCTTCCTGATGTGCAGGAATTCGAAGTAGGGGTTGGCCCTGTCGCTGTGGTAGGGGTAGATGGCGTCCAGCTTGATGGCGTCCACGATGGTGGCCAGCGTCTGCTGGATCACCTCCCGCGTCTGCTGCGTGGACGTGTTCAGCTGCTGGGTGGAGTGCTGGAAGTGGCGTTTGCGCGGATGCTGGGCTGGGCGTAGTCCTCCTCCGAGCCGCGGGCCTGAGGCACACTCCTTGGAGTGAGGTGTGCCCTACTTGCTCTCGTTCACGAGCATCTGCCGGTTCCTGGTGATGCAGTGAGGGATCTACCCCACTCTGGGGGCTTTCGGGGCTTCGGCCGTGGGTTTTGGTTCTGATTCTGTGGCTTCTGGGTCGATGCCGCAGGGAGGGCCTTCGGCTGGGGCGGCAGCACGGGAGGCCGCAGTGTTGTCGTGGGGGCCAGCACTGTCCGCAGCCTGGGCTTGTGCCACAGTGTCCATGGGGGGCAAGGGGTGTCGGGGGCACAGAGGGATGCGGCAGGGGGTAGGAGGTGTTCAGCCTCGGCCCCCTGGTCTCTGCTTCCCAGTTGGCACTGTTCAGGGCGAACGGGTGTGGGCTCCATGCTGGAGTCCAGATCCCCAGAGGCCCTCTCTTCTGGCACTGCTTCTGCCTCCGTAGCTTCTAGAGCCACGTCCAGCTTTGGCTCCTCTGAGGGCTCAGGCTCGAGCTCTGTGGGGAGCTGGGTGGAGGCCTGGTCAGGAGGCAGTGACGGCTGCTCCTTAGCCACTAAAGCGGAAACATCCCCACCCTTACGACCACAGGGGCCCCTGGAGGGATCTTTTCTGAAGGAGCAAGACTTTCTTCTGTGGGTTCTGTTTCAACATCTGGGACATCTTTAGTCTGCAAGGGAAGCTCCGGCAGTGAGAAGGACCCCAGGTCCAGGTCGTCCTCGGAGCCGGCGAAGGCGTCTGCCCAGGGCATCGGCTCCACCTGGCGGAGGGTAGACAGGCTGTGGCTGTTGTCCAGGAGGCTATTTTCCAGGGGTTCCAGAGCCTCCACCTGAGCCACAGTGGTTACAGGCCTCAGGGGCCATGTCCAGCAGAGATTCCGGAAGTGACTTGCAGTTGTTGAAGAAGGATTCCAGCCCGGAGGGAGGGGCGTAAGGAGCCGCCTCTGAGGTAGAGATGGTGGCGGGGATGGCTTCCACCCTGTCTTTGACATCCTCCAGTCCTGGCTCAGCGATGAGCAGAGTGTTCTGGGAGAGAGAGGCGGAAAGGGGGGGGCGGGTATGGCACCTCTGAGGCGCTGAAGGGCCCTGGGGCTGCAGAGTGGAGGGAGTCCGCGGAGCAGAAGTATTCTGGGGACTCAGGAAATCTCTGTGGAGACTTCAGCAGGAGTTCTGAGCCCACAGGCCAGCTGACAGGGTTTTCAGAGGCGCTCCCGATCAGGCTGGAAGCGAGGGCCTGCTCGGCGGGGTGGGCCCACTCGACAGGCTCCTCAGTGATGACGGTGCTGACCCTCTTCCAGCGGCTCCAGGTAGCTGGGCTCCGGGGGGATGATGGGGGCTGTAGCCTGCTGGTCCTCGGTGGCGTCCAGGTGCGGGGGAATGGCCCCTTCGAGGGAAGGAACCAGCAGCTTATCTCTGGGGGAAGGGGAAGGTTTTGCTTGTAAATTTGAGAAGACGCCCTCTGGAGACGGGGTGACAGTGACAGTGGTAGAGCATCGACTTTGGGCGAGGGGAGGCCATAGTCTGTGGAATATTACCCTGGGGACAAGCAAGCAAACTTCTCCACGGGAACCGGGGGCAGGGGCGCCCTGTCTTCCGTCTAGTGCGGCAGGGTAAAGTCGTAGCTGGAGGCGGCAGGAACGTTCTGCTGCCTGAGGAGCTTGTCTTCCAAGCTGAATTCCTCCTAGGGAGTCCTCCTAATATCAGCAGAGACCTAGCGGTAAAAGTTTATGGAGAGAGGCTTGGCAGGAGCCTGGCTGGCGTTTTCCAAAAGCCCACTTGATGCCGCGGAGAACCTGTCAAAAAAGGAGGCAGGCAGGCACTGGAGGGAGCAGTGGGCACGGGCGTGGAGGGCGGGGAGTGGGCGCAGTCGAACACAAGGTCCGTGTAGTCATCGGTGCTGCAGGACGGGGTCCTGGGCGTGTGCATCACCTCCTCGTAGCTGAGGCAGGACAGCACCGACGTAGGGGTGGGCACACCGGTCGGCTCTGGTCAGGCCTAGGAGATGCAGGTAGGACCTCTTTCATGTGAGGCCCTGCGAGCCAGTCTTTGGAGTCTGCACCTGATCCTGGGCGTGGCTTATTTTCGGCAGCAGGTGGAATAGGAGTCAACTCCTTGAGCTTTTTGTCTTTAAAGGGAGGGTCCAGCCCCGGAGGTTTCTTGGCAGGAATTTCCAGACCCTTCTTCCGCCCGTCGTCTGCTGGCTTCGCCCTCTCCTTGAGGTTGGGGTCTCTGGACTGGTGCCTCAGCTTCTCCATCTGCTTCATCCTCTCCTTGTGCCCCTTGTGGCGCTCCTCGATCTCCAGGTCCTTCTGGGAGAACATCCTCTGGAAGCTGATTATCATCATGTCGCCATCCCCCCGGAGCTTTTCCCTGGGCCTGGCATTTTTCTTGCCTGGGTCTTTGGATGGCGATACTTTATCATCCCCTTTGCTCATCTTCACAGAGTCGTCCTTTTCTTTTTCTGCACTGTCCTTGAATTTCTCCTTCAGTTTGGCCTTCCTGAGCCTCGGGTCCTCATCCCTGGACTTGTCTTTGAGTGCACGGGGAGGGCTGTCCTTGTCCCTGGCAGTGGGCTTCTGCTTGGTCCCTGTGATGCCGCAGGAGCCAGTCTGCATGCCTGTTCCGGTTCTTCCTCTTCTCGTCTGTCAATTTCTCCCTTTGTTTCTCTCTCTTATTCTTCACTTTTAGGATGTTGATGGTACTAGATCCATAAGGCTTTAGTTCCTTTTCTATTTTCTTGGAAGTTTCTCTCTCTGAATCATTTTTATCTTTCTTTTCGGTAGAAAATAATTCAACGGTTTTATTTAGCCTATCTTCTATGACAGCTTTCATGTTGTAAGAAACTCCATAAGCAACCATCTCCAGGAAGTCCTTTTCATACTGGCCGGTGTCCTTCCTGCTGCCGCCCTCCTTGTAATCTCTGCCCTTCTCTTCTGGGACTTTTCTTTCTTGGCTGTCTCTCTCAGTAGTGGCTCTACTTGGATGAGGATGAGGAGTGTCTGTGCCTCTCCTTCTCTTTCAGCTTCTCCGGGAGGCAGGCGCTCTCCCTGGCCTCCTCCTACATGGGTGGCTGCTTGAGAGAGATCTCCAGGAAGGCAGTCATCCCTGGCTCCTGCCCTCAGTCTGTGCAGCTGTCAGAGGAGACCTCACTGATTTTATCACTGGAGTCGTCTCTGTACTCATGGAGAGCTTCTTCCAACTTTTCAAGCAGGCTTTTTTCCATGTCAGCACTTCTCAAGGACTTCCTCTCCTTGGAATATTCTTTATCTGACTTCTCTTTGTGTTTGCTGTTAGCCTTGTCTTCAGCAGACTGTTTCTTTTCAGCCTTCTCAGGGAGCTTCTGTTTATTTTTCTTATCTTGTGTGGAGTCCACTGAAGCTCTTTCCGTCCTGTTCTTATACTTTTCTGGTACTCTTTAACCTTCTTCTCCTTGTGCTTTTCAAGGACTTTCTCTTTTTTATCTGTCACACCGTCAGCAGCCCCTGTGTCCTTTCTCTTGTCTTTGGGCTCCTTGTCCTTTTGCCTCTTGGGTGCTGCTCATCAGAAGAGGACTTCCTGTGTCTGTCAGAGGCATAGGCCTCCCGCCCTTCGTCCTTCTCCTAGAGGTCATCCATCCTCTGTAAGTCGCTGGCCTCTCCGATCTTGAACCTACTCCCCATGTAGTTGTCTTTGTCATCCTCTCTCTCTTCTGTGAATACGTCTGCGACGTACCAGCTTTTCTCCTTGCCTTTCTTGTCATTTTTTTTTTCAGAGAAGTCTTCTGAGATAATCCCAGGGAAAGTTTTCTCCTTTTTCTCTTTCCCTTGGTCAAGAGACACTTTCCTTTTTTTTGTCTTTGCCATGTGTGTATTTGTGTTTATTCCTTGGTATCTTTTTTCTCTTTAAAACATTTATCAAATTCTCTGTCCTTCTGACATTTTTCGAGGATAGATTTCTCACTTTTGTCCTTGTTACTGGACTTCTGTTTGTATTTTTCTGGATTTGTTTTCTCCTTCCTTTCCTTATCAAGGCCGTCCTTCTTCTCTTGCACTGGGTCTTGCAGTTCCCACGGTTCCAGGCCCTTCCCAAAATCGCAGTCAGACTTTTCCTTGAAGACACTCTGGTAGCCTCACTCCTTCAGCTCCTCGCGGTGTGCGGTGTGCCTCCTCTGGCTTGGCCCTGCAGTCCCTGTGCTCCTTGGAGCTCTGGAGGGTGTCCTTTTTGTCCTGGCTGGCCTCTACGGACTCTCTCTCCTCTTTTTGTCATTTTCCAAAAGGTAGCCGGGGACACTTTGTGCTTTTCAGTCTGGTCTTTTCTCAGAGTTTTTATCCAAATAGTCCTTGTCCTTTTGGAAGAAGGGCTCTCTGTAGTCTCGCTTCTCCCGGGCCCTGCTGTCCTGCTTCCTCTCCTGGCTGTCCTCCTTCACTGTTTCTAAGATCAGCTTGGCCACAGAGTTATTCTTCAAGTCCCTGTAGTCTGTCACTGAAGAGTCCCAGCTGTCTCCCACTTTGAAATCAAAGGATGAATCAGACAAGTCAAAAAAACCACCGATCTGGCTGATTGTCAGAAAGGCTAAATTTGATGTCTTCATTCTCCAGAAACTGATTTTTATTAAAATATTCATCAAAAGCAGAATCTTCCCTATAAACCTTTTCTTTTTTGAGTTTTTCTTTATCTTCTTTAAAAGTCTTCTCCTTCTCTTTTGAAATGTTGTCCTCTTTTAAATCATTCTTTTTCTCTAATTTTGACGGCCCGTCTTTTCACTTACTCTTTCTCTCCTCTTTGTACAGTCTCAGTTTTTCTTCCTTTGAAGACTTTTCCTTCAGAGATTTCTCCTTTTCTGCTGTATTCGAACAGTCTTTCTCTTCTTGGAAAGATCTGCTGATATCTTTGTTCATGCCTTTGATTCTCTTCAGTGATTTTTCATCTTTGGAGACCTTAATGATCTCATCTTTAAAGAGCCATTCTTTCTCTTCTGATATCATTTTGCTAAGTTTCTCTTCTTTTTTAAAGTGGTCTCGATCAAGCTATAACACTTTTAACTTATTTTCAGTGGAAATATCATTCTCTAAAAGTATAGCCTTAATCTGACTTTTGCTTGTAGTCCTCATATTCATACGTAAAACGTTCCAATTTCAGCTCTTGGCTGATAGAACACTGTCCCTTCTCCTTGTTTTTGTGTTTGTGTTTTGTTTTATGTTTTTTTGACAACTTTCCCCTCCTTGTTCAGCTTGGGGACGGTGCCCTCTGCGCTGGAGAGGAAGGGGCTTCTCTTCTCTGACAGGGAGCCCTGCAGCCTGCCCAGCTTCCTGTGCTCTGGCTTCTTCCTCACTGGTTTCAGCGATTCCACACTGGAGCCCCCAGAGGAGTAATCAGACTGGCTTGTCAGTCTCCTCCTTGTGGATTCTGATAAAGAACTGACCTCTGACCAAGCCAGGAGAGAAATGGTTTTCCAATTGTCTGTCTGCCAGTGCTTGGTGTGCTGGTTTGTATTGTTGGGGTTCTGCTTCTGGGTAGCAGAGCCCCCATGAGATGAGGTGGAGGAGGCAGACAGGGAGATGAACAGGGAGGGGTCCTTCAACACCAGCGGGGAACACTTGAGGCAGCTGGAGCTCCCCATGGAGTCCCTGTCATCCTCCCCACTCTCTGAGGACTCACTTTCCGACTCTGAGGAAAAGAACTTGTCAATCCATTTTCCAAAGCAAACCTCTCTGCCTTTTGTTTATCTGTTTTCCTTCACTTCTTTTTCATTTTTTTTTCCTTCTGCTGCTTGGCATTAGAAGCCTCCCATTTCTTACTACCAGGCAATATTGTATGTGCCGAGAGTCTCAGCTTCTCTCCTGTGTCCCCATGGTGACACTCACGTCCTCCTCGTCTGATGTGTCTGACAGAATATGATGGGATGCTTTCTTTGGTGCAATAGTGTTATTTTTAGTGTAACTTTTAACCTCCATTTTGAGTATAGAGATAAAACTATTGGATTTTGTTTCTTTTCTGTAATACTTTTTTAACAGGTTCATTCAGAGCACCTTTCTCTTCTATTTCAGTGACTCATAGATATATGGTAAAAAAAATAAAAAATAATGCCTTCGATGGCTTCCTCTACTCTTTCAACAACCTTCTTTCTAATTATGGCTACTTACCACTTCTCTGCTTTCATGAATATCTAACCTGTGTTCAATAACCACAAAGCATCAATATCAGCTAATACCTATTCTACATCTTGCAGATAAGTAGTGGGGTTTTATATACTACTTTAGGCCAGTGTGAAAAGGATCTTACATGTTTCACTTATATTACTAAGTTGTAATCACTTTTTAGCTTACCAGTTTCCCTAAAGAGAATATAAGCTTCAAGATAGCACCACCAAAAAAAGTCAATTTTGTATGTCTACCTTCTTGTAATAGAGTGAATTATTGTTTCCAATTTATCAGTTCCATGTAGTAGTTATTTACATACTCATCCTCATACCATTGTCATGGCTTCCTTTACCTCCATTGACTTGGTGCTTGGCCACAATCACTTGTTTTCACGAACATAATATTAATGGACAAGATATGAGTGAACACTTGAAATGAGCATATATGATTGACTTTGTGCTCTTCTCCTCCATCTTTTTCCATTGGCAGCACCACTTTGCACTTCCTCTGATCCAAGGATAATGAATAACACTTAGAGCAGACCTAGAACAACCTCAGACATTGGGGCCAAACACAGCTGAGCCTAGCCTAGATGGCTAAACCTGAGATGATGTGAAGACATCTGTGATACAGATATAAATGCTTATTTTTGTATACCACTGAGATTTTCTGGTGGTTTATTTTGTAGCATTATGTTTAACTCTCTATATTTATTACAGTGTTTACAATGTAGTAGATATCTCAACACTTGTTTAAAATGAACAAAATGACCATTATTTAAATCAACCCATGAAACAGACAGACACATTTGGGTAGAAGATACTGCACACAATAATCATAAACAAGATGGGAGTTTTTAAGAAAACGCATATGGATAGATCAAAGTATGTCCCCATCACATGGCCAAATACTGACTAAAGAAGATGTTGTATCACCTATTACTCTGGATAAAAAAAATCTAGTTGGAGTGATAGAACTGAGATGGTGAAACAAATGGTAGAGCTAAGTATGAATGTGTTTAAGTTTATTAGATGTGCAGCAGAGCTCCAGAGTAGATGGAGATCACTGTAGACCAGAAAAGGAGTCTTAGAAGAGGGGGACCTAGAGCAGCACTTCTAAAAACTTGTAGGATTTAGGGAGAAGGAGGAAAAAAGGGTAATTCTAGACAGAGAGAGGAACACATAGAAAACTGTGCAGGCAGTTGAGAATGGCCTGTGTTGGTGGGAAAGAGTGTATACTGGAGAGCAGGTCAAAATTAAAACGAGAGAAAGTGGCATAATTTGAGTAGGATCAAATACTGGGTGACAGTGAATGCCAGCTAAGAGTCCGAAAATTGTTGATATGGAATCAGAAAAACACTGACAATTCTTGAGCCAGAAAATGATATAGTAAAAGAAAAAATTGCTCTGGCAGAAGTATTTAGAATTGTTTGAAGAAGGAGAAAATAAATGTAATAGAATCACAGTGCTAGGTAGTGCACTTATGCAAACCTTAGCCTCATAACCTGAGATTTATTTTTATACCACAGGCAAAAACATGAGTGTTCTCCAAAGTTATCATTTTCTCTACTATGTAAATTTGGAAGAGAGTTTAAAAAAATAAGCAGCAGGAGGTTGAGTGGTTAGGAAAGAACAATACTTTGGTACATCTGGACTTTGAGCCAGATTCTTTTCTCTGAACTATGTTCGTTATCTGAGACACTGATTGTAAAGACCACGTTACCCAATGTAGGTGCAAAAGAAAGAGTTAATTAAAGCTGTTCTTGAGGAGTTAGAAGAAAAGGTTTTTATTACCATGAGGCAGAATTTTTCCTCAGTTCTTAAGGAAGGCTGTCAGCTGAGCTTCTGCAAATCATAACCCAAGTCTTAAACTTAAACCTTACAATATTACTCATACTCAGTAACATAAAAGTGGTATCATTGTTGCTAGCAAATTAGAGGTCTTCAAATTGCTGAAAGAGACATAGAGCAAGAGTTGAATCAATTATCTCATATTTAGGGTGTGTGTGTGTTTGTGTGTGTGTGTGTCTTCATAAATATTATGTAAACATGTTAGAATTTGATTTTGGGGCATTTTCCAACCTGTTACTAACACCTATCTCTATATATTCATTATATACCTGATAAGATGCCTTTGTTACTTTTAATTTCAAATGTATTTTTATAACATTATGGACTTTTTGAGCTGAAAGAGATTTTATAGAAATCACATCCCATCTTGTCACTGTCAGAAGTGGAATCAGTTGTCTTAGCGGTGACTGCAGTGGTGGAGGTAGGCTGGAGAGCTTTTATTTTAGTGTTTCTTATTAACGATGCCACTGTTCATCGATCACTTAGGGCTTAAAGTCTTGCCATCATCCCTGACTTCTCCCTTCTCTCATTCTCACCTGGTGTTGATTATGATACTGAAATGCCCCTTATTTCTGACTCCTCCTTTAAACTCCATTTGAAACACTCTACTTTATACCTCCATTGTCTCTAGCCTAGAAAATTTCAGTAACCTCACAATTTATTTCTGAGTCTATTTTTTTTTGTTTTTGTCCTTCTTACACATTGTTATTTCTGAAAGTTATCCTTGATTATACAATTCCTGATTTAAAAAAATAATAATAGATTCTATATCTCATTATATGCCAAATAAAATTCAAGGTCTTTAAGTTACACAACAGCACTCTATGATTTGATCCCAAAACACAACTTCAATCTTATGCCTAATATATATATGGCCAACTATGAGCCAGATACTGCTTATTACTGGACAAATGTGTCTCATGTTTTCCAACCCGTATAAGAACTTACTGCATCAGAACCAATATTTATGATGTGAACTCTCAACAACAAAAACAGTCTGATTTATATTTAAATTATTCTGAGAAAAAAAGTATATGTATTTTTTATGTGTATATACACACACACATGTGTATTTGTAATCTGATTTTGAAAGATTGTCATCATAAATGGCTATAATTTATAACATTTTGAATATTAATTTGTATGGAATGCCTCAAGTTTTTTAAAAAGTTAATTAGTTATTATGCCATCCTAAATATTACTCTTTTTTTTGCTTTAATACATTAATTGGCTTTTTATACTGATTTTGATAGAGAATCACAACTTTTTCTCAAATTACAATCAATATTCTCATGTCTGTATCATATCAAAAGTGTTTTTCCTTTAAGAACCAAATGTATCTTCATAAACTACTTTCCATTTATCAAATAATCTCATAGAGTTTTCCATCTTTTACTTGTCAGCTCTTGCTCACATATGGCAAGTAGTCCATTGTCACGGTTAAGAGTTTGAGCTGTGCAGGCAGATTGCCTCCATTATAAACATGTTTCTCTCACTTAGTAGTTTTATGACCATAAGAAAACTATATAACCTTTGTGTGTCTCAGTTTTCTCATGTAAAAATAAGGATAATAATATTCCATATGTTGTTTATGAAGATTAACTAAGACTATACATATACGAGCCTCTGAACAGCATCTGACTCATAGCTCTCACTCAGTAAGCTATTATTATTATCCACAATTAACTGCCCTAAAACCTAAAGCTCAAATGTCCCCTTGAGCTATTTTATTCTCAAGTTATATTTGAACTTCCAACAATGACACAGAAACTTTCTAAAAACATTTTGCATTATGTTTTAATTAAATGGACTGAAATTTATGAGAAAAAAATAATATCCTACTATTTTAATAGTAGTAGATAAAGTAGGTAGGTGTTGTAAGAATAAAATGATTACTTTGAATACTTGAAAGTGAAAGTTAATACCTCTAGAAAGAAACCAGATTCTTTTTGTTTTCTCAACTTTTATTTTAAATACAGGGGTACATGTGCAGGTTTGTTACATGGTTAAATTGCATTTTGCTGGGGTTTGGTGTATAAATGATTTCATCACCCAAATAGTGAGCATAGTATCTGGTAGGTGTTGTTTTCGACCCTCACCGTCCTCCCACCCTTTCCCCTCAAGTAGGCCCTGGTGTCTGTTTTTCCCTTCTTTGTGTTCATGTGTGCTCAATATTTAGCTACCACTTATAAGTGACAACATAAAGTATTTGGTTTTCTGTACCTACATTAATTCTCTTAGAATAATGGCTTCCAGCTGCATCCATGTTGCTGCAAAAGACATAATTTCAGTTTTTTATGTCTGTGTATTATTCCATGACAGAAACAGCCTTCTTAATATTAGAGTCTGCTCAAGAATTTTGACCTCATAATTATCATGGTTCTACCACCTAACAGGGATTTTGAATGATTTCAAGAGGAAATGAGAGGCATGGACAAATTAGATGCCTAGATATCTGTCAGCTTTGTTCCTGATACTGGAGATTAGCCCTCTGTAGTGTAGACATATCCTTCCCAGGCTGTTCTAGAAGGCAGAAAAAAGAAGATGCCTTTACATAGTTGAGTTCAGTGTTTCTTAAATGTTACCTTGCATCAGAATCACAGGAGGGCTTATTAAAATAGTGATGGTGGGAGGACTCAAGATGGCTAAGTAGGAACAGCTCCAGTCTGCAGCTCCCAGTGAGATCAACACAGAAGGCAGGTGATTTCTGCATTTCCAACTGAGGTCCCCAGATCATCTCTTTGGGACTGGTTGGACAGTGGGAGGGCGAGCCAAAGCAGGGCAGGGTCGCCTTACCTGGTAAGTGCAAAGGGTTGGGGAATTTTCTCCCCTACCCAAGGGAAGGGAAGCAGTGAGGGTCTGAGCCTGAGGAACTCCAGCACCGATACTGTGCTTGCCCCACGGTCTTCTCAATGCGCAAACCAGGAGATTCTCTCTGGTGCCTACCCCACCAGGGCCCTGGGTTTCAAGCACAAAACTGGCGGCCAATTGGGCAGACACCGAACTAGCTGCAGGAGCTCTTTTTTTTTCCATACCCCAGTGGCGCCTGGAACACCAGTGAGACAGAACCGTTTACTCCCCTGGAAAGGGGTACCAAAGCCAGGGAGCCAAGTGGTCTGGCACGGCAGATTCCTCCCCCACAGGGCCCAGGAAACTAAGATTCACTGGCTTGAAATTCTTGCTGCCAGCACGACAGCAATCTGAGATCCACCTGGGACATTCCAGCTTGGTGGGGTGGAGGGGCATCTGCCATTGCTGAAGCTTGAGTAGGTGGTTTACAGTCACAGTGTAAACAAAGCCGGTGGGAAGTTCGAACTGGGTGGAGCCCACTGCAGCTCAGCAAGGCTGCTGTGGACAGACTGCCAGATTTCCCCTCTCTGGACAGGGTATCTCTGTAAAAAAGGCAGCAGCCCCAGTCAGGGGCTTATAGCAGACTTAAACATCCCTGCCTGATGGCTCTGAAGACAGCAACAGACCTCTCAGCACAGCGTTTGAACTCTTCTAAGGGTCAGACTTCCTCCTCAAGTGAGTCCCTGACCCCTGTGTGTACTGACTGGGAGACATCTCCCAGTAGGGGCTGACAGACACCTCATACAGGAGAGCTCTGGCTGGCACCTGGCAGGTACCCTTCTGATACAAAGCTTCCAGAGGAAAGAACAGGCAGCAATCTTTGCTGCTCTGCAGCTTCCGCTGGTGACACCCAAGCAAACAAGGTCGGGAGTGGACCTCCAGCAAACTCCAGCAGACCTGCAGCAGAGGGGCCTGACTGTTAGAAGGAAAAGAAACACACAGAAAGGATTAGCATGTCCACACAAAGACCCCATCTGAAGGTCACCAACATCAAAGACCAAAGGTAGAGAAATCCACAAAGATGGGGAAAAACCAGTGCAAAAAGGCTGAAAATTCCAAAAACCAGAATGCCTCTCCTCCTCAAAGGATCACAACTCCTCGCCAGCAAGGGACCAAAACTGGATGGAGAATGAGTTTGACGAACTGACAGAAGTAGACTTCAGAAGGTGGGTAATAACAAACTCCTCCGAGCTACAGGCGCATGTTCTAACCCAATGCAAGGAAGCTAAGAACCTTAAAAAAAGGTTAGTCGAATTGCTAACTAGAATAACCAATGTAGAAGAACATAAATGACCTGATGGAGCTGAAAAACACAGCAGGCGAACTTCATGAAGAATATACAAATATCAATAGCCAAATCAATCAAACGGAAGAAAGGATATCAGTGATTGAAGATCAACTTAATGAAATAAAGAGAGGAGACAAGATTAGAGAAAAAAGAATAAAAAGGAACGAACAAAGCCTCCAAGAAATATGGGACTATGGGAAAAGACCAAATCTATGTTTGATTGGTATACCTGAAAGTGACGGGGAGAATGGAACCAAGTTGGAAAACAATCTTCAGGATGTCCAGGAGAACTTTCCCAACCTAGCAAGACAGGCCAACATTCAAATTCAGGAAATAGAGAGAACACCACAAAGATACTCCTCGAGAAGAGCAACTCTAAGACACATAATCATCAGATTTACCAAGGTTGAAATGAAGGAAAAAATGTTAAGGGCAGCGAGAGAGAAATGTCGAGTTATGCACAAAGGGAAGCCCATCAGACTGACAGAGGATCTCTCAGCAGAAACCCTACAAGCCAGAAAAGAGTGGGGGCCAATATTCAATGTTCTCAAAGGAAGTAATTTTCAACCCAGAATTTCATATCCAGCCAAACTAAGCTTCATAAGCAAAGGATAAATAAAATCCTTTACAGACAAGCAAATGCTGAGGGATTTTGTCACCACCAGATCTGCCTTACAAGAGCTCCTTCCTGAAGGAAGCACTAAACATGGAAAGGAACAACTGGTACCAGCCACTGCAAAAACATTCCAAATTTTAAAGAACATCGACACTACGAAGAAAATGCATTAACTAATGTGCAAAACAACCAGCTAGCATCACAATGACGGGATCAAATTCACACATAACAATATTAACCTTAAATGTAAATGGGCTAAATGCACCAATTAAAGACACAGACTGGCAAATTGGATAGAGTCAAGACCCATCAGTGTGCTGTATTCAGGAGACCCAGCTCATGTGCAGAGACACACATATGCTCAAAATAAAGGGATGGAGGAAGATCTACCAAGCAAATGGAAAGCCAAAAAAAAAGCAGGGGTTGCAATCCTAGTCTCTCATAAAACAGACTTTTTTTTTTTTTTTTGAGACAGTCTCGCTCTGTCACCCAGGCTGGAGTGCAGTGGCACGATCTCGGCTCACTGCAAGCTCCGCCTCCCGGGTTCATGACATTCTCCTGCCTCAGTCTCCCGAGTAGCTGGGACTACAGTTGCCCGCCACTTCGTCTGGCTAATTTTTTGTATTTTTAGTAGAGATGGGGTTTCACTGTGTTAGCCAGGATGGTCTCGATCTCCTGACCTCGTGGTCCGCCCCCCTCAGCCTCCCAAAGTACTGGGATTACAGGCGTGAGCCACCGCACCCAGCCAAAACAGACTTTAAGCCAACAAAGATCAAAGGAGACAAACAAAGCTATTACATCATGGTAAAGGGATCAATTCAACAAGAAGAGCTAACTATCCTAAATATATATGCACCCAATACAGGAGTAACTAGATTCATAAAGCAAGTCCTTAGAGACCTACGAAGAGATTTAGACTCCCACACAATAATAATGGGATACTTTAATAACCCACTGTCAATATTAGACAGATCAACAAGACAAAATGTTAACAAGGATTTCCAGGAATTGAACTCAGCTCTGCACCAAGCAGACCTAATAGACATCAACAGAACTCTCCACCCCAAATCAACAGAATATACATTCTTCTCAGCACCACATCACACTTATTCTAAAACTGACCACGTAATTGGAAGTAAAGCACTCCTCAGCAAATGTAAAAGAACAGAAATCACAACAAACTGTCTCTCAGACCACAGTGCAATCAAATTAGAACTCAGGATTAAGAAACTCACTCAAAACTGCACAACTACATGGAAACTGAACAACCTGCTCCTGAGTGACTACTGGGTAAATAATGAAATGAAGGCAGAAATAAAGATGTTCTTTGAAACCAATGAGAACAAAGACACAACGTACCAGAATCTCTAGGACACATTTAAAGCACTGTGTTAGAGGGAAATTTGTACCACTAAGTACCCACCAGAGAGAGCAGGAAAGTTCTAAAATCGACACCCTAACATCACAATTAAAAGAACTAGAGAAGCAAGAGCACACAAATTCAAAAGCTAGCAGAAGGCAAGAAATAACTAGGATCAGAGCAGAACTGAAGGGGATAGAGACACAAAAAACCCTTCAAAAAATCAATGAATCCAGGAGCCAGTTTTTTGAAAAGATCAACAAAATTGATAGACCACTACTAGCAAGACTAATAAGAAAAGAGAGAAGAATCAAATAGACACAATAAAAAATGATTAAGGGGTATCACCACTGATCCCACAGAAATACAAACTACCACCAAGAATACTATAAACACCTCTTTGCAAATAAACTAGAAAATCTAGAAGAAATGGGCAAATTCCTGGACACATACACCCTCCCAAGACTAAACCAGGAAGAATTTGAATCTCTGAATAGATCAATAACAGGCTCTGAAATTGAGGCAATAATTAATAGCCTACCAATCAAAAAAAGTCCAGGACCAGATGGATTCACAGCCGAATTCTACTAGAGGTACAAAGAGGAGCTGGTACCATTCCTTCTGAAACTATTCCAGTCAATAGAAAAAGAGGGAAACCTCCCTAACTCATTTTATGAGGCCAGGATCATCCTGATACCAAAGCCTGGCAGAGACACAACAAAAAAAGAGAATTTTAGACCAATATCCCTCATGAACATTGATGCGAAAATTCTCAATAAAATACTGGCAAACCGAATCCAGCAGCACATCAAAAAGCTTATCCACCATGATCAAGTCGGCTTCATCCCTGGGATGCAAGTCTGGTTCAACATACACAAATCAATAAACATAATACATCACATAAACAGAACCAATGACAAAACCACATGATTATCTCAATACATGCAGAAAAGGCCTTTGACAAAATTCAACAGCCCTTCATGCTAAAAACTCTCAATAAACTAGGTATTGATGGGATGCATCTCAAAATAATAAGAGCTATTTATGACAAACCCACAGCCAATATCATACTGAATGGGCAAAAACTGGAAACATTCCCTTTGAAAACTGGCACAAGACAAGGATCCCCTCTCTCACCACTCCTATTCAACGTAGTATTGGAAGTTCTGGCCAGGGCAGTCAGGCAAGAGAAAGCAATAAAAGGTATTCAAATAGGAAGAGAGGAAATCAAATTGCCTCTGTTTGCAGATGACATGATTGTATATTTAGAAAATCCCATCGTCTCAGCCCAAAATCTCCTTAAGCTGATGAGCAACGTCAGCAAAGTCTCAGGATACAAAATCAATGTGCAAAAATCACAAGCATTCCTATACACCAATAACAGACAAACAGAGAGCCAAATCATGAGTGAACTCCCATTCACAATTGCTACAAAGAGAATAAAATACCTAGGAATCCAACTTATAAGGGATGTGAAGGACCTCTTCCAGAAGAACTGCAAGCCTCTGCTCAAGGAAATAAGAGTGAACACAAACAAATCGAAAAATATTCCATGCTCATGGATATGAAGAATCAATATAATAAAAATGGCCATACCGCCCAAAGAAATTTTTAGATTCAATGCTATCCCTATCAAGCTAACACTGACTTTTTTCACAGAATTGGAAAAAACTACTTTACATTTCATATAGAACCAAAAAAGAGTCTGCATAGCCAAGACAATCCTGGACAAGAAGAACAAAGGTGGAGGCATCACACTACCTGACTTCAAACTATACTACAAGGCTACAGTAACCAAAATAGTATGGTACTGGTACCAAAACAGATATAGAGACCAATGGAACACAACGGAGACCTCTGAAATAACATCACACATCTACAACCATCTGATCTTTGACAAACCTGACACATACAAGCAATGGGGAAAAAGATTCCCTATTTAATAAATGATGTTGGGAAAACTGGCTAGCCATATGCAGAAAATTGAAACTGGACCCCTTCCTTACACCTTATACAAAAATCAACTCAAGATGCATGAACGACTACTTAAACTTAACTAGAAATACCACTTGACCCGGCAATCCCATTACTGGGCATATACCCAAAGGATTATAAATCATTCTATGATAAAGACACATGCACATGTATGTTTATTGCGGCACTATTTCCAATAGCAAAGACTTGGAACAAGCCCAAATGTCCATCAGTGATAGACTGGATTAAGAAAATGTGGCACATATACACCATGGAATCCTATGCAGCCATAAAAAAGGATGAGTTCATGTCCTTTTCAGGGACATGGATGAAGCTGGAAACCATCATTCTCAGAAAACTATCACAAGATCAGAAAACCAAACACCTCATGTTCTCACTCATAAGTGGGAATTGAACAATGAGAGCACATGGACACAGGGAGGGGAACATCACACAACAGGGCCTATTGAGGGGGTCAAGGGCTAGGGGAGAGATAACATTAGGAGAAATGCCTAATGTAGGTGCTGGGTTGATGGGTGCAGCAAACCACCATGGCATGTGTATACCTATGTAGCAAAACTGCACATTCTGCACATGTAACCCAGAACTTAAAGTATAATAAAAAATAAAAATAAAATAGTGATGGCTGGGCCTCGGCCCCAGGGATTCTGGTCCAGCATTGTTTGGGTGAAGCGGAGGACTTGCATCTCTAACAAATTCCTAGGTAATACTGATGCCACTATCGAGATCCTAACTGAGAATAACTGCTCTACTCTCTTCAAAGTTTTCTTACCTTCACATCATTGTCTCCTCTTATGTCTGTTCATTATTCCTTTCTTGATGAATACACTTATGTTGCTGTCTCTGCTTGAGAGAGAGCTTTGGCTTCCTTTGCACATATTCAATGACAGGCATTGAAATGTATTGAAATTTCCTGTGTTTCACAAGTGGAAGAATCAGAAGCAATTTACAATATTTTCCCCAGACAGTTTCACTTTCCAACTATTCATCCTCTCCACTCCCTTAAAGATATCTTCCCTTGCTAGTTGATGTTGTTTGATTTTCTTCTCTTCATAACTCACAATACCTACTAGCTCATTTTCTTGTTTCACTCATTGTTACTTTCTATGGGTTATTTTCCTCCACATGACTTAATTATAAACTCTGCGAAAGTAGAGGACTTCGCCATATATTTTCTGTTTCAGCACAGTCTTTAGTAAGTAAATGTTTCTTCTCCATGTGTTCTTATTTGTCATCAAATTTCTCTGATAGAGCCTTTCATGATATCAACTAATAAGCAGGTAGAGTTTATGGCAATTTGCTTGGGTCATGGGTAGGATTGTAAGGTTTAGTACATAAAAATGACACACCCTAAGGTAAGTTTGAAATGTAACAAATAATATTTTTTAGTATAAATATATCCTGTGCAAAATTTGGGACATACTTATACAAATTATTTTGCTTTTCTGAAATTCAAATTTTATGAGCATACTATATTTTATCTGGCAACCATTTTCATGGCTTTTCAGAACTTGATTCTTCAGAACGTCATTAATAGAGTCATATGAACATATCTTGCTACAAGAAATAGCCCTTTTATAATATTTCATCATATCTTAGCCATGTGACTTTAGGTAAGATACCTAATGTCTTTGAGCTTCAGTTGACTCACGATGAATGGAGATAAAAAATAAAAGTGTTCAAGCAGATATATAATACTTTCTCCGAGAATTCCAAGCTAATACTCACATAATGACCATTAATATCCTTGTAAATTGGTAACCTAGGAAGATACCAAGGTATTATATTTAAAATATATACATATCACGTATTATATTTAAAGCTCATGGTAAATTCTGTTAAGATATATTTCTCCTTGCTAGAAGAACAAACAAGTAGTAAGTTTTGGAATGTACAAGTCTAAGAAATAGATTGTTAACAATTTTGGAGCTCCTGCGGCCACTGGCCTTGTTTGAAGCCAAGTCATCTGGTGAAAAGAAACAGAGAAAAGCCAGACCATGGGTGTTTCCTTGGATCAGGCTCCCTGTGATCCCATGGCTCCTACCACTAAGTTGTTCACCACCAGCATCACTACACACAGTCGTGGTTAATGAAATTCATCCCTGGGATCAGGGATTATATACCTGATTATATACCTTATAAGTTGGTCTCATTGGAAGAGAATCAAGTGTGTGATCATAAAGTAAGATCTAAGATATTTGCTTTCTCTAATATCATATAAGTAAGTAATGCTCTGATGCTAAAAATTGATTATTTAACAGGTATCCTGGAGCAAGGTCTCATGAAATTGGAGTGTAGGAAACAGATGCCTAGGAAGAAAAACTAAGAGTGCTGATATAATTAACACATAGGCACCAGATAAATTTGCCTTTACCACTATTTTCCCAAGGCTGTCTCTGTCCCAGAAATATGGACAATTGTTAGGTTAAATCACAAAGAGATAAGAAAAGACAGAAAGTTCATCAACTCTAGCCTGTTATGGCTTGATGCCCACATGCTGACCTTGGTTTGCTTTCAATTCCTCGATACCACACCTGTGTCTGCTAAAACTGACTGTGGTCTAGTATGCTTGACCCTCTTTAAAAGAGTGAATGGTTCTACCTTGTGCTTCATTTATCTTGAAATGAGACTCAAGATTGTTTACGGTCATGAAATGTATCCTAGGTTCAAGCTGTGACAGTTTAGTGAATTCTAAATGAGTATTTCCTACTGTTTGCAATTATTTCTCAGCCTAGAAAAGATTTTTGGCTGGTGTCAGGGTTTGAAGTTTCTTTATGTTGTTTTCAACTAAACATTATTCTCTCTCTCTCGGTTTTGTTCCTGATATCATACATGCTTCTCAATCAGGCTGTACTTGTCAACTGCCTTTCAAGTTACTACTGCAGACTCTTTCAAAATGTGTTCTTTTTTTTATTGTGAAATTATTATTGTCTCCTAAAATGTTTCTGCTTTCTCTTTTCTCTCATTGAATTTTCATCTAATTTTGTTTTAAAATTAAACCAAATCAAGCAATAGTTGTGTTCCATGCCTTCTTACTTAAGGAATTGTTACATGCAAGCAACTAGCTTGTAAAATTACATTTTGTAACATATTTATTTGTTTTTAGTAAAAAGTTGGCTATAAACAACTTAATTATTTTGTTTACCTGTCTCTCAAGTTGAATGTAGCTCCAGAGATGGTGTTTTGGAAATAAAGGAAAACAAAAACAAAAGTTTCTTATTTCTTGTCAATTAAGAAAATATAAGATAAAAGATAATTTTGGTGTCCTTTTAGTAGAAATTATTAAAGAAAATTGTATCACAACTCCTCTTTTAAGTAGAACTTCACTTAGTCAACTGCAGCAGTATAATTGTGTCTTCAATTTAAATATCTATAGAACTAAAGGTTTTATCTGTCTTCTCTAAGATCCATCTTAGCAGAATAATAAAAAAAAATCTAAGTACTAAAATACAGAAGTAACTTATTTCATTAATTTCTATTTACCTTCATGTTAGTAAACAGTTTGAAGAATCTATATATTTTTATGTTTTAGATTAGCAGAATATAAGTTTTGTCCATATAGACATATATTTAGATCTGGTTTTAATGTTTTGATAAATCTGTGTATTCAAGTCAATGCAGAGTTTGATTGACATCACTTCCACTAAAACTGTCGAAACATATCTAATGCATAATTGCCAAAGGTTTATTTCCTTATTACAACATATTTAACTGAGATATTAGTTTTTAAATGCATACTCCCAGGGTCTTACACATAGTGGAATAAGAGAAATCATGTTACATTCATTATCTCAATTTATTTTTAAAATTCCCCAAAATTCTCTAATATGATTTTCTGCATCCACACGTTTACTTCCCTAGAGTTTTCCCAATTTTCACAGGTAAAGAGGTAAATCTTTTAACAACTTTGAAACCAAGATAAGTGGCTTCTGCAACTAGATATTGCAGGCAAAACTAGTGTGAGAAGAGACGTGAACAGCCAGTAATTCACCACATGTGTGGAGGAAAAAGAAATCAATTGATCAAGAAATACATGTAAGCAAACCCAACAAATAACCATTAGCAACTTCATATATGGGGACTAGGGTAAAGTACAATATTGAGATATTGCTGGAGGTATGAAGTTAAGGTTGTTAATCCTTGAGCCTCCTAAAATCTGCAAAAAAGGCCAACAAATTTTAACCCATTCTAAGCAATTGCGTCACCATGGTATTCACTGCTTCACTTACTGTAGATAGCATGCTAAGAATAATAAAATAATTTTCACTAATTTCAGCATTTGTTCAAAAGTGAAGGATATACTGCCAACAAGAGAAAAAATTAACTTGACACTTCTCAATAGCTCTAAATGACAGAAGCCAACCTGACACTTTTAGAATTTTAAAAATTAATTTTAATGAGGAATTATTTATAAAAATAAACTTCATCAATTTTAAATATAATACTATTTCTGTTGGTTCCTTCTTTCTCCTTTCCATTTGTAACCCCCATTACTTATATATTAAAACACTTATTCTACATTTCACTGAGGCTCTGTTCATTTTTCTTAGTGTTGTTCTCTTTTCTTATTTATGAATATGCATAATATCTTTAAGTTAACCAATTGTTTCTTACATCTGTTGGTAATTCAGTCTCAATATGCTTTTCTTTTCTGATATTATATTTTTCATTTTTATTACGTTCAATTTGGCTTTTAATTCATGGTTATTTAACTTCTTTATTATGTTTCTTCTTCATTTCTGTGAGCATATTTTAAAGATTTATAACACCTGTTTTACCTTGAATGCTAATCATAGAATCTTTATTTCCATTGATAGATTTTTTCATGGTTCTCTATTTTATTTTCCTGCTTTTTTGCACACCTGACAATTTTTTATTGGACTTAAGTGTCAAATTTGTATTTCTAAAAAAGATATTGGATGTTGGTTTAGCAGAGTTAATTGGCAACAGCTTGATTATTTCAAGCTTTGCATTTTATTATTTATTATGCCAAATACAAAGGAGCCTTTATTCTGAAGCTAATTTAGCCCTACTACTAAGGTGTATTCCTTCTGAGGACTCTCCCTAATGATCCTGTCTTACCTACAGGATTTGGTGAGCCTGCTCTTCTGTGGTTGTTTTTTCTGCATCTTTGGAGAGTTTCATCCCATTCCCGCATATCTTAGTACTCAGTGGACAAAGGGAGGAAACTGTAGTTCTCCCAAGCTGTCTTTCGGTGCAGTTTTGTCCTCCTGGTATTCTGCCTTACGTATTCTAGTAACCTACACCACTCCAAATTCTGTTTTCTATCACAGTATCAAACTCTAGTCTCAAGAATGGTTGAAATAAACTATCAAAAATAAAATATGTTCACATTTTCAACTTTTTGAGTGACTCATTTAAAACTTTAAAGACTTTAGGGAATAAATTATGAGTATAGATAGCTCTGCAATGCTTCTGAATACCATTGTAGCTTAACATGAGGATAAAACTATAAAACATAGGGAAAAAACCTTACAAACTCTTTGTTATCATGCATAAAGATTTTAGAGGTTATATAATATGGCATTTTAACACATTTAGAATAAAGTACTAGATGTAAGAACTCTATAAAATTATCAAGTAGGATTTATTTAAAATTAGAAAAATGAGTCATATTGAGAATTACACTATTAAAATTCATCACATTAATAAGATAAAAACATATGATGCTCTAAATAAATGGCCAAAAATCATTTTACAAAGTGAAATATCCATCTCTAAGAAAAGCTTTTAGCAAGATAATTATAATTCCTTAACATAAAGATGAATATTTTCTATCAGAATAACTACTGGACTTTGCTCAATGTGGATTTTTTAAATGATAAATTTGAAAACCAAGTGCTTTGGCTTTGAAAGTGCATTGCTATAAAATTAGGCCTTATTTTTCTTAACACCTGAATTAGAAGACTACAGCATTTTACATTTTTTATTAGCAGGCAGCCCTGTCCTTGTCTAAGTTTTCCCTCCTATCTCTTCTTAAAACCTCCTGGGTATACCTACATTAATCATGGATCCCTCATCCTCGTTATTCATCACGTATACTGTTTGGGGCCCACCATCACAGCTGCTGTCCTGAGGGGAGAAATCAATCCCCACCAGTTCATGTTTTATTGCTGCTAGTCCCACGAGTTTGTACTCAATGGTGAAGTTCTGATAATGCAAAAAGGTGTGCTACACCCTGTCACTTCCACCACAATAGTCTTGATAGTATTTTTTGTTGGTTTATTTTATTTGAGGATTTTAAAAATTTGAGACACAAATAACATACTATAAAACTGACAATTTTAAAGTGTATAATTCATGAACAGCCACTCACCCTTACCCATTTCCATACAGGCCCTGGCAATTCACTATCGATTTGCCTATTCTGTACAGTTCATCTAAATGAAATCATTCTGTAATGTAGCATTTAGTATCTAGCTTCTTCCAGATAGTATAATATTTTCAAGGTTCTTTTATGCTAGAACATCTAGAAATGCTTCACTCATTTTTATGGCTGAAAAATATTCCATTGTAGGCATATAGCACAATTTGTTTATCCATTCGTTTGCTGATAGATATTTGGGTTGTTTCCAATTAAAATTATTCTATTAACATAATAAATAATGGTGTGAACATTCGTGTACAGGTTGTTATATAAATATATTTCCAGTTCTCTTGGGGGTATACCTAGGAATGAAGTCACTGGGTAATAAGGTAATTCTATATTTAACTATTTAAGAAAATGCTAAACTGTTTTCCAAAGCATTTGCATTATTTTACATTCTTATCTTCAATGTATAAGGCATACAATTTATCCACATCTTTGTAAATACTACTGTCAACTATCTTTCAGGTTGTAGCCATCCATTGCATTTCCTTTGATATGGTTTGACTCTGTGTCCCCACCCAAATCTCATCTGGAATTGTCATCTCCAGGTGTCAAGGGAGGGACCTGGTGGGAGATGATTGGATCATGGGGGCAGTTTCTCCCATGCTTTTCTCTTGATAGTGAGTGAGTGCTCACAACATCTGATGTTTGACAGTTCCCCCACCCCCGCCACCTTCCTGCTGCCAGGTAAGATAGTTCTTGCTTCCCCTTTTACTTCCATCATGATTGTAAATTCCCTGAGGCCTTCCCAGCCATGTGGATCTTTGAATCAATTAAACCTCTTTTCTTTATAAATTACTCAGTCTCAGGTAGTATCTTTATAACAGTGTGAGAATGGACTAATGCATCCTTAATGACTAACGATAGTGAGAATCTTTTCATGTGCTTATTGACTATACAACTATATATATATCTTCTTTGGATAAATGTGTACTCAAATTATTTTTTTTAACTTTTCTGTCTTTTATTAATTTAATTTTTTAATACATAGTAGTTTTATTTGTATTAGCCAAAAGCTAGAAACACCCAAGATGTCCTTCAGCAGGCAATTTTTTTAAAAAATTTAATTTTTAAATTTTTGCTGGTACAGAGTGAGTGTATATATGTATGGAGTACATAGGATGTTTTAATACAAGTATGGAATGTGAAATAATCACATCATGAAGAATGGGTAGCTACCCCCTCAAGCATTTATCCTTTGGGTTACAAACAATCCAATTACACTCTTTTAATTATTTTTAAATGTACAATTAAGATATTGTTGACTATAGTCACCCTATTATGCTATCAAATAGTAGGACTTATTCATTCTCTGTATTTACTATAACCATTAACTATCCCCACCTCCCCTCCAGCCCCACACTACCCTTCTCAGCCTCTAGTAATTATCCTTCTACTCTCTATGTCCATGTGTTCAATTGTTTTGATTTTTAGATCCAATAAATAAGGGAGAACATGCAGTGAGTCTTTCTGTCTTTGCTTAGTTCACTGAACATAATGATCTCCACTTCCATCCATGCTGCTGGTAATAACAAGATCTCATTCTTTTTTATGGCAGAATAGTACTCTTCCGTGTGTGTGTAACACATTGTCTTTATCCATTCATCTGTTGATGGATATTTACATTTCTTCCAAATCTTAGCTATTTTAAACAGTACCACAACAAACATGAGAATGCAGATATCTCTCTGATATACTGATTTCCTTTCTTTGGGATATACTGATTTCCTTCCACTGGGGTGTATACCCAGGACTGGAATTGCTGGATCATGTGGTAGCTCTATTTTTATTTTTTTGAGTAACCACCAAACTATTCTCTGTGGTGGTTGTACTAATTTACATTCCCACCAACAGGAGAGTTCCCCCTTTCTTCATATTTTCACCAATATTTGTCCTTGCCTCTTTTGGGGATATAAATGATTTTATAATTGCTTTTATTGATTGTATTTTATATCTGATCAGTGTTGTCTGAAAATATCTGCAGGAAAAAAAAAGTAGCTCTTATTTAAAAGGAATTACATTTACTCTATCAATTTGGGAATTATTGCCTTTTAACAATAACAAGTCTTTCAGTCTGTGAACATTAAATAAATTTTTGTTTATTTGGTTTTCTTTATTTTTTAATCATATTTTATAGTTTTCAGTGTACAAGTTTTACACTTCTTTTGTTAAATTTATCCCTAAATATTTTACTTCTTTTGATGCTATTGCAAATAGAATTGTTTTATTCATTTCATTTTCAGATTGTTCATTGCCAGAATGTAGAAATACAAATGATATTTGTATATTGAGCTTACAGCTTGTGACCTTTCCGAATGCACTTATAAGCTCTAGTATTTTTATGAATTCCTTACTATTTTCTATGCATATGATCATGTCATCTGCACATAGAGATTTTTATTTCTTTCTTTACAATCTGGATATTTTGAATTTTTCTGTTGCCTAATTTTGCTAGTTTTAATTTCCACCATAATATAATATTAAGTAGAATTGATGACAGTAGACAGCTTCACCTTATTTCTGAATTTACTTACTGTGATGTTAACTGTAGAGTTTTTAAAATTATATGTTAGACATCCTTTATTGGATCAAGACATTTTCTTCTAGTTCGTTGAGTTTTTAAAAAAGATGAAACAGTGTTGAATTTTGTCAGGGTTCTTTTTTTCCAGTTTTTATTGGAATGATCATGTGCTTTTTGTCTTTTCTTCTATTAATATGGGGTATTACACTGGTTAATTTTTGTTTATTGAACCAACCTTGCATTCATAGAATAATTTCACTTATTCATGATGTGTATTTCTCTTTATGTTATTAGATTCAGTTTGCTGGTATTTACTTGAGGATTTATGAAACTCTATTAATACAGAACATTAGTTTACAGAGTTTTAAAACTATGTTTTCATGGTTTTTATATTGAAGTACTACTGGCCTTATCAAATGAATTCAAAAGTGGTTCCTCCTCCTCTTGTTTTTGAAAAAGTTTGAAAGTATTGGTGTTTATTAAAACCTCGGGACTACATGCCTTCAGTAGTGTGGTCCTGAGATTTTCTTGGTGAGAAGTTTTTTGATTGTTAATTCAATGGTTGTGATTCTATTTCAACTTGCTGGGTTTTTTTCTTGAGTAAGTTTTGCTGGTTTGTGTCTTTCTAGGAATTTTCCCATTTTATCTGAGTTATCTAATTTGTTAACATATAATGGCTCATGCTCATGGTGTTTTCACAAAATCTTTTTGTTTTTGTAAATTCTGTAGGAATGACCTATTCTTCATGTTTTATTTAGTAATTTAATTCTTCTCTCTCCTTTTCTTGTTCAGTCTATATAGTGGTTTGTCAATACTGTTGATCTTTTCAAAAAACTGTCTTTTGATTTTGTTAGTTTCCTCTACTGTTTTTTATTTTTATTTCATTTAATCACTGAAACCTCTATTATTTTCTTCCTTAGCTTGCTTAAAAAAATTTAATGCAGCTATTTACAGCTATAGGTTTCTCTCTGTGCATGTCTTTAGCTTTCTTTCACTTATTTCAGTATACTAGAGGAATGGGTGTTTATACTTGTTACATTTTCTAGGTAATTGGACTCATCATTATTAAATATTTTTCTTTGTTGCTACTATTTTTGTCTTAAATTTTATTTTGTGTAATATTCCTATAGTAATCCCAGTTCTCTTTTGATTATTCTTCACGTGATATATCTTTTTTCATCCTTTTACTTCCAACCTATTTACATAATTAAATAAACAGTGTGTTGATTTTATAGGTAGTACAGTTGAATAGTTTTTTTAAAATCCATTCTGTCAATCTCCATTTTAACTGGAGAGCTTAATTCATTTAAATTTAATGTAATTACTGCTAAGGTAAGGCTTACATCTTCCATTTGCTATTTCTTTTCTATATATCTTGTATCTTTTTTTATTTTTTATTTTATTTTATTATTATTATACTTTTAAGTTTTAGGGTACATGTGCATAATGTGCAGGTTAGTTACATATGTATACATGAGCCATGCTGGTGTGCTGCACCCATTAACTCGTCATTTAGCATTAGGTATATCTCCTAATGCTATCCCTCCCCCCTCCCCCCGCCCCCCAACCCTAGAAGAAAACCTAGGCATTACCATTCAGGACATAGGCATGGGCAAGGACTTCATGTCTAAAACACCAAAAGCAATGGCAACAAAAGCCAAAATTGACAAATGGGATCTAATTAAACTAAAGAGCTTCTGCACAGCAAAAGAAACTACCATCAGAGTGAACAGGCAACCTACAAAATGGGAGAAAATTTTCACAACCTGCTCATCTGACAAAGGGCTAATATCCAGAATCTACAATGAACTCAAACAAATTTACAAGAAAAAAACAAACAACCCCATCAAAAAGTAGGCGAAGGACATGAACAGACACTTCTCAAAAGAAGACATTTATGCAGCCAAAAAACACATGAACAAATGCTCACCATCACTGGCCATCAGAGAAATGCAAATCAAAACCACAATGAGATACCATCTCACACCAGTTAGAATGGCAATCATTCAAAAGCCAGGAAACAACAGGTGCTGGAGAGGATGTGGAGAAATAGGGACACTTTTACACTGTTGGTGGGACTGTAAACTAGTTCAACCATTGTGGAAGTCAGTGTGCCTAGGTTTTCTTCTAGGGTTTTTATGATTTGGGGTTTTACATTTAAGTCTTTAATACATCTTGAGTTAATTTTTGTGTAAGGTGTAAGGAAAGGGTCCAGTTTCTGTTTTCTGCATATGGCTAGCCAGTTTTCCCAGCACCATTTATTAAATAGGGAATTCTTTCCCTATTGCTTGTTTTTGTCAGGTTTGTCAAAGATCAGGTGGTTGTAGATGTGTGGTGTTGTTTCTGAGGTCTCTGTTCTGTTCCATTGGTCTATATATCTGTTTTGGTACAAGACCCTTCTCAAAAGAAGACATTTATGTGGCCAAGAAACATATGAAAAAAAGCTCATCATCACTGATCATTAGAGAAACGTAAATCAAAACCACAATGAGATACCATCTCATGGCAGTCAGAATGGCAATTGTTAAAAAGTCAGGAAACAATAGATGCTGCCAAGGCTGTGGAGAAATAGGAACAATTTTAAACTGTTTGTGGGAGTGTAGATTAGTTCAACCATTGTGGAATACAATGTGGCAATTCCTCAAGAATCTAGAACCAGAAATACCATTTGACCCATCAGTCCCGTTACTGGGTATATACCCAAAGGATTATAAATCATTCTCCTATAAAGACACATGCACATGTATGTTTCTTGCAGCACTATTTACAATAGCAAAGACTTGGAACCAACCCAAATGCCCATCAACAATAGTCTGGATAAAGAAAATGTGGCACATATACACCGTGGAATACCATGCAACCATAAAAAAAAGAATGAGTTCATGTCCTTTGCAGGGACATAGATGAAGCTGGAAGCCATCATTCTCAGCAAACTAACACAGAAGCAGACAACCAAACACCACATATTCTCACTCATAAGTGGGAGTTGAACAGTGAGAACACACAGACACAGAAAGAGGAACAACACATACTGCAGCCTATTGCTCCATAGGAGGAAAGGGGAGGGAGAGCATTATGGCAAATCCCTAATGCATATGGGGCTTAAAAACCTAGATGAAGGGTTAATAGGTGCAGCAAACCACCATGGCCTATGTATACCTACATAACAAACTTGCACATTCTGCACATGTATCCTGGAACTTAAAGTAAAATTTAAAAAATAATAATAAAATAAAAATGAATTCCAGGTTCTATATGCTCCTCATCTATATACTTTCAGAAAGAGAGATTTTGATGGTTTGGACAGGTAGTATTCAGTATGGATTTCCCCTGGAAAATGGCCACATTAGAGGGTTCTGGAAATCAAAAGAGCTTCTTTTAAGTCAAGCCGTGTTGTTCGCCTAACTAGGAAAACAGTCATCTTTTGTTTCCTGCAAAGGGGGAAACAAAAATATGGCAGTTACTGAAATAATCATGTTATGGCCATTGGAACACATATATAGGCTATAAGAAAAAAATGGTCTATAGGTTTATTTTAAAAATCTTGATATTTAAAAATTTTGCTATTCAAAGACGAGTGCTATGCATTATCTGTCAATGTGTTATGGTTCCTATTATTGCAGATAATGTTTTGTGAACATATGAATTTAATGCTTGGTGAATGCAAAAATTACTAAATAAACACTCAACCCAATGAATAATTTAACCCTGTCTTGTACTTGTATTTAATGAATATTATTATGTCAGGTAGATAATGGGAATTAACAAATCAGTTCCACCTTTGATTTTGAAGAATAGTCCTCGTATGGCCGCAAAGAACATTTATGCATTCAACTGTCTTTGCCAAACCCAGCTTTATTTCAATCTTACAGGAATATAATGTTCGACAGAGTTCAGTTTTTTTTCTAGAAATCAAAGAAGAAAAATAACAAATTCCACAGGACAATCAGAAACAATCACTGATTCTGTTTTCCCATAACCCTCTTTTTATCCTGAACTAAGAAATTGTATTAAGACGAAAATTCATCCCATACTCAGGTTTACCATATATTGCAGAGGGTGTAGGTGAGAGTTTAAGAAAATTGCATAGTTTGAACACAGCAATATGTATGGATATAATAGCAACATATAAATTATGTTCATATTATAGTATGGTATCATAGAGAACCTTACCAAATCTCTCCCTCTTTCTCTCTCTTTATCTCTTTCTCCAGTTCATATTTGTTTAATATTGGGGAGAATATTTTCCAGTGGACTCTTAACAAATGTGCAGAACTCTACTCAGGCAGTTATTCTCTGAGTCTTAGGCTGTCAGAACAATACCCCAGATTTCACGTACTCAAGTCTAACATTATTTTGCCAATTACAGCCCTTCCCCGCTGAAATCCCATTCAACTTAGTAACTCAAGGGTTCAGACATTACATTAGAGAAATATGAATACCCGCCAGGCGCGGTGGCTCATGCCTGTAATCCCAGCACTTTCGGAGGCCAAGGTGGGCGGATCACGAAGTCAGGAGATCGAGACCATCCTGACTAACACTGTGAAACCCGATCTCTACTAAAAATACAAAAAATTAGCCGAGTGTGGTGGCGGGCACCTGTAGTCCCAGCTACTTGGGAGGCTGAGACAGGAGAATGGTGTGAATCTGGGAGGCAGAGCTTGCAGTGAGCCGAGATCACACCACTGCACTCCAACCTGGGTGACAGAGCGAGACTCTTTAAAAAAAAAAAAAAAAAAAAAAAAGAGAAATATGAATACCCTAACATCCTGACTTCTCAGAAAAAGATCAATCCTAAATGCTCTTATGTTATGACTTCAATGCAATGACATACAGCATCTAGTATACACTAGCAGATTAAAATCATGAACACTACGCAGAGATACAGATCTAACATTTGGGGTATTAGTTAACATCCTAACATTGTGGTATTAATGAGACACTCATTAATTTCATGTATATTAACACTTCATTTCTCTTGACTGTGGATGAATGATCATCCTTGGATAGGGACGGGGTGTACAGTTGGGAGTCATGCCATTTCTGCTCTGAAATAAACAGGGTCTTAGAAACTGTTTCTCAAAAATGTGAGTATTCATATGAAGTTATCTAAAGGAAAAATACTTTTATCTCATGAACTCAGTTTATATGCAATGATTTTAATAATTCGCGTTTCATAGAGAAAGGGAGAGAGAAAGAAAGTTTTTTGTTCTTTTCTGGTCCAAAAAAGGCGATAAGTTTGGAGGAGAAGATGTTTTCATTTCAGTGGTTGTCTGGATTAAATAAAATGGTCAGAATCCCCTAGAAGGTCAAGAGGCATATTGGCAGTTAATCTACACTGTAGAAGAGGAGAGACATAATAATGGGAGATACGGTGGTCAGTAATTAGTTGACATCATTTACATTTCCTTTCCTGTCTATTAATAAAATATACTCCAGTGTCATAGCCTACACTATCTCACCTGTTTATTGAAGACATTTCAATTATGTTTGATTCTACAAATTGTGGTACAGGATCACTTTAATACTGCACTAACACATTTATGACATATTACTGCACCTATTGTGAGCCTGCTGTAAGAACATTGTCAGAGGCCTCTACTGAGTTTGATCAGCATTCATGTTAAATTTTTATTGTATTTCTATGAGAAATTTAACTGTTTACTGTAAAAAAAGTATGAGGATACCCTTAGATCTAGAAAGGAAGAATAGTTACATATTCGCTTAGATGTGTTCAGTGTATGCACTATGAAGCTCCAACAACAAATGTGTCATTGTCAGCAAATGTCAAGAAACCTGGAACTGGCCGCTTACAGATGGTAATAGTTCAAGTATTTGATCTCCAGTTTACGTCTGAGGCTCACACTCTGGAAGACAGTGATTGCCAGAACAAAAGGATTCCAGTCTTTATATTTGAGGTATTCCTTCCTTCTAACCGAGGTCTGAGGACCAGTTACACCCCCTGAGGGTACTGAAAACTGTATGTTAAAAAAATATTAGCTTTGTTAACTGCAGAAATTGGCTTCATTAAACAAAGCAAACAACAAAAGTTCATTCAAATTTACCAAACAGAGATTAAAATGTTACATAACAACAAAAATACAAACCTTCCTAATTATGAAAAGAAATTTCAAAATATAAAAGAACAAATAAGCATATCACATAACACACATAATTCTAAAAGAGATTAGGTTGAATGGAAAGAAAATTATCAGCCTTATTAAATGTGAATGGGGTTAGCTCACTTGTTAAAAAGAAAAAAAAATTTCAATTTCACTTGCAAAAAAGACAACTATATGCTGTATATAGGAAATACTTCTATACCAAATTATTTTAAAGAGCTAAAAATAAGGGATGAGCAAAGATATACCAAACTGAAATAAAAAGAAATCATGGGTAGTGATAGCAATATTAAAAAAAGTAGAGTTTAATCCACAAAACATTAAATGTTAGAAAAATAAAAGAATTTAATAATAAAACTTACGTTTTAAATGGAGAAATAATGCATATGAATATCTATACACAAAATAGTGCATCAACCACTTAAATAAATCAAAACTTTCCAGATATGCAAGAAGACATAGAAACACACAAATACTAGAAAATATTAATACTTTGCTCTCAGTACAAGTCAGATCAAATAGGCTTATATGATTATATATTGAATTTACACACTAGTTATAGAAGACAGTTACAAAAGTTATCTTTTGTAACTGTCTTTTCAGTGTATATAAGACAGTTACAAAAGTTATCATAATTTGTCACAAATAACAGAAAAATTTATAAAGTAAAAGTATTGCTATCAATACTTTTCAATTACAATGTAATAACATGAGACATTATTAATACAATTTAAAAAGCCATTCAAGCTAAACATTTTATAACTTTCTATTTTAAATAATTCTGAAAGAGAACATTGATAGTCAAAAGATAGAGAATTGTAAAGTTTTCTTCATGCAGGCTATGAACATTTCTTGTCAAATTTAATTCTAGGTTTTTTTAAAAAAATTGTTTCTATTTTAAGTGGAGTTTTACTACCATTATATTCTTAATATATACAATTTCTCTCTTGTTATATCCTCAATAAAAGGTTATTGTTTGTATATATGAATGCTCTTGATTTATGTATGTTAACTTTATAATTTGCTATTTTATTAAATTCTTGTATGATATGAATCAGGTTTATCATTGATTGTCTACAATTTTTCAAGCACATAATCATATAATCTGTCAATATAAGTATTTTAAAGTAATTTACTGCCATTTATATACCTTTGATTTCTAGCTCTTTTCTAACTGCATTGGCTAATACAATGTTGAATAGTAGTAGAAATATGGATGATCTTGTCCTATTCCTAAGCTTAGCAGTGTTAGAATGGAATTAAAAATATAAATGTGAGCTCATAAACTTTAATACATAAAAAGAGCTAGATATAAAAATGGATGACAATCTCTGTGGGTGTGTATACATGTGTATGCACATGCACACGTGTATGTATGTATAAATATACATACATTTGTTTCCAAGCCTCTATACTGAGAGCATCTAGAAAGAATAAAATCCAGTAGCAATGAGCATATCTAGTACTCTGATCTTGGTTTTCCATTATGGGAAACCAAGTGTCCTCAAATAAATGGCTGATTACAAGGCTGAGGCATATACCAAGAATATTTTTTTTGTACCCCAAGTAAAATGGGGTTCAAAAAATTATAGGGACATACCAAACTGATATAAGGAGACAAATCGAAGAGTCTGCCACTGGTCAAATATAACACAATTATGAACACATGTACTTCTCTTTAACATAGCATCAAGAAAAAATGTAGAAGTCATAAAGTTAGTGACATAATTTGACTCTGTGTCTGCACCCAAATCTCATCTCCAATTGTCCCCAGGGAGACAAAATAGCTCTGCCATTTTCATTTCCCCCAACAGTATCCTGAGAATTCTGCATCATCTCCATCACTTGGTATAGTGTCTTGTAATTTTAGTCATTCTAATAGCTATGTAATGGTGCCTCACTGCGGTATTAATTTCATTTCCCTAGTAACTAATGATGTTGAACACCCTTTCATAGGCTTCCTTGCTGTCCAAATATCTTATTTGGTGACATGTCTGTTCAAACATTTTTTTTCATTTTTCGTTGGGTTGTTTGTTTACTTATTATTTAATTTTGAGAGTTCTTTATATATTTTGGTTATGAGTTACTAATCATATAAGTGATATTCAAAAAATTTTTCCCAAGTCTGTTGCTTGAATTTTCGTTACCTTAAGCAGTGTCTTTTAAGAGCAAATTATTGGCCTGGTGCAGTGGCTCACACCTGTAATCCCCAGTAGTTTGGATGACCAAGGTGTAAAGAGCCTTTGAGGCCAAGAGTTTGAGACCAGCCTGGGAAATATAAGGAGATTCCATCTCTACCAAAAGTTTTTAAAAATTAGCTGGCATGGTGGTGCACACCTATAGTCCTAGCTGCCTCAGAGTCTGAGGCTGGAGGGTTGCTTGAGCCTGGAAGTTCTTTTTGTATATGAATATATAGTTTTTCCAGCTCCATTTATTGGCAATAATTTAATTTTGAAATTTTCAGTAACATTAATGGAGGTCATTGATTCTGCTTTTGTTTATCAAAATGAGAATAGGTTACAAAATGTTGAAATACACTGGTCTAGTTTATGGAAGATATTTTTACTGACCTATCACTACTTACTAACATTCAAAACTAAATTTTAAAAATGGTCACTGTTTTATTTTTTTGACTATTTTAAATATCTCTTCTTTCTTTTCCTTCAGCCCAGATGGTTTACTTGTCTAAAAATTAACTATACTAAAATTTTTTAACTCTAATGTACTATCAATTCTATAAATCTTACATCTATTTTGGTTCAGTAACCTTTATGGGAAAATACAATTATTTCATTTGTTTTTAGTTCATTTTATTAATTCATTTATTCAACTGATAATGTTCAACAAAACATCATGTGCTCAGCAGACACTGTATTAGAGAAATGTCTCAAATAGCACAAGTGCTAAAAGTACTTGCATTGGGGTAGAGAGGTATTTTCTAAACCATTCCAGCTCTCTAGAAAATGGAGATGATAATCTCATAGAGCAGATATGAGGATTAAACAAGATATTATAAACAGGGGTTAGTACAGTACCTGACAGTCAGGACTCAATGGGGGTTTGAGGAAGTTATATTTATTTCAATTAACAGTATTAGCACAGTTTTCTATGATTTTTAATGGATTTCAAATATATTGAGTAATTTAGCAGTATCACTGGAAGAAACAAGGTATAAGGAAAAAAGTGATTGCAATATCATAATAAATAAAAATTTTAAGTGAGTATTATTTTCCTGCCTATAAACAATATCCTTAACTCTGAGAACCTCAATTTACTCAAGTGACCAGCAGGTGCACAGGCATATTTTGTTGATATTCTGGGCCAGGCCATTAGATGCATCATGTATTGATATTTTAGATAGACAAAATGAAGACTAGAGGAGCCTCAATATTGCAAGGTAAAAGGGACTACCTCTTTATTTTAATAATTTCATCCTGAAAATAACACTGAGGAAATGGGAGTGGATTTCCTCAGTCCCCTTCAACTCTAAGACACTTGGGAAAAATACAAAACTGAGCAATGTGTTCAACTGCATTCAAAGAATTTTCACATTTTATTGCTTTATTCGAATTATATTGTATATGGCTAACAATAATATCACTTTTGTTACTAGTATATATAACAGACATGTCATTGTAAAGAACACCAGAAATGTCCACCGTTTGTGACCTTCAGCCTATTCTTTAATTTTCTGGTGTCACAGGCATAATTTGTGGCCAAGCTTTATTATTGATACTAGAATTTCCTTTTATAGATAATGTACACCTGGGCTCATCCTGTTAAATAGTAAAATAATAATAATAATGGAGAGCTTTCAGTGTATTTGTATTTTAACCCCATAAGAACTCTATTACACAGGTATTATTTTAATAATGTTTTATGTTATAAAGCCAAAGCTCAGAGAATTTAATTAACTTACACAAGATTGCAAAGTAACAGAACCAGTAATCAGGCCTAGAAAGTGTGATAACAGAACACTTGTGTTCAACCATCCTTCTAGCTGATAGATATCAGTTAAAGACCCTATTAAACTTTGGAACAGTTTAAATAGAGAAAACTAAAAGCAGAACTGGGGAGACATGTTTATGTTAAACTTGTTATTTTATGACCACTGTTTGAAAATCCCTAGTTTTTCTTTTTTTTCTTTTTTTTTTTTTTTTTTTTTTTTTTGACGGAGTTTCACTCTTGTCACCCAGGCTGGAGTGCAGCGCACAATCTTGCTCACTGCAACCTCCGCCTTCCGGGTTCAAGAGATTCTCCTGCCTCAGCCTCCCAAGTAGCTGGGATTACAGGTGCCTGTCACCAAGCCCGGCTAATTTTTTGTATTTTTAGTAGAGACAGGATTTCACCATGTTGGCCAGGAATGGTCTCGAACTCCCAACCTTAAGCGATCTGCCCTTCTCGGCTTCCCAAAGTGCTGGGATTTACAGGCATGAGCCACCGCGCCCGGCATAAAATCCCTAATTTTCAATGCTTCCACAATTGGCATGGTTCATCTTCATGATGTAAAACTAATACCATTTTACATTATTATCATTCTGAGGTCTTGAATTTAGAGAGTTACTAAGAGACACAATAGTACCGTGCAACTATTGCCTTTTTCTCACTACTGTCATTATAAAACATTGATAGAGAGAAATGGGTGGTTCTTATACCGATAATCCCAGAAGTATTTGTCTCTTCCTCAGTGCTTTCTTTTCTTCAAAACACACAGCCTGATATTGGGGAAGCATTTACTAGAACATTCATGGGCGAGCCAGAATGACACCTTTCCATTAAGAGGCAGCCTGACCATTCTGTAGATTCTAGAAGAAAAGCCAAATTTGTTCCATCTTAACATTCACTAAAGACTCTTAAACACCTTTCAGATAAATTATTCACATGCTGTTCTTTGGGCTGCTGTTAGACCAGAATCTAAACAATTCTGAAACATTTACACTTCAAGTTCGGCAATTTCCCTGACCGTTTTCCAAACTGTTGATCCTTTACCACTTATATGATTCCTTGGACACTAGCATCTTGTAACTGATATATCAGTGGATTCTGTAACTTTGGTCCTTTCTGATATATAGAAAGAAGACTCACTTCCAAGCTTTTTGAGTCCCATTATTTATGATCCCAATGCTGCCAACATTAATACACATACCTCAGTTTGATGGTGCAGTGAAGGATTACTTCTTCCAAAAGCTAGATAATAAATGAAAATTCAGCCTTAGTCTTTGCAATTCAAATAGCTCATTCACCACCATCTGGACAACATTTTCTGTAATGCTTTCTGGAACAGAGATTCTTACAAAAAATATCACAACCCAGTTTTCTATTATAACATGCCTATACTAGTGGTAGTATACTTCTCATAAATAAATAAATATGACTACCTAAAAACATTTGTGATCTCTTTCCCATTCTCTCTCTCTCTCAGCCTAAAAGTACAGCTGTCATCTTGTAACTATAACCTGGTAAGGTATATATTACTATCACCCCCAGTATTCAATATCTTCAATATCCTTGCATCATTAGTACTTGTAAAACTATACTCTTTGGTCTAGTGTTGATTTTGGTCAATGAAGTGTGGATGGAAATGACATGTACCTCTTCCAGGATGAAGCAGTCATTGCATGGTGAGGAGCTGCCAAGGAGATTCGCTTAGATGCACAGTGGACTTGGAATGAACAAAATAAACTTTGGTTATGTTGAGCCCCTGAGATATAGGGGTTCTAAAATATCATAGCATGTGCTAGGCCATTTTAACTAATAAAACATAGGATGAAAACTGATGCATTAAAGATACTGTAGCAGAAAGGTTGAAATAGCCTTATTTCCAAAGGCAGTATTGAGCATCAGGACCAGCCCTGGACTGCCAGCTTCCAGATTTCTTATTGAGTAAAGATACGAAGAAAAACTTTTAGTTAAATGATTTAGTTGTATTTGTTTCCATTTGCTTTCTTTCATATTTTGCAGCTGGAAACGTTGCAAAATAGATAGATAGATAGATGATAGATAGATAGATAGATAGATAGATAGATAGATAGATAGATAGATAATAGAGCACAGATATATAGATGAGAGAGTTATAGACATAGATACAGATATAGATGTAGATAGATATGGAGTTATCGATATAGATACAGATAGCTATAGATGCTCCTCAACTTATCATGGAATTATGTCCTAATAAACCCATCATAAACTGAAAATATTCATTTAATATTCCTAACCTACTGAACATTAAAGTTTAGCCTAGCTTACATTAGACATGTTCAGAACATTTACATTAACCTACAGTTGGGCAAGATCATCTGGAAACACAGTACTCTGTAGAGTATCAGTTGTTCACTTTCTTGATGTTGTGGGTGACTGGGAGCTATGCTTGCAGCCTATGCTGGGGAATTGTAAGACTGCCATACTGCATATCAATAGCTTGAGAAAAGATCAATATTAAAAATCTGAAGCCAGGCACAGTGGCTGTAATCACCTGTAATCACCTGTAATGTAAGATCACACCTGTAATCTCAGCACTTTGGAAGGCCGAGGTGGGCAGATTGCCTGAGCTCAGGAGTTCAAGACAAGCCTGGGTAACATGGCAAAACTCCATCTCTACCAAAAACAGAAAAATTAGCTGGGTATGTTGTCATGTGGCTGTAGTCCCAGCTACTCGGGAAGCTGCGGTGAGAGGATTGCTTGAGCCTGGGAAGTAGAGGCTGCAGTGGGCCAAGACTGCACCACTGCACTCCTACCTGGGTGACAGAGTGACACCCTGCCCCCCAACCAAAAAATTTGAACTATGGTTTCTACTGAATGAGTATTACTTTAGCACCATCTGTAAAATTAAAAAATTGTAAGTTGAACCATAGTAAGTCAGGTACCATGTGTATATATTTGATATTCCCATACATGAGATACAATATACAATATATACTATCTCATGTATATATATATATATCTCATATATATATTCTCTATCTCTTCATGCTACTGCATAGCACAGTATAACACATAAATGTTTATCTCATTATCTGTCTTGTTCTTGGACATTTGACAGTTATTTTTATCTCAATGATAACCCAGATAAATAACCTGCACCTGTATTACCACTGGAGGAGATATTGGGCTAGATGACCCTGAACACATCATTGAAATTCAGGAAATCTATCCTTGCTTCATAGTGTAATCTTTGCTGCTTTACAGTAGTCTCACTCTTTTTTTCACTCTGCTGAGAGCGTGAAGAGCAACAATTGCTCAACATGTGAAAACTGTGTTCCTTTTTGAATAATACTATTCTGCAATGTGAAAAAATTCAGTTCTACTCATTTATGCCAGACTGATGTATGCTTTATTAATTTCACTGGATGAATTTAAGAACTAACAAAGGACAAACTTGCAAAACAAAATAAACTGTTTGTTTCTCTTTTTTCTTGTCTCAAATCCAACAGCTTTTCAGATTTACTTTCCATTTATTAGAACAGATTGAAATTACTTATTGAAATTTCTTAACACTCTTTTATAAGCCCAATGAACAGATGTAATTGTGCTTGGTAGATCAATTCATCCATTGCACCATGCCCTGAAAATATGCTAGGGTTACCAAATAACAGCAAATAGCCTGGTTGCTTAATTATTTCAAGTAGCTTGATGCTTTTTGAGAGAAGTAATCAATTTAAAATAAAATAAATCTTCAAGTTGGACAATCTATCCATTAGTTAGATTTTCTTTGCCTAAACTCACATTTCAAATTGATGGGCATAAATTTATTATCTATACAATCTACTGATAGAATCTTATCAGCATAATGCATGTTAACATCTCCATTATTAAAATTCTACCAAAACCTGAAATACTAGAGAGGGCGGGCATGAATAATCATTTAACGTTAATTCTAATAACAAGTTTATCTATCAGAAGAGGGAAATTCTATTATTTTATCTTCACTTCTACAAACAAGAAGTACCTTGAAGTATGTCAATGAATCATGTGTACATCAGTGTAATATCTTAATATGTCTTCATTCTTGAGGTATCAGAGCATATATTTATGTTTCTCTTGGCTCTATTATCTTTTGCAGTAAAATGGCAGTGTACAAAATGCAAAACATGCCATTCAATTCAACCAATATCTACTGAGATCTGATTCAGTGGTCAGTACAGGATTTTTAATGTTCCCCAGGTAATCCTGTTGGAACATATCTAAGTCCAGTGAAATTTTTATTTAATTAAATCAATCAAATCACGTTTGTGACAGTATATTCTACTTCTTTCTCTACTAATAGTACATAGTCTTTCCAGGAATAGTAATGTTCATTTTACAGACTTATCCAGTTCCCTTTATGTAGCAAGGGATCTCAAAAGTATTTGTTTATGGAAGTAATAATAAATTGATGCTTTTTATGTGAATATGTAAATGATGAGAAGGAATCTTTAAAAGAGCAACTTGAGGTGTGGTTAATGATCCCAATTTCTGTGGATATATCTCTAGATTCAGAGAGTAAATATGAAGAGACAATAAGAAAAATTTTTTGTATGATTCTTCAAGAATACTATGGGTTTGGCATGAGCATCCACATGCCTTATTTGTTGAGAAGACTCTCTAGCCAGGCATTGGTTAATATACTCAACTCAACAAACTCTAAACATGAGTCAGTGTTGATTCATTGGCACTACATAGAGATGAAAGAATCACTATACATAAGGGGATTGCATAAGTTTATTTTGCTAATAAGAGTTAATTTTTGTGGCATGAATAAAATTAAATAAAAACTTGAAATCATGATCGTAATTAACCTTTGGAGAGAAGGAGAAGGGCCTGAGAAAAGTTTCTATTGTTCTGACAATATTTTATTTCTTGACATAGATGACATTTAATGGGTGTATCTACTTTAGATAACTTATCTGTACAGTCATTATTTGTTAACTTTTCTCTATGAATGAACTATTTTAATATCTAAGTTTTATTTCAAAAAAGGATATAGATAAATAAGGATTTCTATCATGAAAGACGATGAGTTCAGTTTTAGATGTTTGAAGTTGTAAAGACAATCATGAAAGTACACAATAAAAAATTGGATCTGTATCCTTTAATTTCAGGGAACTATGCTAGGTTTGACATTAAGGTTTTTAGAGTTTTCATGATATAGTTCCATTAGAATTAACAAAATAGTTAAGAATTTATGATAAGGAAGCATGACCAGAACAAAGCCTTGGAATGCAGTCAGATATGCAATTAGTGTAAGGTGCCTTTTTGTTTAGCATTATCTTCCATACATCTCATAAAGAAAGATGAGTAGCCAAGAAAAAAATTCGGTCAGTTGACAGAAATAATAAAATATCAATTTTTAATACTTAAGTTTTGTTGATGAGGCTTATAAATGTAGTTGTAGAATAAATGAAAAGAGAAACTTCTTAAGAAATTGGGATTGGTAAACATTACTGTAGTGAATGCTATAATGCACTATCTAGATTCCCTTCAGAAGTGAAGTACTTACTTGTCCAGCAGGTGGAAGTGCGGTAGGCAGACAGCCTTGAACTCTTAAACCTCAACAAGCATTACAGTGGTTGAAGAGGACTGCCTCACTCAAGTTCACCCTCCCTTCCCAAGGTCTGTACACAATAACTGATGTGTATTGGGGTTAAAGATCCAGGCTTCTTGTCCTAACTCAAGACAACTCTGAAGAGTCATCTTAGCTTTAGAATTCTCCATAGGATTAGCTGAGCCTCCAGTGTGACTGTATCAAAGCTCAACTTCTTCCTCTGCCCAATCCTGCTTTGTAAACTCCATAGGTGTTGATCACAAGGAAACCTCTTCATGTTAATTTACATCTGCTCTTCAAGGAGCCTAAATTGCAATAATTGCCCAATACTGCAGAAATATGGCATAAAAATATTTTTTAAGAAATTTGCTGCAAAATAACCTTTTATAATATTTTTGAGCACAGCTTCAGGGCTGGTACATATAATAGTTACAAAAAAATGACTTGTCATACTGTACAAAAAATGAATGGTATTTGAAAAAACTCATTCTTCAAGTATAGATGGTTTTTAAGAGAATATTTTTCTGTAAAGACAATGCAAGAATAACAGTGTTGCTTAGCTAGATGTAAGGTTAATATGTATTTTTTTAGTTGAGGGTAATTTTAAGAAATATATGTCCTTGGTGGAGGAAGGCAGAGAAAAGCTATGTGGAAAAGGTTGAATATCAAGAGAGACAAAAGAATAATAATGGAATTTTTTCCCTAAAGAGGCACAATGTTATGAAAACAAGAAGATAATATAAGGGTATAAATTAAGATAGATTGAAGAAACTGTCACACTAGAGAAATAAGAAATTGAGATAAAGATAGACACAACTGCAGTGAGGTTTATATAGAGGTAAATCATTTAGAACATTTTTTTCTAATTGCTTTATATTCCTTGTGGTTAAAAAAGAGAAGCAAAAACTTTTTTAGGGTGATTGAGAGTTGGTGAAGAGGTTATGTTCTGGTTGTTTTTATTGCTTTTTTTATAGATACCCAAGTAAATGTTGGAATAAAGCAAATTTTTTGTATTGGTCTAAGTGTGTGGTTTAGTGCAGGGAGATCCAGGAAATTGTAAATGGGCAAGGGTGTTTAAGTTGCTTGTAAGTAATAAATTTAAAATAATATACTAAAAATTCTATGCTTATTAAACAAGCATATCAAGTAAGGAGGGCCACTATGCTGAAAGCAAAGGAAGGGAAGGAGTTAAGAACTATAGCAAAAGCAATAAATGGTTGGGGGGTAAAATAAAGGGAGTACGAATACTATAGTAGGGAGTAGAAGGATATAGTCAGAAATGGGATTTTGTGGGAAGCAAGGAGTAAGAGAGCTTTAATTAAAAGACTCCAGTCAGAAAATGTGATGTTTAAATTACATATTATAAAAGCACAGTGATTCCATATAATAACAAGATTTAGGGTATTTGATGTTTATAGAATGAAGATCACAAAAGTTGAGCATGTTAAAGAACTGAGAGAGTAGAATGTTGAATAGGTCAACTCTACGAGTATTGAAATAATTGCAGGATCAGAGTGGGACTAGACATTGAAAAAACTGAGTTTATTGTCAACGTGTTTGATAAATACATAAAAATGACCACATAGGTTGATAGGTGTTAATGACGAGTAGTCACAGACATGAATATAGTTGGATGGAAACATTAGCTTTCAGGATACACCAAACACACATACATACACATTTGTAGCATTTTGGAGCTAGAAAAGCTGCTAACTCATGTAATCATGTTATTATCCATTGGTACAGGGGAATGGACAATGTTCTGTTAAAATGACTGCATGAGAAGTTAATTTTCAGTTAAAGCAAAATGGTAAAGAGGCAATTCATAACACAGTTTAAAGGTATACAGAAATTTGTGCTGTGGAATAGAGATCTAGAGAGGAAAGGTAGCAGCAGACAGTTGGGACATGGGGAAAGAAAGGTCTGAAGAGTCTGGAGAGGAGTGTATGGTAGAAGACATAATGATAATGTCTTGAATTTGACTGATAACAAAAATGACATATCTATGAAATGCAGTTTGGTTAATTCTTCCAAACTCTGAATAAAACCCTAGTATGACATTTATTCATTGTTGTCCTAAGTTAAGTTTCTTATAGTATTCAGGATTATGGTGACACTAACAGCCACAAAATATCTATCTATTGGTTAAATTAAATTTGTTCTTCTTGTAAAATAATAACAATCTAATCATCAAATGACTTTACATTAAGATAAAAAGGGGTAAGATGTTAATCACTTTAGCTGTTTTGATAATTTCTCTATCATCATCTTCGTCTATCTAAGTGATTCTGTTTTAACAAGACCATCTTTATCATTTAAATCAGTTCCATAGCCTTTAATATAATGAGTAATATATGCAGGTTTAAATGTACTATCTTACTACTTTTTTGTTTTGTATTTGTCCTTAATGTTCTCTATTCACAATCCTCTTTTTTCTTGACTTGTCTTGGGTAAATTAATTATTCATTCATTGTTCCATTTTATTTATCAATTAATTATTTATACATTCTCATTTTTTAGTGTTTATCCTAGATATTAAAAATGCATACTTTATTCACATCTAATATAAATTGGTCATTTAATCATTTTTCAAAAATAAAAGTTCAGAGATAATTTTAAGTTGTTTATTCTCCCGCTCTAGTTTTCATTATTGGCATGTATTTTAATTCTTTATATGTTTAGGACCCCACGATAATAATTATTATGGTTTAATACTGTCTATCAACATGCCTACCTTTTCTCTACTCGTTTCTACCCTGCATTTCTAAGTTTGTTATCTGAATTCATCTTCCTTCTGCTTAAAGTACATTTTAGGTTTGTGAGGTTTATGTGTGTATGTGACTCATTACTCAAATTTCATAGTTATTGCTCAACTGAAAATATTTTCTGTGTAACCTTTATTTTTAAATGCTGTGTTGCCTTTTTTACTTCAGAATAAAGATTTCTTTTGGGTTCTATAATTGTGTTGAAAATTCAGTAGCAAAGTTTTTTCTTGTTTTTTGAGAGATTATACTTTTCCTTCCTTTGGTTGCTTTAATATTTCATGATGTTATTTATATTTATCTTTTGTATAGATAATAAATATATATGCATATAATCTTTTAGTATGTTGCTTATTGTTAACTCTGTGGCTTTATGTATTTCCTTGGTTTTGGAAAGCTCTGTTTCACTTTTTGTTCTTTTTTTAATCTCATTTTTACTATCATATTTTTCTTGGGTTCCAATTATATGTATATTATAATTTTCACTTTCTTCCTGAATATCTAAAGTATTTCTTAAATTGGCAACGATGAATCAGGATATATTCTTCTATGTCATTCAATCCACTAATTTTTTTCCATTGTTTTTAACTTGCTGTAAAGCCCATGTATTGAGTTAATTACAGTCATTCTTTAGTATTAGAATTGATCTTCCTTCTGCCTGAATTCACCATGGATCTTCCTTCTTGGAAGATCCTGAAACCCTTTTTTGTTCTCCAAGTTCCATTAGAATACTGAGAGCTCAACTCCATTTCTGTAATTATCAATCTGAGCTATTCTCCCCTCAGCTTCTTTATATTTCAACTACCGCTTTCTAATGAGTCAGAAGAAAATCAGCAACAATCAGCCTCACTCCTCAGAATTCTCTACTTTTTCCTGTCTTGACACTGAAAATCTTACCTTCTTAGATGTCTTTGTAATGGCTTCAAATACTAGATCTTCTAGCTGTTCTCAGCATGAAGGTTAGTTATTATAAGTGACTTCTTATTGGCAGAATCAGAATTTCCTTTCTCTGCATTATTCTTCTTAATCACTGGTACTTCACTGAACCTATTTTCCTAAACCAGAAAAAAAAAGTAGGAATCATGTTTTGGTTTATTTTGCCTTCCCCTTTATTCCTCAAATAAATCAATAAACTCTATAAGTTTATTTCCTTGATATTCTTTAATTCCATCCTCCACTCCCTCAACAACCTCATGGCCACTGGCTAAAACTCTTAATTTCTCTGTTGGATTAAGGAAACAACCTTCTAAATGTGTTGCTGCTTTGATTTTTGTTGCTTCCTTTATTTTATTGCCACCCTGCCATTCTAAATGTTTGTCTTTTAATTCATTTCTTATGGTATGAATTATCTGCTTATTTTTGTTAAAACTGTCCTCATACAATTCAAAACAAGTCTTTTAGCATTGCATATAATATTATTTGTGAACCAATATGTGTTTCATTCAGCCATGTTAGCTTCTGTGTTCTTTACCTTACTCTGTATGTTTCTGCCACACTCAACTATTCTAATTTTTTGAAAATGCCATATCTTTGTCTTTGTGCATACCCCTCCCACTGTTGTTGAAGAAGAAATTCTGCGCTTCTCAAAAACAATTTTTTCTGACTTATCACCACTTTCATTGTGCCTCCCAAATATGTCTGGGCGTCCTATCCTGGCTCTTTCTCAAACTAGTTTAAAATATGGAAGAATAGAATGTATAAGAACATATTTATATCAAGTTTAAAGTGTCATGGGAATTCTTTGGAAGATTTTATGCAATACATTAATGTAATTTCCAAAACTAGCCTTGTTTTTAGCACATAGTACATATCAGTAGATTTGGATTGAATTAATTATTTGACCAATATATTATTGAGTTGAATACATGTTATATACAAATATTCTACTGGACACTGAAAAGGATAAAAATGAATAAAGTAGTGACTTTATCCTTAAGGTATTCATATTCTACTAATGAATACATAATTTAAACAGAAACATATTTTAGATAAGCTTAAGTGTGAAATTAAATATATTTAAAATGTCATAGTTTTCAAAGAAGGAGAGGAATTTTTAATTTTACTTATTTTTTATTTGTTATTATACTTTAAGTTGTAGGGTACATGTGTACAACGTGCAGGTTTGTTACATATTTTTACATGTGCCATGTTGGTTTGCTGTACCTATTAATTTGTCATTTACATTAGGTATTTCTCCTAATGCTATTCCTCCCCCATCCCCCAACCCCACCACTGGCCACCACATGTGTGATGCTCCCCCCCCTGTGTCCAAGTGTTCTCATTGTTCAATTCCCACCTATAAGTGAGAACATGCAGTGTTTGGTTTTCTGTCCTTGCGATAGTTTGCTGAGAATGATGGTTTCCAGCTTCATCCATGTCCCTACAAAGGACATGAACTCATCCTTTTTTATAGCTGCATAGTATTCCATGGTGTATATGTGCCACATTTTCTTAATCCAGTCTATCATTGCTGGACATTTGGGTTGGTTCCAAGTCTTTGCTATTCTGAATAGTTGCCACGATAAACATACATGTGCATATGTCTTTATAGTAGCATGATTTATAATCCTTTGGGTATATACCCAGTAACGGGATGGCTGGGTCAAATGGTATTTCTAGTTCTAGATCGTTGAGGAATTGCCATACTGTCTTCCACAATGGTTGAACTAGTTTACATTCCCACCAACAGTGTAAAAGTGTTCCTATTTGAAGGGAAGGAATTTTTAAAAACTGTAAAACAAATGTCTTTTTAAACCCTTTTATTTTAAAAAAAAAAAGTAAATATACAAATATTTTTAAAAATCAGTCTAATGATTTCTTATTCACCTAGTTTCTCCAATTGTTGACATTGGCCGTATTCTTCTTTTTCTTAATATTGTTCTTATTATTTTGCTGAACTCTTCAGAGTAAGTTGCAGACATCATCAGCCTTCAATCTAAGCACTTGAGCATAAATCTATTAAGAACAAGTTTTTCTCACATGAACACAGCACAGCTATTAGATTCAGAAAAGTTAGCACCAATATACTGCCATAACCTAATATATAGTTTGTTTTCAACCTTCACAAATAATTCCAGTTCCATCCTTAATAAGATCTTTCTTTTTCTGTTCAGAATTTAATCCAGAACTATCTATTACATATAATTTTCATGACTTTGTAGGCTTATTTAATTTAGAACATTTTTCACTCTTTTTGTTGTCTTTAATAGCATCAATTTTAAAAAATATAGGCTTTGTGAGTGTATGTATGTGAGTGTACATCTGTGTATTTGTCTATGATTATTTCATCATGCTTGTATACAAGTTATACATTTTTTGGCAACAACATCACATTCTGGCAGACAAAATTTTATATAAGTTTTGGAAGATGGAAAATACTTATATTGAGAAATGAAGTGTGGCACAGAAGATACCTAGAATGATAAACTGAAGTAAAGAATTCAAGGCTCTTACCACTAACTATAGGTGCTATGGATAGCTTATTTATGATCTGATATTTTTTATGAATGTGAAATAATTAAGACTAGGTGTAGCTACACCAAAAGTTTGAATCATACTTTCAGAATATAGATTTACTTATGATATGGCTAGAATTGGTTCTCCAAAGAAGCTTTCAACACTAGTTCTTGGTTAATTATGGATATAGGGAACATCTGCTTTTCCAGAACTTCAGTTTTAATTTTAAAGTATTTTGCTCTTTTATTGAAAAAAAAAATTGAGAACATTTTCTTTGGGATAAGGCTACATCCAGTATTACAGCCAGCCCCCAAAAGCTAATCATCACCTGCAAATGTAGAGCATTTTAAATGTGATAGTTATGATATCCTTCTTTACTGGATTTTGTAGAATCACAGAAGCATCAAATAGTCAGATTCTTGTAGACCATCTCTTTATTGGTAAATACAGTAAACCCAGCTAAAGGATGATTTGCCCAAATTTACAGAGCTAAAAATTAGTAGAGTTTAATTTCTCACCTAGGATTCCCAGTGTATTGTCCAGCTGACAGATTCCTAAAGGACTCTGAGAATATGCTTGAGGAAATCACAACATTTTTATTTCATGGGTACCCTCTTGACCTGACTTTCACCTTGGTAGAGTAGGCCTTTCACAGTTAGGCTGCATTCTTTCAGCGGTAGCTTGGCAGTGAAATGGGACACGTCAGGAGAGGTTTGCAACTGCTTTACCAGACACATTTTAGCCTCATTTATCTTGACTTCCAAGCATTTACTTACTAAAGTGCTCCATACCATGAAGTTTCTTTTCAGATCAGTGCCAAGTTTCAAATGACATAGACCACAGAGAAATCATTTTTCATGAGATTCTTCATATATATATACTCAACAATACTTTTATCAGCCATGTTTCTAATCCATTAGCAATATTGACTTTGCCATGAAATGAGAGTAATTCAATTTCAGATTATAATATAAAGCTGAAATTATTATAGCTTTGCCTTCTGGTTTTACGGTAGTTAAGACTATGTCAGAGATTTCATGCTGAAGCTTTATACTTCAAAGTTTTATAATCAGACATAAAAAGAAAAAAAATAAAATGGGTTTGAGGCTACATTGGTGCCAGTGAGAAATCCATGTTAGGCTTTTTATTCAAAGAGATCCACATCAATAGGCAAGTCCCTCTACTTAATAACTTTCATTATTATATTGGCTTTGGGTACGATTGATAGATTTTTCTAATGCCAGAGGGGTTTGTTTGGTCGTAGTATGAGGTGTAAAACACTGTGTGGTGCTGTAAGCAGAAGGCAGGAGAAAGTACAAATCACCCAGTCCCTTATTAGCTGTCTGTCTGTGAACAAGGTACTTAATATCATTGGACATCACATTATATAAAATTTAAAAATGGGAGAAAACTTATCCTATCTGTCTGGAAGCATGGGACTGGACCTTTTGGAATCCTTTCCAATACTCATATCTGAGTTTAAATAAAATAAGCAGACAGCTATTCCACCAAAATAGGAGAGGGATTGCTGTATCCATGTTATATCTGAGACAAATCAGAAAAAAATACTATTTCCCCACATGTCCAACATAAGGCAGGTACCTGGCTTAAAACATGTTTATTTAAATTCTCCAATAAATTACAGATGAATTTTGTTAGCTGTTAATAAAATGGCATGGACATTCAGAAGGCAGAAGTGTGTTAAATAGACTTGAGGGGCCATGTATAGGAAATTGCCGTAAAGGAAATTACTTATCATTGATGAAAAGCTCACTGAGGTCAGGGAAAATAGTAAACCGAGAAGAGAGTGGGAGGCAGTAAATTGAGTAAATTCGGACTTCCTGCATAATTCTGCCCAAGTTTACTAGTCTTTATTCATTTTTATTTAGTTCAACTTCACACATAATTAAGCCCCTTTATAGGGAAGGCAATGTTTTGACATCATGCTGAGTTTAAATGTGTAAGAAGGTCTTCATGTGTCCTGGAAATTTACAACTTAATATGGAGAAAGCTATGTAAAATCTTAATACAAGTAATAGTGTGCATGTCTTCGGTATTTATTATATGGCTGGCATGAATTTACATAACTCATATGCATCATGTAAATAATCATGACAATCCTGTGAGGGAATTATTTTCATTTCACAGATAATGATGTGGAGGCTAATAAAGGAGAAATAACCTCACCAAGGTCATTTGTGAATGGCAAATTCAGTACTACGATCCAGTTTTAGCAAAGCCTGTACTCTTAAACTTGATTTTATATAATCTCTCATAATGAAAAGAAAACTGAAAATCATTTAAGCAACACCTTTCCTATAAGAACAGAATGACAAATTAATCCATCAGTGGAGCTGGGGAAAGCATTACAGAAGAGGAACCTCTAACACAGCATTTCATAAGTGAGAACAATTGGTACAATTCAATCTAAGCCCTGAAGTTGCTATTTCCAGACATCTCCTGTCAACTCCTGTCTCTCTATCTCCAGAAACTCCACATTTGTCCTGGTGACTCTCATATCTCCTATGAATCAGTGAGATAGGCTCATAGAAGCCTTGTTCCTGCTCCAATCCACCTGCAGGCAATCCAAGTTTGGAGATTGATATACACACTGAGTTGTTCAGTAACAAAATCTAGTAGGAAGTCTCCACAACACCATGGGTGGCTCATTCCTAGACTCTATTAATTGTGAATGCTAGATAAAAGGTGCACTTGGCTCAGAAGAGGAGAATCTCAGGGAAGTTATCAGTTAAATTTTCAGTGACATCAGCAGCCACTCTCATTCTGTCAGCATCAGCCAGTGTGACTTTCCTTAAATTCCTCAAACAGGTCACACTTCTTCTTGTCTTAGTACTATGAAATAGGCTTTTCTATTTACATCTTCCTTATATATCTAGCCACCATGTACAGCTAGTTCCTACTCTTCTTCAGGTTTCTACTTAATATTATTTCCTTTGATAAGTCTTTCCTGATCTGACAGACTTAGCAAGGTTTTTCTATTAGATACTCCTAGAGCATTTTGTACTTCTACTTGGCAACAACCATCATATAATCACAATAATAATTTGTTCTTTTTTCATCACAAAATATTTTTTATTGAGAGGAAAGGTGGACATTGGCGAAGTTTAAAAAGAGTAGCTATGTAATATTGCATTTAAATGAATCTCTTTTGCAACCATTAAGTAGACAGTAGAAAGTCAAGGAGGAGAGAGGTGTGTTATGAGGCTCTTGTAGCAGTACAGATGAGAGGAGGATGATGGCCACAGTGGCTGCATTGGAGATGGAAATAAACAGATTGTGTAGCTGTATTGAGGGCACAGAAAGCTAGATTTATTTTTGTCATATCACATATAGAATGCAAATAAAGGGAAATATGTAAGAACAACTCCAGATTTTTTTAACTTGAGCAACTAGATGGAGTTCTACCAACGAAATTGGGAAAGATTGTGGATGTAAGATAAGAAGTTTCTAGAAAAGGATGTTAAGTGGCATCTACAGTGGGAAACAGCAATGTATCTTTTAAAAATATGCAAATGTTGTATATATGCCTAAAATGTAGATGCCATTATGCTTTTCAGGAAATGTCACTAAACCTATCTTCTAACAACAGCAGCACAGCTAGCTTGTGGTTCAACCATTTTATACTTATTTATCATGTAAAAAGTCACCATAAATATTGTAGAAACTTAAAATATTTGATCAATAAGTAAAAAAAGCAGTTAAAGAAGGAGGTAGTATGTTCTATTATGTATCTGTGTCAAAAATATTGCAAAGAGTAATCCAGGAATAATCATGGGAATGTATTTTTAATGATAGAATTTATTATATCAGAATAGAAACACTACAGGCACACTCTTTCATCTATAATTATGATAATCAGGAAACCTCTGAAGTAAGAGTAGTGAAATAACATCTTTATGACCTGCCAGGCACACTGCACATGGTTTTTTGTTTTGTTTTATTTTTGTTACTTTGCTGTGGATTTGTTTTTAGATCATCTCTTTATCTTTTCAGCCTCTCAGATAGTACATACTTTTATTTTTTTTCAATTTCCTCATTGGGGAACTGTGAAACAGGGAAATTAAGTCAATATCCATTTCACAAAACTACAAAGTGATAAAGCTGTAATTTATATATAAATTTGAATCTGAGATCTTGAACACTAGGAAATAGTACTCTTGCTTAGAGACTGGCAAAGCATAATGGAAACTTTGCAACTCCAGTTTTTGGTAAGTTCAGTTATAATCATAGCTCATTCACTTGTGTTTAGAAACAACTCTCTTTAGCTTAAATATCTCCAATCTCTCTCAGAACACCTAAATTATGGTCAGTAACAATCCCGTTTTCTGAATAAAGCTTTCCTATTCCAACTTTCAGTATTTTTCCTCTCTGGCCCCCTATAACACTTACCTTGAAAAATAAACCATTTAGCTCTAAATTATTGGATGTTCTATAAGGCATATAACTAGTTTTAGATTAATTCTTTCACACACTGGCACTAACTTGGAGCTTAATTGATTATTTTTGACTAATTCTAGAGTTAGCTAAAATTAAGGAAAATAATCATTTAAAATGTCAAATAACTACAGAATTTTCTCAGTGCAAGGTCTATCTCTGCCTACCACTTAGTCCGAATGTAAATCATGTCATAATTTTAATAAAAAAGAATTATAAGGGTGGAAGACCTGGGCTTACTATTCCATAATAGGAAGCAATCACATGCAACTTCTATGAGATTACTTTATGAATCCTTTTAAAATGTGAGTTTACAATTATCCCTAACCCAGAAAATTATAGGATACCAGAAATCTCAATATATTTTAATGTTCTATGGAATTTAGTTTTTCAGATGAAATTGCTCACTGCAATTTTAATCTTTCCAAATTAAGCAGCTGGAATGAGTAATCTTTGTCAGGAAGAAAATCTGGGATGATTATTTAGGAATGAAACTGAGTATTAAGACTAAATGTATTATTCTACTGCCAGACTCATGTATGAGAACTTGGACCTAACTATAAAAATAGGAAAATAAAACTTCAAAAAAATACTCTAGGTTCTTAGTCATTATCTTCTACTTACATAGTCTCCTATGGATAAATTATGTGCTCTGTATATGGAGAAGGGCTGAAATTTCACACAAAAGTGAATTTTCTATTTCATCAAAGTATTTCTCAGGCATCAAAAAATCCTAACATTTTAATAATTGTTTTATGGAAGGCATCATATATTTATCTGTGTATAAGATGAAATGAGCATAATTAAATATACCCTTTTAAGTTTCAGATCAAGGAAAATGACACAAGTTTATGTACAGATTGCAGTTGGTCAATGTGACTTGACAATTACTCAAACATAAAATTCATGGTGAGTAATTCCTGGGAGCTTCTTTGAACAGGGCACTCTTTTCTTTGATTTGATGTTCAAAATAGAAAAAAAAAATGCAAGTTTTAATAGGGGCTCATTATCTAAAAATCAACTTTGGAACATTTCACTTATCCAGTTTCCTAACTCACAGTGAAATTCTGAGATATGAACGTGGAAGAGAAATATTTGATGTTCTGGTGAGAAAAGAAGTTGGAAAGAATTTGTCTTCCTGAGGTTGGATGTGCATGGACTGGATTTGAAAGATGAGACTACAGAGCCAAAGGGCTCCTGGAGGTTGCTGTGAGCATAAGGGGTTGGATTCTTGATAGAAGAGATGTAGAAAGGCAAGATACGCAATCTTTCTTTACAGTTACCCGGAGGGTTGGTCCTGTGCTTTGACCCTTGCACCTTCAAGTTCAGCCTCTCACTTTGTTTGCTGTTATGTCAGAGCTCTAGAAATCAATATTTAAGCTGTGGTCTTGCCTAAGCCACAAAGCAGCAACTCTGATTCACAGCTGCAACTTACAGATGCCTGTACCATATGCTACCATTCAGAATATCTTTCAGATATAAGCAAGGATGCCATTTCTCAAGGAAGAGAGGGGCTAAATTATTAGATAAATTGATCGGAATTAATATTAGCCTGATTAAGTCAGAACTTAATCTACTTTTGACATTCTCATTTTTGGTTCTTTCAAAATCCAATTAACTTACCCAGATGATTAGCATTTGCTAGTTTCTGATTTTAGAGCCTGCAAATTTCTCTCACCATTGCCTTCTCTTTCATTTTCATGACTATAATCCAAATATTACAAAGAGATTTGACAAAGCATTAGAACATTAACCAGTTTAGAGTCTAAAAATTGCATGTGCAACTATCATTAATTATATTTTCAGAAGCTAAAACAGCCTCCTTAAAACAGGCAAGCAGAAAAACCATATACGCAAAAGGAGGTGCCAAACCTGACAACATAAGGTATGTAGAAACAGCATGTTTACTTCATCTGTATACTTCCTTCTTTATTGGCTGATGATGAGCAAATAAACAACCAACAATGCCATATAATTATGCTTCTTTCTGGAGAGAACCAAGGAAGTTGGCTTTTCTATGTATTAGGAAACTGACTTTATTTTTATAAAATTTTATAAAGCCTTGAAAGACTTCATGATCTTTTTATCTCACACTTCCAAACCAGTGCCAGACCCATGGCACACTAATAAATGACAATGTTCGTTAGTTGTTAGTTTCTATAAGGCTACTATGGGAGCACGAGATTCTTAAAATTTCACAGAGAAGTGTTTGCTGTTCAAAGTTAAATCCATAGCCTTAAATTTATTTTTCTACTATGATGTCCTATTGGAGACTCTGAACAAACTTCCAAGCTGAAACAACTAGACAAGTGAGAAAGTCCAAAATTTAGTGAATTTAATAACTCTCAAAGGTAAGTAAAAGACAAAGTCAGCCCTCAGACTACGAGTTTCTTTAGAAACCTTGAATTCATGCTTTTTCAAATGGATGAGGCATGGAAACTGGGGGATAAATCCCCAGATTTGCTATGGTGAAAATGCTAAGGAACACTCTAGAAAAACAAACAAACAACAACAACAACAGCAACAAAAAACCAACCAAGAAACTAAAGATTGCATCCCTTTTCTAAGCAAGCATATTTCTCTTGATCCTTGCACTCAGCAGAAGGGGAAAATAATCTCTGGTGAGAATCCCTACACATAAACCTATCCTGATGTGGCTTTCAATCCAAATTCCTGCTACTTTGTCGCCTAAGAAACCTTGGTTATTTCAGGATTTTGCCCTGACACAAAGTACAATTCATGTAGAAAAACAGTATAAACTATACATAGTGTCACACAACTATAAGAGATGTCTTTACCCTGTTATGCAATTTGTCCATTCTATTCTTTATCAGCTCACATGGCTCCTGGACATAGGATGACTGGCCATTTGGAATGTCACAAAGGACTCCAGCTGAGTGAAAGGCATTGTCTCTTCTGGGCATTTGTATTTAGAATACAAACATTGTATTTGGTCTCTATAGATGTTGAAACTGGAAGATCATACAAAACCAAAAACAAAGATATTGGATAGCAATTCAACTGTAATGTACAGAAATGCATTAAGAAAAAATGCATATGTAAGGAAAAATAAAGCCAAGAAAAATCAGAATTAAATTTTTACTTTTTACACTTAGTTCCTCTTGAGAACCCTATCTTCTTCAAGCAAACTCCCCATTTACTAGTTAAAGCAAATTTCTAAACCTTGAAACTAAATTACCCCAACTGTAATAGGACCTTAATATCAATAAGCTCAGGTTTCTTACTTAACAAACAAATGGAGAAATTGTAACCCAAGCAGGGGCAAAGGAATCCTCTAGAGTAACAGAATGACTCAGCCATAACTGGGTTTCAGATCACCAACTCCGAAAATATTCTGTCTCCATTATCTGATATTGTCTCTTCATTCTAATTATTTAAGAAATTGAGAAAAGTTTATAAATTCATTCTTACTCTACCATTGATAAAAAGGTATTGAGGCCGGGCACGGTGGCTCACGCCTGTAATCCCAGCACTTTGAGGGCCAAGGCAGGCGGATCACGAGGTCAGGGTATCGAGACCATCCTGGATAACACGGTGAAACCCTGTCTCTACTAAAAATACAAAAAAATTAGCCAGGTGTGGTGGTGGGCACCTGTAGTCCCAGCTACTCTGGAGGCTGAGGCAGGAGAATGGCATGAACCCAGGAGGCGGAGCTTGCAGTGAGCCGAGATCTTGCCACTGCACTCCAGCCTGAGCGAGAGAATGAGACTGTCTCAAAAAAAAAAAAAAAAAAAAAAAAAGATACTGAGAGTTCACTTTTTAGTGAATATTAAATAAACTAAACACTTGTTTGCATGATCAGTAAAGACTGCTTGAGGAATGCATTATCTCAGAGCAGATATGTGAAGAAAGCAAGAGGCAGAATACTGAAAACTTAGAATATAGGAACTAATAAAGAGTTATGTTCCTAGTTGATGAATAACTCATCTGTGGTTATTTGGATGTACTTCATTGAACCTATACTGACTCATTTCACCCATCCTCACAGTAGATAATGTGAATAGAAGGTTGCAACAGCAAGCGAGAAAATAGAGTATCAGCTGCAGTCCATTTGTTTTCCGTGTCAGGGTGCAGACAGATAATTGTTGACCTTAGCAGACCCAGTGCCATACGATGTAATGATCAGTCCTTCACACAAAGAAGTACCTAATTCATGCTACTCAACTGTATGCACTTATGTAGTTTATCCATGTAGTATCTTTAAATGAATTGATTATTACATAATACGTTTCTGTTCTGAATTGACCAACTGTTTACTGCAGCAATCAAGTTAATTATTTTGATCTATACAAATGGAATCTAGTGAATTATACGCATGTTCCTGTCATGAGAGTTTGCTTTCTTTGGTATATTTCTGGAATTCAGATCCTACTGAGAGAGAACAAAGAAAGCAAGGATCTACAAGACTTTAATGACAAATGAAATTATAAGATTCTTATGATCATTACAGCTACCGTTAATAATATAAAGAAGTATTCTCAAGAAGATTCGGATGAGATATTTATTAAATCAATTGGCAAGCATTAAGCCTTACTTTTGTGTATTTTATGCTTTTGTCCCCTGTGCTTTTGTGGTCTGACTCAAAAAATATTTGGCAATGTTCTATAGATTTTCCCCTGTATTTTCTTTTAGTAGTTTCATATTTTAAGTTCTTATATTTAAGTATGTGACCAATTTTGAATAATTTGCTTATATAATGAAAGATAGAAATCTAGTTTCATTCTTCTCCATATGGATATCCAGTTTTCCCAGCAGCATTTATTAAAGAGAATTATCTTCTCCCCAATGTATATTCTTGGCACCTTTATCAAAAATAAGTTGGCTGTAAATGAATGGATTTATTTTTGGCTTCTCCATTCTGTTCCACTGGTCTATGCATCTGTTTTAATGCCAGTATCATGGTTTTCACAGCTTTGTAGTACAATGTGAAGCCAGGTAATGAGATACCTCCAGCTTTGTTCTTTCTACTCAGGATTGATTTCTATCTGTTCTTTTTTTTTTTTTTTTTAGTTACATACAAATTTTAGAAATTTTTTCTATTTCTGTGCAGAATGTCATTGTTATTTTCATATAGAAATTGCAATGAATCTGTTGACTGCTTTGAGTAATATGGACATTTTAATAATATTAATTTTTCCAGTCCATGAGCATGAGATATAATTCCATTCATTTGTGTCCTGTTCAGTTTCTTTCATTGAGATTGTTTTATTATAGAGATCTTTCACTCCTTTGGTTGAAGCTATTACAGGTATTTTATTCTTATTTTTGTAGCTATTATAAATGTAATTGGTTTCTGAATTTCTTTTTCAAACTGATCACTATTAGCATATTGGAAAAATTAATATCATTTTTGTAAAATAAAAAACCAGAAAACTATGTTTTCTGCATGTTCTCACATATACTTAGAAAAATATGATTGATTTTTGTATGTTGATTTTTTATTCTTCAAATTTACTATTTATTTTATACCAGTTAGAGGTTGGCTTTACTTTTTTTTTTGGTGTTGATAGGTTTTTCTAAGTATAAGATTATGTCATCTGCCACAAAAGATGATTTGACACTTTTCTTTCTAATTTGGATGACTTTTATATCTTTCTTTTGCCTAAGTGCTCCGGCTGGGACTTTCAGAACTACATTGAATAAAAGTGGTGAAAGTGGGTATCCTTGTCAAGTTACTAACGAATAAAAGACTTTCAATTTTTTCCCATTCAGTATGATATTGCCTGTGGTTTTGTCATATGTGACTTTTATTATTTTTAGATATGATACTGCTTTTTTTTTTTTTTTTTTTTGAGATGGAGTTTCGCTCTTGTTGCCCAGGCTGAAGTGCAATGGTGTGATCTTGACTCACCACAACCTCCACCTCCTGGGTTCAAGCAATTCTCCTGCCTCAACCTCCCGAGTAGCTGGGATTACAGGCATGTGCCACCACACCTGGCTAATTTTGTATTTTTAGTAGAGACAGTGTTTCTCCATGTTGGTCAGGCTGGTCTCCAACTCTCAACCTCAGGTTATCCGCCCGCCTCAGCCTCCCAAAGTGCTGGGATTACAGGTGTGAGCCACCGCAACTGGCCTTGAGATATGATACTTCTATACTTACTTTATTAAGAGTTATTATCATGGTGGAATAACGAATTTTATCAAATGCTTTTTCAGCATCTATTGAGATGACATAGGGTATTTGTCTTTGATTCTGTTCATGTGATGTATCACGTTTATTGATTTGCCTATGTTGAACCATCTTTACATCCCTGAAATGAATCCCAATTGATAATGGTGAATGATGTTTTTTACTCCAACTTTTATTTTAGGTTCAGGGTGATACATGCACAAGTATGTTACCTAGGTAAATTGCATGTTACTAGGGTTTGGTGTATGATTTATTTTGTCACCCAGGTAGTGAGCATAGAACCTGTAAGGTAGTTTTTTTTTTCTCACCCTTCTCCCAAACTCCACCCTCAAGAAACTCTGGTGTCTATTTTTCCCCTCTTTGTGTCCACGTGTACTCAAAGTTTAACTCCCACTTGTATGTGAGAACATGCAGAAAACATAGTTTTCTGTTCTTGCATTAATTCCTTTAGGATAATGGTCTCCAGCTACACCCATGCTGCTGCAAAGGACATAATTTCATTCTTTGTTATGGCTGCTTAGTATTCAGTGGTGTATATGTATCAACATTTTCTTTATTCTGCCCACCACTTATGGGCATCTAGGTTGATTCCATGTCTTTGCTATTGTGAAAAGTGCTGCAATGAGCATACTCATGCATGTAGGTTTATGATGGAACAATTCATATTCCTTTGGCTATATACCCAACAATGGGATTTCTAGGTCAAGTGGGAGTTTTGTTTTAAGTTCTTTGAGAAATCTCTAAGCATCTTTGCACGGTGGCTGAATTAATTTACATTCACACTAACAACATATGTGTGTTACCTTTCTCCACAACTTTGTCAACATGTTTTTTTTTGAATTTTTAATAATAGCCATTCTGACTAGTGTGAGATGGCATCTCATGATGGTTTTGATTTGCATTTCTCTAATGATTAGTGATGTCAAGCATTTTTTATATGCTTTTTAGCTGCATGTATGTCTTCTGTTGAGAAGTGTGTGTTCATGTCCTTTGCCCGTCTTTAAATCAGGTTGTTTGGTTTTTGGCTGTTGATATGTTTAAGTTCCTTATAGATTCTGTATATTAGGCCTTTGTTGGATGCATTGCTTGTGAGTATTTTCTTCCATTCTGTTGGTTGTCTGTTTACTCCACTACTAGTTTCTCTTGTTATACAAACTAAAGCTCTTTAGTTTAATTAGGTCCCACTTGTCAATTTTCATGTTGGTTGCAATTGTTTTTGGAGTCTTTATCATGAACTATTTGCCAAGGCCTATGTCCAGAATGATGTTTCCTATGTTTTTTTTTAGGCCTTTTACAGTTTTAGGTTTTACATTTAGCTTTTTATCCATCTTGAGTTGAATTTTGTACATGCTGAAAGGAAGGGGTCCTGGTTCAATCTTCTGCAGATGGCTAGCCAGTTATCCTAGCACCATTTATTGAATAGGATTTCTTTTCCCCATTGCTTGCTATTGTCTACTTTGTCCAAGATCAGATGGTGGTAGGTGTGTGGCTTTATTTATGTGTTCTGTAACCTGTTCCATTGGTGTATTTGTCTGCTTCTGTACCACTACTATGTTCTTTTTTGTTTCTGCATCCTTGTAGTACAGTGTGAAGTCAGTGTGCTGTCTCCAGCTTTTTTTTTTTTTTTTTTTTTTTTTTGGTAGAATTTAGCAGTGAACCCATCAGGTCCTGGGCTTGTCTTTGATTGGGTGCCTTTTATTACTGCTTTGATCTCATTATTAATCTGTTTGGATTTTCCATATTTTCATGATTCAATCCTAACAGGTTGTATGTGTCCAGAAATTTATCTATTTCTTCTAGGTTTTCCAGTTTGTTGGCATATAGTTGTTCATTATAGTCTCTAGTGATTCTTTGTATTTCTGTGTTATTACTTGTAGTGTTTTTATGCATATATGAATTTATCTATTTGCATCTTTTTCGTTTTTTTATTCTAGCTAAAGGTGTGTTGGTTTTATCTTTTCAAAAAACTTTTTGTTTTATTGCTCTTTTGTATTGTTCTTTTATCTTAACTTATTTCTGTTCTGATCTTCAGACTTCTTTCCCTTCTATTAATTTTGGGTTTGGTTCATTGTTGCTTTTGTATTTCCTTAACGTGTACTGCTAGATTGTTTGCCCAAAGTCTTTTTTTACTGATGTGAACATTTATTGCTATATAGTACTACTTTTGCTCTATCCCTTAGTGGTATATTATAATTCCATTTTTATTTCACAAATTTTTAAAATTATTTTCTTAATGTCTTCATTGATTCATTGGTCATTCTGGAGCATGTTGTTTAATTTATATGTATTTGTACAGTGTCCAAAGGTTCTCTTGTTATTGATTTCTAGTTTTATTCTACTGTGATCAGAAACTTGACATGTTATTGACTTTTTTAATTTGTTGAGACTAGTTTTTTGACTTAACATATTATCTATCCTGGATAATATTTTATGTGTTGATGAAAAGAATGTATATTCCACTGCAATAAGATGTAATGTTTTATAAATGTCTGTTAAGGTCCATTTGGTCAATAGTATTATTTAACTCTCATGTTTTATTGTTGATTTTCTGCCTGCATGATCTGTCCATTGCTAAAAGTGGCATGTCGAAGTCCCCTACTATTGTGTTGTAGTCTTTTCCTTCCTTTAGATCTACTGAGACTGCTTTATATTTTGGGGTTATCCAGTGTTGGGTCGATATATATTGACTATTGTTATACCGTCTTGCTGAATTGCCACATTTATCATTACATAAAAACCTTCTTTATCTCTTTTTAGTTTTTTTACTGAAAATCTTTGTTATCTGATATAATTATAGCTACTTCTGCTTTTTCTGGTTCCATTTGCATAGAATATCTTTTTCCATCCCTCACATTCAGTCTATATATTTCTTCATAGGTGAAGCAAATTTCTTGTAGACAGCATTACGTTGGGTCTGATTTTTATCATTTCAACCATTCTATGTCTTTTAATTGGATAATCTAGTCAATTTACAATTGATATTATTGATAGGTAAGGACTTACTACTGCTATTTTGTTTCTTGTTTTCTGGTTGTGTTGTAGCTCTTCTCTTACTTTTTTCATTTCTTACTGTCTTCCTTTGTGATTAAGTTATTTTCTCTGCTACTTTGTTGCTATTTATTTTTAGTGTATCTATTATAGGTTTTTGCTTTGTGGTTTTCAGGAGGCTTACAGAAAATATCCTATTGTTATAACAATTTGTTTAAAACTGATACCAACTTAACTTCGATTGCAAAAAAAGAAGAAAAGACCAGGTGCAGTGGCTCATGCCTGTAATCCCAGCACTTTGGAAGGCTGAGGTGGGTGGATCACCCACCTCAGGAGATCAAGACCATCCTGGCTAACACGATGAAACCCTGTCTCTACTAAAAATACGAAAACTAGCCGGACATGGTGGCGCATGCCAACATGTAGTTCCAGCTACTTAGGAGGCTGAGGCAGGAGAATCACTTGAACCCGGGAGGCAGAGGTTGCAGTGAGCCGAGATTGCACCACTGCACTCCAGCCCGGTGACAGAGCAAGACTCCGTCTCAAAAATAAAATAAAGTAAAATAAAATAAAATAAAATAAACAGAAGAAAAAAAGGAAACAAAAAAGCCCTGTATATACTAACTTTATTCTCTGCAAATATTTTGAATTTTTTTCACAATTTACATTTTATATTGCCTATTTTATAACAAATTGTTGTAATAATTATTATTTTAATAGATTTTTATTTAAGTTTTCTTACTAAATATATAAGTGGTTTATACACTATTATCACAATATTAGTATAGCCATCATATTAGCATCTTTTTCTTTCAATTTTCAGAACTCCCTTTAGAATTTCTTGTAGAACACGTATAGTAGCAATGAATTTCCTCAGCATTTGCTTGTCTAGAAAAGACTTTAGTTCTTCATTTCTGAGGGATATCTGTGCTGGATACAGCATTCTTCATTAACAAGTTTTTCTTGCAAAATTAAGGTCTGGTTCTTCTTTTATAGATTTCAGTTTAAATGTCAGCGAAAAGTATTCTAATCACACCGTTAGAAAGAAACAAAAAATATAGTACCCACCTGCAATTTTTTCCACTATGATTTCTTTTCTTAATATAGCAAAAAATGTTATGTTTGTTATTTCCTTATTTATCTGATCTCTTATGTGTGTTGAGTTATTTGCTTATTTATCTGATCTCTTCTCTTCATAGGTTGCAAGTTCTTTGAGAGAATACACACACACACACATATACTTTCTTATTCAGTGTTTTATTTTTAGATTTTAAAATAGTGCTTGGCATTTATTAAGCCATCATAAAAATATACTATTAACTGTATAAATAAATAAATTAGTGAATTCATATTTACTTATGTTTTTATTAGTGTAAAAATTAAGCAAATTTTGTGAAGGAACCTAATTACTCACCCAACATTAATGTAATGCTAAAATAATACAAGATGGAAATATACTTCTCTAATTGGCAGACTGATAAAAAGGTAAAAATTGAATGAAAAGTCTCATTTCTGAGTGGCTTGAGGTAATCTAGTCTTCTTTTTTTTAGCTTATAAATTGCCTGATTATTAGAATTATGCCTACCCATATAATAGACTTTCTTTGCACATTGGTATTTTGAGATATACTTAATTCAGGATTATAAATCACATAGGGAGATGATTCATGCAAATTTAGAATTCATTAGCATTTACTAAATTATTTTTCCTACAATACAAGCAAAGGGAACAAGTCAAATGGGTCGAGTTGGAGAAGAAAAGCAATTTGATGATAATTCCGTTACAATGTTTATAAATAACCAGAAATGGATGAGTTGCAGGCTGCAGAAATCTTGTTACCTTTATTGTAATTCAAATGAATAGAGAAGACCCTCATTTACAATAAATAGTTGACTTTATATATCAGCTCATAGGCATCTTACTGATGACACTAGGCAAAATACATTTTCTCAACATAAAAATAACTTCCATTACCTAGTATAAAAGTTCTACTACCAGTTAATTATTCTTGTTATTGGAAAAGTCAAGTAATTTGTTGGTGGAAATGAGAAGCAAATAGTATAGTAAAAAGTAAAACCAGCTTCAAATCCTGATTCTGCCACCTGGTAGCTTTACAAACTTATCTAATTTATCTAGCCTCTTGGAGGCTTAGTTTTCTCATATACAATATGTAGTAAATAATTCTAGCAAAACCTGTTGTAGTTAAATGCAAGATAATGCATGTAATAGCCTGATATATAATAGCTGCAGTTGTTTTTTTGAATCTATGGGTTCTACATCTGTGGCTTCAACCAACTGCAGATCAAAAAATATTCAGGAAAAAAATGGAGGATTGTGTTTATACTGAACATGTGCAGACTTTTTTTCTTGTAATTATCCCCCAAACAATACAGTACAACAACAATTTACATAACATTTACATGGTATTAAGCATTAAAATAATCTAGAGATGATTTAAAGTATACACAAGGATATGCATAGGTTATTTTTAAATGCGATTAATACACCATTTTATATAAGACACTTGAGCACCTGTGGATTTTAGTATCCAGAGGGGATTCTGGAACCAATCACTTATGCATACTGAGGGACAACTGTACTGAATAGATATTATTTTCCTGCTATGTCCAAATTCATCTACCTTTTGGCAGCAAACTAAGCCTTCAAATGTCCTCTTTCACATATATTTTACTTTCCTTACTAGCACTGAAATGTTTGTTCTAAAATGCATTTTTAATAAATTAATTATCTTGGCCCAATATTATCTATGTTCTTTCCAATGCACATAGAAGATCAGCTGACAGTCTTTACTATAATATTTGAATATTTCATGTAATAAACTTACCATTTATTTTTACCCACAGAAACCATTGTCAGGCTTAAAGATTTCTGTTTTCCTTTTCCAAATCTGACCATCATTGGCACATCTCTTATTTTTGTAGCTACCCATTAAATTTTTCATCTTTTCCCTTCAGTGTTTAATAATAAATCAGACAACAAAATTCTGAAGATGGGGCTGGGCACAGTGGCTCATACCTATAATCCCAGCACTCTGGGCAACCAAGGCAGGCAGATTGCTTGAGTCCAGGAGTTTGAGACCAGCCTGGGCAACATGCTGAAACCCCATCTCTAATAAAAATACAAAAAAAAATTAGCCGGGCATGTGGGCATGAGTCTGGGGTCCCAGGTACTCAGAAGGCAGAGATAGGAGAATCACCTGAGCCTGGGGAGGTTGAGGCTTCACTGAGCCAAGATAACACCACTGCACTTCAGCCTGGGCAACCAGAGTGGGACCCTGTCTCAAAAAAAAAAAGTTCTAAACTTTTTGGTTTTCACAATTTTTTGGCCTAGAGACTGGATGCCATTCAAAGCCACTATTTAATGCTACATCCTTCTGCTTGTAATATCTCTGTGGGATAAATGAGGTTTTTTTTTTTTCTATTATTGTTATTTGCCTCTTTTACACATATAAAGATTCATTCTAAGTGGTGGGTTTGTTTTCAATTTCTACTTCCTGGTCTATAACTTTTTAAAATCTTTTTTTTTTTTTCAATTGTGGAGTGGAAGAATGTGAAAAATGAAGTTGGAGTTGACAAATCTAAAATTGGGTATAACATCTGCAATTTGTAGTTTATTGAGACTTGGGTTTGTTAGCATTTTTATATCCATTTTATAATTTCCAACTAAAACTATTCCAACAAATCAACTGGCACACATAAGCACTTGGTATAGATCCTTACTCTCTGTTTACATATTGAAGATTACATTTATTATAGCTGTGTAATGATTCTTATATTTTTATGATATGCCTATATCAGATCATCAGATTCTTATATTTTCTGATATGCCTACATCAGATCATCTCTTTTCCTCTTTTATAAACACTAACTTGACATGATAATTTTCATCTTAAATTACCATCATCTGATAATTTTCATCTTAAATTACTATCATTACTTTTCATGGGACTTTTTTTTTCCATTAAATCAGCAGTTTTCAGGTGGGCTATGATTTGCTGGAAGTGTCCTCCTCTACCCACATATGTACTATATAATTGTATTAGATTTTCATGGTATTTTGCCAAAATTAGTGCATGTTATACTAATAATGTTAATATAAATAATATTACATTATAGAGCAGTGGGATGCACAATTCATTGTAGTGTAGCTTCCTTAGCTCAAGATGTTTCAAACTGAAAGGTGGTGTCAGGGGAGATTAGAGGGTTTCAGTAGACTTGAAATACCAAATTGCTGCTATGAAGCAAGTCTTGAGTATTGTCACTATTTATGAAGAGTTTATTAAATAGATGTTTTTAAATCTTCAATCTGAGGACATGTTTATAAGTGTAAAGATCCTCTGGTTCTTTGAGCAGTGTCAGTGAGGTCATAATCATGAGTATCTTCTCTGCTTTTCACCTTTTAAGACACTGAAAAACAGCTTCCTTAAGGCCAGAATTAAGACTTACGTAATTACTTTTTCTCGTTTTTTTTTCTTTATTAATGAAAAACAAATTTATTCTTTATTCTTTATGGTATGCTAGAAATAAAATAAAGTAGTGCTTTTCAATTTCTTGATTGTAAGTCATAATAAAAGTTTTTTATTCTATAATGTAAAAAAAAGCTCCCCTCACGCACATACAAATAAGAATGTAATAAAATTATATTTAATTTTACAATGTCATCATCTCTATTTTATTAATTTATAAATTGATTTTATTATTTAAATGATAATTGTGATACACTAAGTTGTTTTGTAACCTACTAATGGGTGGCAGCAAGTACTCTGAAAAATACTGAAGTAAAACAGACTAAGACAAGAAGGACCGGTTTTGCTGGTCAGTTACAATCTTCTAGTGTCATTAATTGACCATTTACTGTAGATGTGACTCATGTTTTTTATGTCATGATGCCAAAGAGGTGAAAAAGAAAAAAAGAGAGAGAGGGACCAGATGGGGATAAGGAAGCTCACAGCTGAGATTTAGAAGAAACCACTTTTCTTTGGCCAAGCAAGTACTTACCATGTGGTAGGGATGGGTGAGTAAGATGATATTGAAAAGATTTCTGGGCTTTCAAGTTCTAGGAAGAGTTTTAGAATAATAATGCTCTGGTCCTGCAAAAGAAATGGAATGAATCCTTGGAGAGCTATTTATTACCTAAATTCTGCTTTCAACACCTTGGAAATAGCAACTATTTATTGCCAGGTACTCCTCTAACATTCATATCTACTAACTCATTTAATTCTCATATCGTAAGATACAGGTATAATTATTATCTCTAGTTTATAGATCAGGAAACTGATGCACAGGTTAAGTAGATTGCCTAACTTGCAGAGTGTCAGGAATCTTTGCACTAGGGAATACCTCTCAAAGTATCTTCTATGTAAAATTGCATTGATAATAATAATAATGCATTGATTGTTCACCATTAGTAAGCTATACCCGTCTAGGTTGCTACTTCCTGTGTGGAACTCAGTGTGCTCGTGAGTAAAAGTTGCATCCATTTCTTGTGGTAGTTAATTCTTCAAGCATTCTAGGGCAGGTCCTATGCACATATGTTTGGAATAGTAATGATTAATCAAAAGAAGTACTCAAGAAAATATTAATGAGAAAATAATATTCTGGCCCTGATGCTAGAATGAGAAGCATATGAAACTTGTCTTCGAAAACGAAACATAATGTCCTGACATTATCAGTAAGAACACCTATTCAATAACACAGATAAAACTGAAAGAAAATTATGCCTCATATTGAAATCTTACAAATAAAAAAATTATATATGTACATAAAGTATAAAATTATTTTTAAATTAGTTTCTCCCTAGCTATTGATCAAAGTGTTTTTACAGGTTCTACAGTCATTCAAGAATATGTCAGTTTAGCTTTCAGGGTGATGGGTAAAATATCAAAACCGCTCATGTTCTTTGTGATTTAGTCTCTTAAGACAGTTCTTTCTTCTGGTTTGACAATGCACTGACCACTTGCCATGTAATAATACAGCTGCTAACAGTGGTAGAGACCAAGAGACTTATACTGTTGTCAGTATTGCCTCTGGTACAGGAACTTCTGCCATTAGATCTGTGCAACCTATAAATGCACATAAGACAATGTACCCAAAGAGACTTAAAGCCAGCTATAAAGAAAAAAAAATGTATACTCAGATTATGTGGCTCCCAGAAACATAAAATTTCTGTAGGAGAGAGATAACAATCTGAATAAAATGATGATGATAATGGTAATGGTAATGGTGGTGTTGCTATTGTAATAATAATAATAAGATGCCATCTTTCCAGATGATGATAATTTTTTAAAAGCTCAATAAAATATTATTGATTTTTTTTCTGATATATTTAACAGAATAATGATGAATTACTGAGAACATGTTCAGGAGAGACCTGGATCCCAGAAGTATGCCAACATATGGGGCTACCTCTCCTTGAGGGTATTTGAGAATCTAGGAAATAAAGCTGAGAAGCTAGTTTGTGGTTTTGATACCTGACTAAGACTTAAGAGACAAAAGTCAGAGCACAGGTAATTACACAGGTATTTGTATATATTATCCTTTAGGTTCAGTCCCCAAAATGCTACTCAAAAATTTAAAGGAAATGGAAGTAAATCAACCACAACATGACTTTCTGACCAGTTTCGTGTCATCTGCATAGCAAAAACCTCAAGTCCTCAAATATAACTAAAATGATTTTTCATTATGTATGTCTTCTGACACATGGAAAAAGCAAGGGAAGGTAAAGTCATCTAAGACTCAATGTATTTGCCCAAATTATTTTTCATACCTAAAAGCTAACACAATAAATGATAATCAGACATATGAAGATAAAAAGAAAACATGAGTGAGTACCAGCAGAAATAAATCAGTAGAAACGGGCACCCAGATGCAAGAGATATATGTATTATTAGTCATGTCTTTCAAAAACAAACTGTATTTACTACAAATGTGCCTGGAGATATAAGCCAAGGTTAAACTGTCAGCAGGTAACCAAATATCATTTTTGAAAATTCACTTAAATAATTTGAAAAAATACAAATATAAATAAAAGAATAAACTGTCCTGAATTATAAATTAAATGTACTTGCTTAAAGAGTAGGCACTGAGGGATGCTAACACAAAGCCTCAAGCAAACTCACAAGTAATTTTTAAAAACCTGTTGATATATTCTTTTTAAGTAAGGGAAATAGGTAGTAATGAGAACATAGAGGACCTGTCAAATAAATTTAAAGAAAAACATAACATTGGAGGATTAAAAGAGCAAAAATGCTGTCATTACAGATGATATATTCAATCTTTAAAAAATTGAATTGAATCTACAGATAAATTATAAAACTTCAGTGGAGTTATGGGTACAAAATCAATTTTAAAAACTAAGGACTACTCTGTACTGGCTCTAATCAAAGAGAAAGAAGAACGGAAAAAAATATGTTAACATATAAAGCAACAACCTTTAGAATATAGTATTGATGATTAAAAGAGGAATTTTGCCTTTAAAATCAGCTCCAGGAAAAAAACGTGTGCTTTCAGAATTTAAATAATATAATTAATTTTCAAAATCGAGTCAATAGAAATACGTAGAAATTTTAATACTTGAAATAGAGAACAAGTATGTTCTTTATTTTTTAAATGTGTCCATGGAACATCAACAAAAATCAATAAAATTTTAAGAAAGTGTATTGAATTTACATACTACAGTCTTTATATAACGCAAGAAAATTAAAATAAATTGTGAAAACTTATCAAAAAATCTTTATTTGAAAATAAATACTTGCAAAAGTACTTAATTGAAATTTAAAATAAATACAAACTGAAACCACAAAATGATTGTAAAGCAACAGAGACACATTAACACAAAATTTATGGAAAAAAGCAAGCTGAACTCGAAATAAATTTAAGACTCAAATGTCTTTATCACACAAGAAAAGACAAAAGCTATAGGAACTTGGAACTTATGCAAATAAAGAGAATACAATAAGCAACTAAAAATTGTTTATAAAAATATACAAGTGTAAAAAACTAAAAAGACAGAGAGAATTAAGAGAAAGAATGAAATTAATAAAAATACGTGTTTTTTAAGTAGAAAAGATACATACTTCCAACACTGTGTTTTTCTTAAATCAATAACATTGATTATTAGTACTTTATATGTGGAACCAAAGAAAAAGAGTAGGAATGCTTAAGATCAGAAATGAAATAAAATCCATAATATAGTTACTAATAAAGTTAAGAATTATGAAAGACAACTTGAATTCAGTATTTTTATGAACTAAATAAAATATCTGAATTTCTTAAAAAATATAAAACCTGATATCTTCAACTCTGAATACTCATTACAATCAGTGGAAATAATTTAGAATAAAAAATTACAAATGCTCAGGCCCCTCCTACCTCAGGTCAATTGCATCAAAATTTTGGGAATGGAAATCAGCTTTTTTTAAAAGTTCCTTAGTGATACTAATGAACACTGAAAGTTGAGAACCTCAAGTTTCTGTTTTCATCAGAAGACTCATTTCCTCTCTGTTCTCATATCTGTTGTCATTACTCAACATAGTATTCTCTTACTTCAAAAGATATTGAATGGAGGTTAAAATATACCAATAAAAAGATATCAGAATCACATTATGTCACAGCTCAGTTATATTTAACTTTTAAAGAGAGAAGGAAATAGAAAGTAATTTGTAATATTTTATATCATAGTAAAAATGAAAATCCTCTGAATTGTTTCTATATGAACAGCAGAAACTTAACACCAACTCTTATTAAAATAATAATAGTGCCAAAAATCAAAAGTTCTTCTATTCAAAAATGTCACCAAGAACCTAAGCAGACACATTTTTTGAAACTACCCAGAAAGAAGATATCTAATCTTTTAAGGATTTTATTTTTTAAGTTTTAATTTTATGGCAAAATTAAGAGGAAAGTGTAGTTATTTCAAATAACTCCTGTCCCCACACATGTATTGCCTCCTTTCTTATCAACATCCCCTTCCAGAGGGGGGCATTTGTTACAATTGATGAACCTACCTTGATTTATTATCACCAAAAGCCATAGTTTACATTAGAGTTCATTCTTAGTGTTGAAAATTCTGTGGGTTTGGACAAATGTATAATCATATGTATCCATCATTTTAGTGTCCTACAGACTACTTTCGCTGCCTTAACAATTTTCTGTGCTGTGCCTATTTATCTCTCCCTCTCCCCTAACCCCTGGTAACCACTGTCTCCATAGTTTTGTCATTTCCAGAATGTCAGATACTTGGAATCGTATCATGAATAGCCTTTTTAGATTGGGGTTTTTCACTTGGTAATATGCATTTAAAGGTTTGCAATGTCTTTTTGTGGCTCTATAGCTCAATTTGGTTTTAGTGCTGAATACTATTCCATCGTCTGGATGTACCACAGTTTATCCATTCACCTACTAAAGAATATCTTGGTTGCCCAAGCTTTTGCAATTATTAATAAAGCTGCTATAAATATCCTTGTGCAGATTTTTAGGTAGTCACAAATTTTCAACTCATTCAGATGACCACCAAAGTACATAATTGATGGATCATCAAATAAGCTAATTTTATTACCTTATTCAAGATAAATTCCACCATAATGTTTCCTTTATTAACAGTGAAAGCAGCTTAAGAGGGTAGCATGTTAGAAATACCTTCACGAATAGAAAGCTGAAAGATTCTCCTAGTCAGTAATTTGGATCCTGGCCTACATAAAAGGTACTGAATCATTTTATCTCATCCTGCCTGTTTCCAGCTTGCTATCAAAATGATTTCTCAGTAACTTTAGTTCTCCTTTCAGTCATAATTTTACTGTGTTCCAATAAGATGTAATATCAATTTAATTACATATCAAAAAATACAGAATGTTTTAATACAATGAGGCTTCTACCAGATATCCAGATAGCTAGAGTCCTCTCACAAAGTAGTGGAAAAACAGAGCATATAATTTTACCTCTAAATTATTATTATTATTTTTATTTTAAATCTGTACTATTTAACCATTGCTCTAATTTTCTCTATTTCTTTTGTAAACATACAAAACCTGTTGTGTGCCTATCTCCTTTGCCTTTGATCTTCACCCAAATAGTTCTATAAAAAGACACTCATGTTGTGGATTTCTGTACAATATAGGTATGTGTGCATAGAATCTGTTCATAAAGAGATGAAACAGGAACATTGCCAAGAATGAATACTTTGGGAAAAAAAAAAAACCTAATGCAAATTTGTCTTATTTGATGCATTGCCATAACCAGGCTCTGAACATAAATAAACGTTACTTATGTTTTCAGTGAAACTCTGTGATTTCTCAATGTATAGAAAAATCACAACTACTTAATTGATAAAGTCATGGCAACTTTGTATTTTTTGCTGTTTTTAGTACTGTTAATCCTATAGGGAGATTCTGGTCCTTTTGGTTATATAACTCAGCAAAGGTAGCAGATTTATGAACTTGGTTACCTATGGGGTTTTTTGTGTGTGTTATCTAGTCTCATGCAGAAAAAATATATCATTCTCAAAATATTCTCTACCACCTTTAATGTTTTCAACATTTCATCTAAATCATATGCCAGTTCCCTCCTCATTTTTAGTGATAATTCTGCAGTTAACCTTCTCACACATAAAGTTTAATGCTTTGTGTTGGCAAACCATTTGTCTCCAGGTGGCGCTATTCAAAGCAACCAAGAAAGCAAAACTATGTAAGTCACAACACTCACAGTCCTTCCTGTCAATGAGTGTAAAGAGGGAAAAAGTTGACAAGGGTTAAAACAATAGAATGTCACCAAAATAGAGAAGTGAGTGCCTGTATGCTCATAGACAACATGCAGATTCCCAACCAGATGTGAAAGAGCTATTGAAAAAAACAAACATCTATTAAGGCAAATAGCATTATATGAAAACTCTTTCAACAGTGAATCTCCTAACACTTCAGCATATTTTAAAAGATAAGAAAGATCATGTTTTAGGAATAAAATTAAAACTGCAGAAAACCAGTAAGTTCAATAATACACGTTCACATTATTTCTAGCTTGCATAGCTATCTTGGAAAACAAACATGAATGTGTTTACATAGATATTCTTGATTTCAGGTGGGATAATTCAGCATTGAGTTACTGAGCAGTAACAATAGAGGAGATTATGATACACTAGAGCAAGAAGTACCTGGGCATATTGACATTACTCTATTTTAATCAATGTTTTATGCATTTGTGCATTTCATATTGGATATAAAGGGACATATATACAGGATTGAAGCACTTTACATTCTGATTAACCTCACACTAAAAGTATTTTAATTGTTGAATGTATTTGACTTCATTATGCTATTGAACATTGTATCTAGTTTATTCTCTGGGTTTGTATTGGTGACAGTGGGATTGTAACAAGAGGTAGACCATGAGAAAAAGAGATGATTGAGACTTGTGGCCCATTAATGGAGAGAGGAAGAGGCTGTGGTTACTGGAAATCTAAAGAAATTCAGGAGTTGGAAAACTAGAATGTAAGGAAGGGCAAGGGAAGCTCTGTAAATACAGAGACTAGAAATTAGACATATGTTATATAAATCAGGTTATCAGCAATTTTTTAAAGAAATAATGTGAAGGAGAATATCTGAATATCTAATATGAAAACTTACATGACAATTCAAGCCTATCATGGCCTACAAAGTTTTGAATCAATAATACTGGTGAGCAAATCATATTTTTCTTAATTATCAAATAGTTATAGAATGTACATTGCCATGATTACAGAAAGGCATGAAATTGAGATACAAGAGAAGATGCCTTAATATGGGGCAGGGATTAGTCTGTAAAAATTACTGTGAAGAGGAAAATTCTGGGAAGATGGTGGAGGAGGAAGCACCAGAAATCTGTCTCCCCACCTAGATAAAAATTGCACTGGCAGAATCTGTCTGATTTAACTATTTTAGAATTACAGAGTCTATTGAAGGTCTGCAACTTCCAGGGGAGGTTTAGAAGGGAAATTACAGATAATTTTTGTCAATTTCAGCTCTTAGCACAGCAGTAACTAGTCATCCCCTACTGCCGTGGTAAACAGCTATGCGACTGTATGTGGAGCAGCTTGCACTTAGCAGGAGCCAAAGCAGCAGAAAGGACCCTGTCCTCCAAATATTGAAGATCTGTGCTGTAATCACTAATACTTCTAAACTGAGAGGTGCAAAAAGGCAATGGTCATTGTTGCACCTCCCTTATTGCTGCAAGTCCTTTCCTCTCCAGCTGAAATGACTTCCAGTGGATTTAAAGAGCCACTGCCCTTTCTTTCACCCTCATCATTTTTTTCCACTTTCTTCATTTTTCTCTTTTTCTCCTTTTGGAACTCAAACCTTAAAGACTCAAAAAACACAACATATATGAGAAAAATTAAATGGTAATCATGCATCCCCAGGGCAAGGTGTAGGATCAGAAAAGATCCGAAAACAATTTGACTTTACATCTTAGGATGATTCCTGTTACTAACACAGTCTACAACAATAAAATTTTTAAAAAAATACAAAACAATAATAAAGAACAAAAAACTCCAGGGAAGGGTGGCAAATCTGATTTCCAGACTAATCACATTATTAAATTCAAATGTCCAGTTTAAAACAAAAAAAATCACAAGGCATATAAAGAAAAAGAAAAATATGACCCATTTAATGGAAAAGTATAATAAATCAACAGAAACTATTCCTGAAAAAGACCTATGGTATTTCTATCAGACAAAGACTTTAAATCAACTATCCTATAGATGCTCAAAGAAAATAAAGGAAGATGTGGAGAACTGTAAAAAATATGTATGAACAAAATTGATGGAAGCATCAGTAACAAACAGGAAACCTACAAAAAAGAATAAAGTAAATTCTGGAGCTGAGAAGTACAATAATAAAATAAAGCATTCACTAGAGCAATTCAAAGACAGATTTCAGCAGACCGAAGGAAAAATCATCAAACTTAAAGATAGGACAATAAAAATAAAAATTATTAAATCTGAGGAAAAGAAAGAAAACATTGAATGAAAACGAACAGAGCCTAAGAGACCTGTGGAACAGCATTAAATAGACCAACACATACATTTTGGTTGTTCTTGAAGGACAAGGAGAGAAAGGGCACAGAGACCAATAGCTACAAACTTCCTCATTTGATGAAAGACATAAATAAACATCCAAAAAGCTCAATGAACTTCAAGTAAGAAGAACTCAAAAACATCCACACCAAGACACATTATCATCTAGCTATCCAAAGCCAAAAACAAAAACTTGAAAAGAGCAAGAGAGAAGCAACTCATCACATACAATGGACTCTCAATAAGATCACTAGCAGATTTCTCATTAGAAACTTTGGAAGCAATAAGACTGTGCACCAATATATTCAAAAGGCTAAAACAGAAGTTTAAAAACTATCAACCAAGAATCCTCTATCTGACAAAATTGTCCTTCAAATGTGAAGGAGAAATTAAGATGTTCCCAGATAAATAAAGGGCTAAGGAATTTCTTTACTACTAGAGCACCCCTGTAAGAAATGTTTAAGGAAATCCTGTAGGGTGAAATGAAAGAACAATAGTTAGTAACTGAAAGCTATGTTAAGAAATTCCCTTTGAAAACCGGCACAAGGCAAGGATGCCCACTCTCACCACTCCCATTCAACATAGTATTGGAAGTTCTGGCCAGAGCAATCAAGCAAGAGAAAGAAACAACAGGTACTCAAATAGGAAGGGAGGAAGTCAAATTGTCTCTGTTTGTAGATGACATGATTGTATATTTAGAAAACCCCATCATCTCAGCTCCCAATCTCCTTAAGCTGATAAGCAACATCAGCAAAGTCTCAGATACAAAATCAATGTGCAAAAATCACAAGCATTCCTACAACAACAAGAGACAAGCAGAGATCCAAATCGTGAGTGAACTCTCATTCACAATTGCTACAAAGAGAATAAAATACCTAGGAATCCAACTTACAAGGGATGTGAGGGACCTCTTCAAGAAGACCTACAAATCAATGCTCAAGGAAATAAGAGAGGACACAAACAAGTGGAAAAAAAATTCCCTGCTCATGGATAGGAATAATCAATATCGTGAAAATGACCATATTGCCCAAAGTAATTTATAGATTCATGCTATTCCCATCAAGCTACAAATGACTTCCTTTGCAAAGTTAGAAAAAACTACTTTACATTTCATATGGAACTAAAAAAGATCCCCTATAGCCAAGACAATCCTAAGCAAAAAGAACAGAGCTGGAGGCATCATGCTGCCTGACTTCAAACTATACTACAAGGCAACAGTAACCAAAACAGCATGGTACTGATACCAAAACAAATATATAGACCAATGGAACAGAATAGAGACCTGAGAAATATCCCCACACATCTACAACCATCTGATCTTCAACAAACCTGACAAAAACAAGGAATGGGGAAAGAATTCCCTGTTTAATAAGTGGTATAGAGAAAACTGGCTAGCCATATGCAGAAAACAGAAACTGGGCCCCTTCCTTATACCTTATACAAAAATTAATTCAAGATCAATTAAAGACTTAAATGTAAAACCCAAAACCATAAAATCCCTAGAAGAACACCTAGGCAGTACTATTCAGGACATAGGCATGGGCAAAGATTTCATGACTCAAACACCAAAAGCAATTGCAACAAAAGCCAAAATTGACAAATGGGATCTAAGTAAACTAAAGAGCTTCAGTACAGCAAAAGAAACTATTATCAGACTGAACAGGCAACCTACATAATGGGAGAAAATTGTTGCAGTCTACTCATCTGTCAGAGGACTAATATCCAGTATGTACAAGGAACTTAAACAAATTTACAAGAAAAAAAAAACATCAAAAAGTGAGTGAAGGATATGAAGAGACACTTCTCAAAAGAAGACATTTATGCGGCCAAGAAACATATGAAAAAAAGCTCTTCATCACTGGTCATTAGACAAATGCAAATCAAAACCACAATGAGATACATCTCACGCCAGTTAGAATGACGGTTATTAAAAAGTCAGGAAACAACAGATGCTGGCGAGGCTGCAGAGAAATAGGAATGCTTTACACTGTTTAATGGGATTGCAAATTAGTTCAACCATTGTGGGAGATAGTGTGGTGATTCCTGTAGGATCGAGAACCAGAAATACCATTTGACCCAGAAATCCCATTACTGGGTATATACCCAAAGGATTATAAATCATTCTATAAAGACACATGCACACATATGTTTATTGCAGCACTATTTACAATAGCAAAGACTTGGAACCAACCCAAATGTTCATCAATGATAGACTGGATAAAAAAGTGTGGCACATATACACCATAGAATACCATGCAGCCATCAAAAAGAATGAGATCATGTCCTTTGCAGGGACATGGATGAAGCTAGAAGCCATCATTCTCAGCAAACTAACAGAGGAACAGAAAACCAAACACCACATGTACTCACTCATAGGTGAGAGTTCTCTCATTCACAATTGCTCATTGAAGAATGAGAACATGTGGACACAGGGAGGGGAACATCATACACAGGGGCCTGTCAGGGGTGGGGGCCACGGGGAGGGAGAGCATTAGGACAAATACCTAATGCATGTGGGGCTTAAAACCCAGATGATGGGTTGATAGTTGCAGCAAACCACCATGGCACATGTATACCTATATAATCTGTGCCTTCTGCACATGTATCCCAAAACTTAAAGTAAAATTTAAAAAAAAATTAACATCTCAGGACAGGTAAATACACGGGTAATTGTAATAGCTAGTATTATTTTAACAACAGTTTATAACTTCACATTTTGTCCTTCACATGATTTAAGAGAATGATACATTCTGAAAACCAGTGTTATTTTTTTTTATTATACTTTAAGTTTTAGGGTACATGTGCACAATGTGCAGGTTAGTTACATATGTATGCATGTGCCATGTTGGTGTGCTGCACCCATTAACTCGTCATTTAACATTAGGTATATCACCTAATGCTATCCCTCCCCCTTCCCCCCACCCCACAACAGGCCTCGGTGTGTGATGTTCCCCTTCCTGTGTCCATGTGTTCTCATTGTTCAGTTCCCACCTATGAGTGAGAACATATGGTGTTTGGTTTTTTGTCCTTGCGATAGTTTGCTGAGAATGATGGTTTCCAGCTTCATCCATGTCCCTACAAAGGACATGAACTCATCATTTTTTATGGCTGCATAGTATTCCATGGTGTATATATGCCACATTTTCTTAATTCAGTCTATCATTGTTGGACGTTTGGCTTGGTTCCAAGTCTTTGTTATTGTGAATAGTGCCGCAATAAACATCTGTGTGCATGTGTCTTTATAGCAGCATGGAAAACCAGTGTTATTATAATTTGGATTTATAACTCTAAATTTTATTTCCTATAAAATTTAAGAGACTAATGCAATTAAAAGAATTATTAGTTTATGTTTGGGGACATAATCTATAAGGCTATAATTTTGTGACACCAACTGAAATGCGTAGGATGGAGGTGGAAAGGAGCAGAGTTTTTTAATGCTATTGAAGTTTAACTGGTATCAATTCCAATTAGATTATTATAACTTTAGAATGTTACATGTAATCCCCATGGTAACCACAAATCCATAAGAATACATACAAAAAGGATGAGAAAGGAATTTAAACATTTCACTACAAACAAAAATTAAATACAAAAGGGTGACAGTAATACAGGAAATGAGGAACAAAAAACAAAAACTGTAAGACATATAAAAAATAAATATCAAAATGACAGAAGTCCTTCCTTATCAGCAATAACTTTAAATATAATAGATTGAAATCTCCAAACAAAAGATGGAGATTGAGTCAATGGATAAGAACATATGATCCTCATACATGCTATTCAGAAAAACCTCACTTTAGGTCCAAGGACACAAAAACATCCTTTTAAGTTGCAATTGAAAAAGATATTTCATGCAAATAATTACCAAAATAGAGCAGGGATGCTTATACTAATATCAGAAAAAATAAAATCAAAATACAAAAGTTGACAATTGACAAAAAGAGCACTACATATTAAAAGTTTCAAAAAAGCAAGGAAGTATAACCATCATAAACGTTTATACACTTAATGATAGACCACAAAAATATATAAGGCAAAAACTAATAGACTTAAAAGGAGAAATATACAGCATTACAAATACAAAGTACTAACAATATACAATAACACAATAATCATTGAACTTTTCAGTGCTTTCAGTAATGGATTAGGATAACCAAGACAGAAAATAGGTAAGAAAGTAAATGATTTAAACAATGCAATAAACTAATTAGATCAAACAGACATTCTCAGACCAATCTACACAATAACAACCATATACATATTGATTTCAAGTATACATGGAACATTTTCCAGGTAAGCCATATGTTAGGCCACAAATTAAGTCTCAATATATTTTAAAAAGCGAATATCATTCAAAGTATCTTCCCTCATCATAACAGAATCGAGTTTGAAATCACTGACAGAAGTGAAACTGGAAAATTCACAAATCTCTGAAAATAAAACAATGCACTCTTAACTAAACAATGAATCAAAGCAGATAACAAAGGGAAATAAGAAAATACTTAAACAAGAATGAAAACAGAAACCCAATATATTAAAACATATGCAGTAAATAAAAGACTGCTAAGGGAGAAATTTACAGCTATAAATGCTTACATTAAAAAAGAGAAAGATTTTAAATCAACAGCTTCATCTTTACAATTTAAGGAACTAGAAAGAAAGAACAAACTAAACACAAAGCCTAGCAGAAACAATGAAAAAATAAAAATTAGAGCAGAACTTAATGAAATAGAGGATAGAAAAAATAGAAAAAAGCAAGAGAAAACAAAAGTTGGTTGCATGAAAAAAATGAGTAAAACTGGCAAACCTTTAGCTAGATAGACTACAAAAAAAGACTCACATTTGTGTAAGATCAGAAAAAAAAGGTTGTGGCATTGTTATTGATTCTACAGATCAATTATTATGACATTAATATGAATAATTGTATGTCAACAAATTAGATAACCTAGATGAACAAATTTCTAGATACACAAAACCTACCAAGAATAAATTATGAAGAAATCGAAAATTTTAATAGATTTATAAGTAGAAAGGAGACTGAGTCAGTTTAAAAATCTCCCAATAACATAAAAGCCTGAACCTGATGACTGCACTGGTAAATTTCATTGAACATTTAAATAACTTATATCCATTCTTCCCAAACTTTGCCCAAAAACTTGAAGAGAATTTAATACTTTCTAACTCATTCTATTAGGACAGTATTACCACGGTACCAAAGCCAAAGAAACCACAGGAAAATAAAAGTGCAGACCAATTCCTTATGAACATGGAAGCCAAAATACTCAACAAAACAATAGCAAACCAAATTCTGCAGTGTGTTAAAAGGACTATACGCCATGAGCAAGTGAGATTTATTTCAAGAATACTGGGATGTTATAATATACGAAAATACAAAAATTAATCTAATACACCACATTAAGAGAATGAAGGAAAAAAAAGATCATCTCAATCGATACAGAAAAAAACTTTTAACAAAATGTAATAGCCTATCATGATAAAAAAATCAACAAAGAATATAATGAACTATTACAGCAAACATCACCCTCAATGGTGAAAATCAGAAAGTTTTTCCTCTAATATGAGGAATAAGACAATGATGCCTATACTTACCATTTCTGTTTAACATTGTAATAAAAATTCTACCCAGAGACCTTAGGAAAGAGTAAAAATAGAAGGCATCCAAAATGGGAAGGAAGAAGTGAAATGATATCTGCTCACAGATGAAATGATTTTATATGTAGAAAACTTTAAATATTTCACACAAAAAAATAAGTAATCAATGGATTCAACAAAGTAGTTGGATGCAAAATCAACATGCAAAAATCAGTTGCATTTCTATATATTAACAATGAACAATCTGTGTAGTGATTATAAAGACAATTTCATTTACAACTGCATGAAAATGAATGAAAGACTCCGGAATTAACTGAATTTTTTTTTTTTTTTGAGAGTCTTACTCTGTTGCCAGGCTGGAGTGCAGTGGCGTGATCTCAGGTCACTGCAACATCTGCCTCCTGGGTTCAAGCAATTCTCCTGCCTCAGCCTCCTGAGAGCTAGGACTACAGGCAGCTAATTTTTGTATTTTTTGTAGAGATGGGGTTTCACCATGTTGGCCAGGATGGTCTCAATCTCTTGACCTCAGGCTGATTCACCTGCCTCAGCCTCCCAAAATGCTGAGATTACAGGCGTGAGCCACCACGCCTGGCTGAAAAAAAAATGTAAATAAGCAAATGAAAACAAATCCCATGATCATGAATTAGAATTAATGTTGTTAACATGTCAGTGCCACCCAAAATGATCTACAGATTTAGTGCAATTCCTATCAAAATTCCACTGTTTTTTTTTCTTTTTTTTTTTTTTTGCAGAAATAGAGAGCCTTTTCCTACAAGTCTTATGGAAATTCAAGGGACCCCAAATAACTGAAGCAATCTTAAAAACAAAGAACAAAGCTGGAGGATCAAAAGATTGTGGTACTGGAATAAATATAGCCATTTAGACAAACAAAAGCCTTGAAATAAACCCTCACATATATAGTCAAATGATTTTTTTAGAAGAGTGTCAAAATCACTCAAAGGGGGAAGTACAATCTTTTCAACAAATGATGCTGGAATCTCTGCATGAAAAAAAATGAAGTTGGACCCTTACATAATACAATACACAAAAAATTAATGGATCGAAGACTAAGTGTAAGACCTAAAGCTGTAAAACTTTTAGGAGAAAACATGGGGTAAAAGCTTCATGACACTGAATTTGTGATGATTTCTTGGATACAACACCAAAGGCATAGGCAACAGCAGCAACAACAACAACAGCAACAACAAAAATAGAAAAATCGGACTCATGAATATTTTTAAAATATGTACTTCAAAAGAGAATATTAACAGAGTAAAGGGCAACCCACAGAATAGAAGAAAATATTTGTAGATTTTGTCTGATAAGGAATTAATATTCAGACTATGTTGAGAACTTTCAAAAGTCAACAATTAAAAAAAAAAACTTGATTCAAAAATGGACAAAAGACTTCAATAGACATTTCTTCAAAGAAGATAGACAAATGGCCAAAAAGCACATAAAAAGATTCTCAATATCACTAATTATTAGGGAAATGCAAATCAAAACTACAATGAAATACCACCTTACACCAATAGATGACTACAAATAAAAAAAAACAGAAAATGGTAAGTGTTGACAAGAATGTGAAGAAATTGGAACCCTTAAACACCGTGGGAAAGTAAAATGGTACAATTGCTGTGGAAAATAGTATGGTGGTTCCTTAAAAAAAAAAAAATAGAATTACCATATCATCCAGCAATTTAACTTCTGAGTATATCCCCAAAAGTATTGAAAGCAGGGTCTTGAAGTCTTGAAGAGATGTTTTCATATATATGTTCATAGCGGTATTATTCACGATAGCTAAAATGTAGAAGCAACAGAAGTGTCCATCAATGGATGAATGGATAAGCAGAATGTGGTCTGTCCATAGAATGGAATATTATTCAGCCTTAAAAAAGAGGGAAATTCTGATATATGCTAAAACATGGATGAACCTTGAACATTATGTTAAATGAAATAAGCCAGTTACCAAAACACAATGCAGTTGACCCTTGAACAACAAAGTGGTTAAAGGCGCTGACTCCCCACCCCCACCATGCAGTCGAAAATTTATATATAACTTTGACTCTCGAAAAACTTGACAACTAATAGTCTACTTCTGATGGCAAGCCTTACCAATAACATAAGCAGTTGATTAATACATATTTTTATGTTATATGTTATATATTGTATTTTTATAGTAAACTAGATAAAACATTAAGAAAATCATAAAAAATATATTTACCATCCATTAAGTGAAAGTACATGATTGTCAAGAACTTCATCCTCATTATCTTCACGCTGAGTAGGCTGTGATAAGGAAAATTAGGAGGGGTTGGTCCTGCTGTTTCAGAGGTGGCAGAGGTAAAAGAAACTCTAAGTGGACTCTCACAGCTCCAACCCAGGTTGTTCAAAAAGGATCAACTGTACTGTATGATTATCCTTATATGAAATATCTAAAGTAGCCAAACTTACAGAAACAGAGAGTAGAATGGTGGTTGCTGGGGCAGAGGGAAGCAGGAAATGAGAGATTGCTGTTCAACGAGTATCAGGTTTCAGTTATATGAGATGAGTAAGTTCCAGAGATTTGCTGGACAATGTTTTGCCTTATTAATTAAAGGCACTTAAATAATTTTGTGCTTAAGTACACAAGTGTATTTCATGCATAGTATCCCATTTATTTATTTATTTATTTATTTATTTTTGAGACAAAGTCTCACTCTGTTGCCAGGCTGGGGTGCAGTGGTGCGATCTCGGCTCACTGCAACCTCTGCCTCCCAGGTTCAAGCTATTCTTCTGCTTCAGCCTCCACAGTAGCTGGGACTACAGGCGTGCACCACCACACCCAGCTAATTTTTGTATTTTTAGGAGAGACATGGTTTCATCATGTTGGCCAGGATTTCTCTATCTCTTGACCTCATGATCTGCTGGCCTCAGCCTCCCAAAGTGCTGGGATTACAAGTGTGTCCCACCATGCTTGGCCTCCTTATTTATTTTTAAGTACAAAGTATTGTATTTTGTACTTAAAAAATTATTAAGAGTATATATCTCATTTTCAGTGTTCTTATCACAATTTTTAAAAATACATTATATAGACTGTATGTTTGCCTAACTGAACTAACATTCTCTTTAAAAGGGGTACTATGCAAGAAAGAGAGTCTATAATGCAAATCTGATACTAGCACTTCAAGGTCCTAAATGGTTGTTATTTGCTAGATTGCCTCCTCTGAGTACCTATGCTGCCTGTATATGTGTGATCTGCTCCAAATCTCTTCTGATTTCACCTTAAGAATTAGAAAAAAAAAGAATGAATGTTTCTTTTATATTATTAATTCATTTGCTTAATATGTCAAATAAAATAGTTATAATAAAAATAGGAATCTGATTGATTTTGTGTCAATCAACATAAAAAAGGGAGCTGATAGTAATTTAACATCGTGCTGGATTTGGCCAAGGTATAGAATTGCAAAGACTAAAATTTATCTACTTTACAACTTTGAATGGTATGCATAGAGCCTAATATAAGTTTTAATAGTGATGAATTATGCAAACCACTTTTCATTCTTTATATATTTTATTACTTTTTTGTCCATCTCTTATAAAATTAATAATAATCATCATCAATATTTTGATAATACATACTTAAAACTTGAATGCATACTGATAGATTCATCAATAGTGATACTATAGTACAGTGTATGTGTGTATGTTTGTGAGTATATAAAATAAGAAAATCATTTTCTAATAATGCAGAAAATATACTTCTGCAATGTATAGAGATTTTACTGGACACTATATTCCATTAAGTAATATATTCAATTAAGAAATTCAGCAATTTAAAATGAGCTAAAAATATTCAGTTCAGAGGAAGCAAATTATCTTAATGTAATGCCTTTAAACCATTAAAATAGATTACATTGTATAAACCAGGTTAAAATTTAAATCCAGCATAAAACAACAAAAAATGAAGTCCTAAAAGGGGATATAGTAAAATCAATATTCTCTTTTAAAATGAAAGTGTTCTCTTGGAACAGACCAGTAAACCATTAAGGTACCAGGACAAAATTTTTCAAGTAAAACTCCTATAAATTTCAAGAGTTTAATTACTGATGAATTATTAGAATGTGGTACTCTTAATTTTGGTATCTTCCCAGCCAATTATTTTAGGCCCATAAAGAAAAATATCTCTATATCAATGACTATTCAAATTATATAAATGTAAATCAGGTCACCAGGACAAAATAAATATGTAGCTAAGCTATTTCAATCTGGAAACAATTGCAGAAGGCCAGATAGTCCATTGTCATCCCGTGGACTTGGCTCTTATTCACTATTCAGTTTAGTAGGACCCAATTGCATTTAACCTGATGTCAGTAAAAGCAGTTATTTAAATTAAAAGAAAAACAGGTGAATAGCTCAATTTGATATTTTTTTTTAAATTACAGTTTAAAATTTCTAAATTTCAAAACTGAGGTTCAAGGAATATCAGACTTATGAACGTTCAAAGTCACATAAAATAATTATCTTCTGGGTACATTCTCTCATCCTCTATGGATAAGGATGTACTTTAAATATTTATTTCTATAGTAGTAATCATTTCTCTCTGTGTCCATTTCTAACTGCACTTGTAAATAGCTTTTATAACCAATAAAATTATGAGTTTAACTATAAGTCTTTGATCATTATTTCTTCATTTATTAAAAATAAATGCAGTATTGAAAATTTAGATGGATGGCCATTATGGCTTAGAATTCTGTAGTGGCTATGGGTATGAGCTTTGTGTTCGAGTCCTGTCTTTGCAAATTAGTAGCTATATGATTCTGAACTAGTCAGCTCCCCCACACTTCACTGTTCTCCCCTGGAAATGGGGATGATGGTGATGATTATGATGCTAACAATCATAATAGCTATGTTAGTAAGTTTGTTATGAAGTTATGAAATTACACTTGCAAGCTGCTTATCACAGTAACAAAAGGAACAGAATACACTTAACCCCTCCACTAGCTCATGGCAAGTATTAATAAATTAATAAAACACTCATTGTTGCAGGCTACATTAATAATTATTGGCCCATAGAATGAAACATGCTAGCTGCTGACAGTACTAGTCACTGGAAAACTTAGGAGGTGCAGATACTTGAAAATAGGTCTATAAACATATCGCAAGTTTTATGTATAGAAAGTGAAAGGATTTGTGGTAGCATAACAGGAGACCATTCCATTTATTTCTCAGCAATGATAACTAAAAATTGGGTTGCAATTGATAAGGAGCATAGAATGATAGAGACATTTGTATGAAATATTCCATGTTAATGGAAAGTTGAGGAGGGGCATTTGCTTGAGTATTGTACCTGCACCTCCTAGTCTTTGAGACTGACTTACAGTTACTCTTTGCCATAGGGGACCTCAGAGTCATTTAATTCAGACCCAAGATCAATTCATAGAAGATAATTTGTTTTGACCTCTGGCCACTATTTCAAAGATGTTTTGTTCAGTTCCCTAGGGAAAAGAAATCTACCTTTAGATTTTCATTTCCCAGAATCATAAAACGTCTTCAAAAAATAAATGAATAAAAGAAAAGAAAGAATCACATTCTCAAAGACCTGAGATTAACTTTATGTATAAATAACGAGATAAACCTCTGTATGATTTTAAGTAGATCACCATCTTCTCAATTATCTCTGACGTTATATTTTAGAAACAAAGAAAAGCTGGATCTAGGGAAGGAAAGACACAAAATACTTTGATTCTACTATAACCAGACGAATATATTTTGCAGGATCTTAGCACACAAACATAAAAGTGAAGTCGAAGCCTTAGCCACTTAGCCTCAAGACCACACATAGTAGTGAGTCCTAAGGCACTAGCACATAACACAGTGTCCCTGGTAAACATACTCGCAAGCCTCTAGGCTAGAGCAAAGAGTCTCAGATTCTCTTTAGTTATAACATTTGCTGATTTCAGAATTTTTGATTTGAAAAGAATCTTAGAAGCCATCCAAATCCACTTTAAGACATGCATTTTAAATAGAAAGATTGGGATTGGCAATAGCTTTTGACCTAAGTGATCATCATATTCATTGGAAGTTTTTAAATAAAAATATTACATAAACAACACCCTAGAAAAGTTTTGATCCAGTCCACATAATTTGAGGAACCAGAACGTGAATGTTTAAAAATATACCAAGGGAGTGTAAAAACCAGCAAGATGTAGGGACAATAAGTAAATAGATAAATGAATAAATAGACAAATGTGAAAAAAACCTCCCCCTTGTCAGCACTAAAATATAAAAAAGTATAAATGACTATCTGCTTGACTCTTCAGAAGACAGTTTTGAAGGACAGAAACTTTTTGAGAAATTCTTCGAGAAAGCAACTGGGTAGATGTAAAAAATTGAATATTTGCTGGCAGAAAAAGAAAGGAAAGGAGAATATGAAATGCACAGAAAAAAAACAAACCGAACACACCTTCCCATTTTTTAAGTTTAGTTGTTACCAGGGCTTACTGTGGTCAAACCTACAAGCCTCCAGTGATCATTTTTATAAATTATGAGATTTGGTGCCAGAATATACAGAGGATGATGTTGACTACACTATTTATGTGTTTACTTACTTATTTATACTTAAACAAATAGAGAAATAGTCATCTGAGTTTTAGCTCTAAGATGGGAACAAAAATAAACCCACGAGAAAGTAATTTGTAAAATGTTAAATAGGCAGTGGATATTTTAAAATAATTCATAAAACAGATTGAAATAATATGCTTAGGTTAAGCAACACTACATTTAATCTAATTTAATTTTCATTGTTATACAGTGAGCTTCCCATATGGGAAAGTGCATCTTAGAGTTGTCCAGTCAAAAAACTAATAAATAGTAGAGTTAGAATTTGAACCTAGGTCTCTGTGTTTTTCAAGTTCAGGCTTTTAACCTGTTGTACTTCACAATTTAGTAATGTTTCCAAAAGTATAAAAGAAATAGAATTTTCCTACAACTTGGTATAATTTGCATACACTATAGTATGTCAAATAACAGAATGTTACAAGCCTAAAAACCACTCAAGAGTCTTCACATCACACATTTATGTCACTAAAGTACGAACTCTCTGTCTACACAAACATCAGACACTGGAAAAGGGGAAAATGTATGTCCCTTTATATTTTCATGTTCAGTACCTTGGTTTTATATTGTTTGATGTGACAATAGTGACTGAAACTACATTCCGGGTATAGGTTTCCAAGTTTTTTTTAAAACTGACAACTGATCATAGTTTTCTTTAAGAGTATTTTTATTTATGTCCCCTAAATAAATTGCCTTTGTCGCACATTAGCCTCTAATAGGTGGCATTATTTATAATCCTTATATTCTATATGAGATCATGCCCATCAAAATCCCTTTCCTTCCTTTCCCTGTCATTGGGCCCTTCTTTCAGCTATCCTTGATTTCCTAAGACATCATGAATGTTACCTGCATACAGTACCACAGTGTCCTGTTAACTAATGATCACATTGTATTATATGAGCCTTCAGGATCTTTCTCTCACTCTTCTACAAGGTGTATGGTTAATAGATAGACATACATTTCTGGATCTTTTGAGTTCTGAATTTTTTTGTTTAAGTTTACATTAACTTTCTTTTTCAAGACTAAAAAAAGTCTATATTGGCACATAATTTAAGCTCCAAATATTAAAAAGTTTCTTCCACAATTACTTGTAGTTGCTCTCCTGCGTTTGGGCCTGAGCACATACATTTTATGAAAGAGTCTAGAGGAGATCATTTCAAAAGTTCTACATATAGGAAAAATAATGCTTCATTGATATTTCTGGAAAAAATATTCCTCCCACCTTTTTCTAATGGAATGAAATTTTGGAAAAGTAAACCAATCGTTTATCATGTATTCCCTTATTTAGTAAGCCATTCAAAAATGCTTATTGAGACAATATATAAGTTTAATTTGAGAATCCATGAATTCCCACATTGCATGAAACAGATATTACTTAAATAAGCACACAAAAATGTAAATTGCAGTGTTCTACAGGAGTAAGTATTCTGCAGGCGTAGTACAGAGTGAAACAGAATATATAATAGGGAATTTTAAATACTCCAGAATTCTTCCCCAGTTTTCCCTGTTCACAGAATATGAGATGTGTGAGCAGATTCTTTGAAAAGAGATTTGGAACTTCCTTCCTTCCTTCCTTCCTTCCTTCCTTCCTTCCTTCCTTCCTTCCCTCCTTTCCTCCTTCCTTCCTTCCCTCCTTCCTTCCTTCCCTCCCTCCTTCCCTTCCTTCCCTCTCTCCCTCCCTCCCTTTCTTCCCTCTCTCCCTCCCTCCCTTCCTTCCTTCCCTCCCTCCTTCCTTCCTTTCTCTCTTTTCTTTATTGCAGGAAAAGCCATATCTAGCACACTTTTTATCAATATTTGTTATTTCAAAACCAACATTCAAAAGTAAAATTTACATGGATACATACATTTATTATTAAACAAGAAACAAATGAAAGAAATGCACTAATATCAGGAAAAATATTTAAAAAAATTCAAGTCCTAGAGAATTTGGAGCAGAGTAGTATGAAAACCAAGACAGAATCATGGGAAATTTAAAAAAGAAAGCAATGAAGTTGAGAAATGAATCCAACATTTCTGCTTTCAACAAGGTGAAGGAGACCAGAGTTTTCTAAAATCCAATTATCAAAAAACATCTACTTTTGAAAATCACAAGAAAGTATGAGTAATTTCTGAGGCTCCAGAAATCTACAAATGAGCTGAAGTAAGAGTGGCAACTGAAATAATAAAACTAGACTACCCTGGAGCACCTGCCATTAGCAGGAACCTTGAGCACCAGGTTTTATAGAGCCTACAAGGAAAGCAAACTAAAAGCCCTCAAGCCCTGCACAGTGTGGGAGGTGGAATTGGTCTCCACTTCATAAAGCTGGGACTTCGAAGACATGTTAAGTAAACGATGAGCCAAAAAGCATACACATGCTAATAAATCATGTAAACAAAGAGAATGTCTGTCTCCATGGTGACACTGTTTGGAAGAAAACACATACATGTCTTCAGAAATTGTAACTATATTTTGACTCATTTGAGTTTGTGGTTTGGATTTACATCAACTGCACAGTTGAGCACTGTTAGATTTAGTAACACCCTCAAATTCCTAGAGGAATAAATCCAAACATGTTTCAGAGGAAAATACTCACAACCCATTAGCTCCAGGATTTCTGTGATTAAGATCAGACAAATCAAGAATCATAAAGTGTATAAAGAAACAAGAAAAGGTGCCAGCAGAAATAAGGAGTAACATAAGAGAACCCTTAAAAAGTTGTGCGTTAAAATTACCCAATAGGAGATTGTGAAGAAAAGAGTTAACATAGCGGGCTTGAGAATCCCATCTTTAGAAAGGCGTATTTGCAAGGTGGACCCTTTGCTGGCTGGACACTGATTTCAGAAGGGTTCACACCACTCCCTGATAGGAATGGCTCACTGTGCTGATAAGGATGTAAAGAGGCTATAATTACTAGGCAGGAACTTCCAGCACTATCTGATCATGTTTACGATTCATAAGTACCTTGAGAGACATGTCTCCTTTCAGCAAATTTGTCCTAAGTATTTAACCTTGAGAGGTTCTTGTTCATATCCAGAAAGAGATATATTTATTAATAAGAATGTGCATAACAGCATTATTTGTAGTAGTCTATAACTAGAAAGTACATAAAAGTTCATTCAGAGGATGTTGAGTAATATGCTACAGTCACAAAATGAAATATATGTATTTTAGAAGACATCAAAAAGACCTAATAAAGAAACAAATTGCAGAAACATAATACATTTTAATATTACGTTTATAGGTAGGTTAACCAGATACCAAAAAATTCTATTTTATTATTTGGAAAATCATAGAGAGTTCAAACATAAAGAAATACACAGGCAAATTTATTCACAAAATTCAGAATTTTTGTTACTTCTGGTGAGGTGCAAAGAAAAGTATGTCATTTGTGAGAGGTTAATATATATGTTCAACTTCACTATTAATGTTTTAGTTTTCCTAATACCAATTGTGGTTAAATGGGTATTTTTTTCTTTTATTAAGGCATCTATTTTTCTATATTAAATAATGAAAAATAAATTACATATAATAACCCTGTGTATATTATATACAAAAATAGAAAAGTTGATATTACACATAAATATACAAATATGTATTTGTTGTCTATGAATATATATGTGTATATGCATATATGTTTATATATGTGTATATGCATATATGTGTTTATAAATATATGTGTATATATTAAAAGTATTGTCATTATAAGTAATTGCAAAAATTGCAATTACTTTTGCACCAACCTAATATTTGTATGTGTTTGAAAAATAGACATCATTTGCAATTTCAAGAATATTATAATTATCTCAGAATAACCCTTTTAAAAAGCATTGACTTATGACCTTTTTTCATAAGGTTTTACCAAAAAAATTTAAGAAAATTTAAGTACCAGAAGAGATATAAACATTTCATAGACATAAGGTCCAACATTGTAAAGACTTAATATTTTGTAATCTATAAATTGAATGCAAAGTTTTATGGATCTTGACAAGTTGATTGGAAAGTTAATATATAAGGGCACGGGGCCAGAAAAGCCAAAATACTCTTGATTAAGAACAAGATGGCTGTGCCTGCTTTAATAGATATAAATTATTGTAATATTACTTATGCTGAGCTTACACTCTGATTTGGTCTTTCTTCTGAAAGTCTCTCACTGAGAGAGCTTTCATTTTTTATTTTCACTTCTTAATTCCTCTGAACTCCAGGTCCAGGACCAAAAGCCAGAAAAACTGTAGGTTTCTGTCTCCATATCTGTGAAAAGCCTCAAACTTGCAATTCTTACCTTTTGTAGTAAGAACAGATAAGCAGCAGCAGTAAGATGCTTGCAATTCAAACCTGTTGGAGAGTTTTGTTTGTTTGTAGAATGAGCCCTCTTCTAGCTTCTGTTCCTGCTTTTCATTGCTTTCCAGTGATATAAGCGTATATTTCTGTCCGTGTGTATATATGTGTGCATATACATACAGGTATCATTTTTTAGAGGAGTCTTTTTAAAAGACAAAAGATAATTTATTTGGGGTGAAGGACAAAAATTGGGAAAAAAGTTTTCTCCTCTCAATTATCAAAGTTATTGAAACTTATATTGATATATATGATATTTAATATAGCAGTAAAATATCTATGCACAAACATAGACACATTCCAGATATTAAGCATCCCTGGAAATGCTCTTCTTTCCCCACATTTTGTCTTAGTTTTTAAATTACTTTACAAATTTATGCAAAAATTCTAAAGGATAATATAACAACATTTACTCAACTAAACCTACCAATAGAATTTCAGCTCCCCAGTATCCTATTCTAATTCCATCCTTTAAACACCAAAGATACCCACCAACCTAGACTTGATGTTTTTCAGGGCCATGCATCTTTTTAGACTTCTTCACAAATGTATAAGTTAAAAATATGAGGTTTTAATTAATAATTTAATATTTAAAGAAATCATATGCCATAGTATCCTGATAGAATTAACTGTTTTTGCTCAAGATTTTATGTGATAATTATTCATTCTAATACATGTAATTATCATTTGTTTATTTTTCACAGTGTATTCTATTGTATTTACATACCACAAAATATTAGTCTATTTTTTATTGGTGAATATTTAGATTTTTCTCTCTTATAAACAGTCCTGCTATGTCCATTTTTTAGTGTGTTTTCTTGTTTATATATGTGATAGTATTCTTAGATACCTACCCATCAGAGGATGTGTATCTTTAAGCTCAACAAGTAATTCTGAATGTCTCTCCAAAGTGGTCATATTTATTTAGATTCTTATGAGCAGGGTACATTCTTTTCTGTTCCTCTAAATGCTTGGTCAACATTTTCTACTGTAAGCCTTTTTAAATTTTTGCAACCTGAAAGGAAAGTGATTTTGATTTTAATTGTATTTTCCTGATTTCCATGGAAGCTGAGACACTTTTCATATGTTTAATAACTTCATTTTTCCTCTTCTGTGAAAAGTCTCTTCTTGTTTCTATAGTGTTATTTAATAGTTATTTTCTTAAAATCAAATAAAGTTTTGGCTGGGCATGGTGGCTCACCCCTGTAATCCTAGCACTTTGGGAGGCTGAGGTGGGTGGATGGCTTGAGCTCAGGAGTTTGAGGCCAGCCTGGCCAACAGGCAAGACCCCAAATCTACTAAAAACACACAAAAAAAGTAGGTGGGCATGGTGGTGCACACCCAGCTACTTGCGAGTTTGAGGTAGGAGGATAGCTTGAGCCCAGGGGGACAGAGGTTGCAGTAAGCCAAGATTGCACCACTGCACTCCAGCCTGGGAGACAGAGCGAGACCCTGTCTCAAAAACAAACAAACAAATAAGTAAATAAATAAATAAATTTGAATTGTGGTAGGGCAGATAACGTGAGATCTATCCCTTTAACAATGTTTTAAGTAAGTATACACTGTATTAAGTATATATGTACAGTTAACTCTAGGAACACTGTTGTACGGTGATCTCTAGACCTTATTCATCTTGTATAACTAAAACTTAATATCCATTGAACCATAGGTCTTACATTTAAATCTTTAATCAATTTTGAGCTTATTTTTGCGCATGGCGTAAGATAACAGTACAGTTTCACTCTTTTGCATGTCGATATCCAGTTTTTCCAACACCATTTGCTGAAGAGACTATCTTTTCCCAATCGCATATTCTTAGAATCTATGTTGAAGATTAGATGACCATATGTGCGTGATGTTATATATGGACCCTATTATAATGTTGGCCTATGTGTCTATTTTTATTCCAGTATCTTCTGTTTTTATTACTGTGGCTTTGTAATGTATTCTGAAATAATGAAGTGTGATGCTTCCATCTTCGTTTTCCTTCCTCAAGATTACTTTGGCTCTTTGGGGTCTTTTGTTGTTTCATATAAGTTTTAGGAATTTTGTTTATTTTTCTGTAAAAAAAATGCCATTGAGATTTAGATAGGGGTTGCATTGAATCTGTAGATTGCTTTGGGTAGTATGAACATTTGATCAATATTAAGTCTTCCAACACATGATCGTAGAAATGTTTACATTAATTTATGTTTTTAATTTATTTTATCAAAAATTTGTATTTTTCAGTGTAGCAGTATTTTCTCTACTTCATTATATTTATTCATAAACATTATATTCTTTTTGATGCTATTGTGCATGGGATTGTTTTATTGATTTTATTTCCAGATAGTTTGTTCAGTGCATAAAAATGCAACTATTTTTTAATGTTAATTTTGTATCCTGCCACTTTACTGATTTTGTTTATCAGTTCTAACAATATTTTGTTGGAGACTTTAAAATTATCTATATATAAGACAATGTCATCTGCAAACAGAAACAATTTAACTTCTTCCTTTCTGTTTTGGATGCTTTTATTTCTTTTTCTTGCCTGATTACTCTGACTAGATCATTTAGTATTATGTTGAACAGAAGTGGTGAGAATGGGCATTCTTGTCTTATTCCTGATCTTAGAAGATATGGTTTCAATTTTTTCCACAATGTCAGCTTGATATGCACTTGTCATATATGGCCTTTATTATGTTGATGTTTATTTATTCTATACCTAATTTATTGAGAGATTTTGTCATGAAAGGATGTTGAGTTTTGTCAAATGTGGGTTTTTGCAGCTATTCAGATGATTGTATAGTTTTTAATCCTTCATTCTGTTGACTCAGTGTATCCCATTTATTTACCTGCATATGTTAAACTGTTCCTGTGTCCGAGGGCTAAATCCTACTTTATGTTGGGGAATCTTTTTAATGTGTTATTGAATTTGGTTTACAGGATTTCTGCATCTATGTTCATCAGGGATATTGGCCTAATTTTCTTTTCTTTTAGCGTTCTTGTGTAGATTTTGTCTCATGTAAAATGAGTTTTGATGTGTTCTCTCCTCCTCTTCAATTTCTTGGAAGAGTTTGAGGAGGATTGATATTAATTCATTCTTAAATATTAGGCAGAATTATCCAGTAAAATAATCTGTTCCTGCACCTTTCTTGTAGGGAAATCTGTTGGCCTGTAGTTGCTCCTAGTATTAGCTTATGAACCTTGGTATGTCAGTTGTAATTTATTCCATTTATTAAAGTTACATCAGTTGTAATATCTCCTATTTCATTTAAAAGCTTATTTATCTCAGTCATCTTTCCTTTACATTTGTCTAGCTTTTTGTTTATCAAAAACAATTTTGTTTATCTTTTCAAAGAACCAACTGTTACATTTGTTGATCTTCTTCTTATTATTTTTCATCTCCATTTCATTTAGGTCTATTCTGATCTTTTTCCATTTTTTCTGCTGATTGCGGGCTTCGTTTGTTCTTTGTTTTCTAATTCCTTGAGGTGTAAAGCTAGGATGTTTACTTGAGATCTTACTTTTTCATCTTAATGTTCACACTCATCACTATAAACTTCCCTCACAGAACTAGTTTTGCTGTATTCCATACATTTAGGTATGGTGTAGTTCCATACTGTTTGATTTACCTTTTTATTTCTTCATTAACCAATTGGTACTTCAGGAATTTGTTGTTTATTTTCCACACATTTTTGAATTTTCCAATTTTCCTTCTGTTATTGATTTCTAGTTTCATTATTATTGTGGTTGGAAAAGATACTTAATATGATTTTAATTTTATTAAATTTATCAACACTCATTTAGTGGTCAAACATATGATCTATCTTGGAGAATGTTCCATGTGTAGTTGAGAAGAATATTTATTCTCTTGCTATTGAATGGAATGTCCTGCATATGTCTATTAGGTCCCTTTGGTCTATAGTGTTGCTCCAATTGGCTGTTTCTTTAATGATTTTCTTTGGATTGGATTACATACTCGTTGTTAAAAATGGGTTATTGAATCCCTCTAATCTTATTATATTGCTGCTCTTTCTACCTTTAGTTTTGTATATTTGCTTTACATATTTAGGTAATCCAATGCTGGATGCATACATATTTATTATCATTATATTCTCTAGATGAATTGACCCCTTTATATAGTGAACTTATTCATCTTTTGTGACAGTTGTTGACTTCGAGTCTACTTTGTCTGATATATATATATCCACTCCGGCTCTTTTTTGGTTAATATTTGCATTGAATGTTATTTCATCCTTCACTTTCAGCCTATGCGTGTCCTTAAAGATGAAGTGAGTCTCTTGAACCATATAGTTGAATCTTGTTATTTTTTTAATCCTTTTAGTCGCATTATGTCTTTGAGTGGGCAGTTTAAGCCATTTACATGTAAAGTATTGATACATAGATGAGGACTTACTATTGACATTTTGTTAATTGTTTGACTTGTAGTTCCCTTCTTTGCTGTACTCCTTTGTGATTTGAAGATTTTCTCTTTTTTGTAGTAGTATGCTTTGATTCTTTTAAAATTATCTTTTTATGTCCACTGTGGTTTATTTTCCTTTGTGATTACCATGTGTTTAAATAAATTTTCTTATAGCTATAAAAATCTATTTTAAGCTAATAACTACTTAACTTCAGCCCCATATAGAAATTTACACTTCTCTTTTCCCTCACATTTTTTGTTATTGATGCTATAATTTCCATGTTTGTACATTATATACTCATTAACAAATATTGTATCTATAATTACTTATAAAACATTTGTCTTTGAAATGTTATAATAGCTTTAAAAGCTATCTAAAAGCTATTTACACCACTACAGCATTAGTGTAATCTGAATTGGACTAAATACTTACATTCATCAGCAAGTTTTATACTTTCAGTTGTTTTCATTTTGCCAATTAGCATTCTTTTGTTTCAACTTAAGGAATTCCTTTTACATCTCTTCTAAGATAGGTATGTCTATTGGTGATGAAGTCCCTCAGGATTTTCTTTGCCTGGGAAAGTCTTTATCTGTCCTTCATTTGTGAAGGACAGCATTGCTGAATATAGTATTATTCATTGACAATGTTTTGTTTGTTTGTTTTTGATTTAAAATTATCATACCATTCTCGTTAGCCCTTTAAGATTTCTGCTGAAAGATAGTTTCATGGAGCATCTGTTTTTTGTGACAAGTCACTTTTCTATTGATGCTTCCAAAATTCTTTCTTTGTCTTTGATTGTTGACAATTTGTTTATAATGTGTCTTGGTAAAGACATCTGTATGTTTAACCTATTTGGGGTTCTTTGGGCTTCATGTCCTGGAAGTTCATTTTTCTTCCTAAAATTGGGAGATTTACTGTTATTATTTTTTAAAATAAGCTTTTTACCCCTTTCTCTTTTTTTGATCCTACTTGGACACCCCAAGTTCGTATATTGTTTCACTTGACTGTGTCTCACGAGTCTTGTAGTCTTCCTTCTTCTTCACTCTTTTTTTGGTTATTTGTCTGACTGAATGATTTCAAATTATATGTCTTTGGGATCACTGATTCTTTTGCTCAGACAAGTCTGCTGTTAAAACTGTATTGAATTTTTTAATTCTGTCGTTGCATTCTTCAGCTTCAGAATTTCTCTTTGGTTCTTTGTTACGGTTTCCATACCTTTGTTAAATTCCTTATTTTGTTCATGTATTTTTCTTTCCTGATTTTGTTTAGGTGAACTCTCCTGTAGCTTACTAATCTTGGAGATTATTCTTGTGTCTTCTTTGTCAGGCAATTCATAGATCTCTATTTCTTTAGAGCACTCATCAAAACTTTATTTTGTTTGGTGGTGTCACATTTTCTTGATTCTTTATGTTTTTTGATGACTTGCATTTTTGTCTTTGTATTTGAAAAAGTAGTCACCTCCTCTAGCTTGTACTGACTGACCTTAACCAATCGGCCTGACTAGAGATTCTAGATGTATCTCAGACCCTTTCACTGGATATACCTACTCCATTCATTTTGTTCACTCTTAAGGGAAAAAAAGTCTTACGTGCCTTCTCTTCATACCACGTAACTAGGTTGGATGCTGAGAACCTCAAGTTTATTTTTTCTAAGGAAGTGTCTTGAAATATTTAATGTCATATAGCTTACTCCCAATCCAGAAGAGTCAAACTGGCAGCTGAAATTTATACATGCTAATGAGGTCCATGTGCTGTTTGCAGGGTCTTGGATGTGCTGTCTGTGGGTTTATATGGAGTGCCATGCACAGGAGTGTGTGAGGTGCTAGCCACAGAGAGGAGCATAGTGTACTGGGGGCACGCATTGGCTGTATCCACAGGTGAGTTGTACTGCAGCATTTGTGGGTAGGGCTTTTGGTGGAGTCCATAAGCAAGTTAGCAGGCTCCATGACCAGTTTTTGAGATTCACACTGTTTTCTGTGAGTTTCTGCCTCTTCTTTCTGATCTTAGCTGCCCCAGATAAGAGCAGTAAGGCAATCCCCTTGATATTCTAGGAGGGTAAGACAAAAGCGGCCCTACTGGATAGTTTCCCACAGGGCTGAGAAAGCTGGGTGCTTACTTCAATCTTATTTTGCACCATTGGAATAAACTGTGAGCTGAAAGTAATTCTCTTGGCATCAAGTTGTGTTGCCTTGATGGAGTAGTGACATGAGTACCGTGAAACTTCTCTTCTTACCTTCTTCAATGTGTCCACTTTCAGATTTTTTGCTTTATTGAGGTGCAGGATCCTTTCAGCTGAACTGTGTGGCTCCCACAAAGTTATTTTCATCCCTTAGTGGTTACAAAATAGTTGTTTATGGAGGTGGTAGCAGTAGCATGAGGGTTAAAACCTCCTTTCGCACCATCTTGTTGACATTTCTAACATTTTAAAAATTGTAACTGTGGTCTTATTTTCTGCTTTTCTGTTAACCAAGTGCTTTTTATTTTCATTATTTCTTACATATTGTTAAGTTGAAAATATATTTAAAAAATTTTTAACCTTTATTTGTTTGAAAAATTGTTTTATCAACTTATTACATTGAATTGATGTATATCACATCTGATTATAACAATATTATAGTTAGTGTAAAGCTATTTTGTATGTCTAGTCCCTTCCCAATCAATGTAAAGTTTTTAGCAAATGTTAAGTACTAATTGAAGAACACTCTTAGCCTTTCACCCTTGTAATTGCTCTCTGAAACACTAAACATTTTTAAAACACTATTTATTTGTAATTATTCATTTATTTCAAAAGCATTTTGAAGGCATTACTTAAAGCTAACCACATGGTTTCTTAGTTCTTGTGTTTACCACTGCTTCTTTTTTACTTCTTTTTTTGCTGAGGTATCCACTTCAGTAGCTCTTTTAGGAAGGATTAACCTAACAGAAATTTCTCTCCTAAAATTACTTACCCATCCTATGTTATGGTTTTATATTACTTTGTGGGTTTCTCTAATTGTTTATTACATTAATTCAAAGATACATTTTTCTTTTTTATATTTTAATATTTTTTAGATCGAGATTAGTTTTACAGTTGATGCAAAGTTAGCAATGTGTCATAATTTAATAGGCAGTATGTTAGAGGTAAGTTAAAATAATTGTGTATTTGACTTAGTTTCCACAAAATAATGTATTAACATTTGTGGACTTTATCTATCCTTGACATTATTTTTAATGTTTTACACAAAATATATCTTTGAATTAATTCAAAGTTCCAATTAGTGGCAGTCAAGCTTTTTTTTTTTAATCAAAACAAGCCTAATTCCGTAGCCCACCCTTTTAAAAACCACAAAATAATTTGTGAGTCTATTATTTCCAAACCTATATAATTCCTGGTCCTTACTTTTCCAAATTCCCTGATAATCAGAATCACCTGGAATACATAACGTTAACTCCAACCCCTGTCCTTGTCTGAGGGTCACTAAATGAGAATCTCCAAAGGAAGAGCTATGTATGCTGTACTGTATCAAATGTTTCTAGGTGATTTATGTCTTCAGGCCAGTTAAGAAAATACTTTCTTAGCCCGGTTAGTCTGTGATAGATCCTTTTTAGCATCTGTAACTTGTCATCATCAAGCAAACTCTGAATATCCAAGCTATATTGGACAATTACTATTTGTCTTGAGAGGTAAAGAGAGTTTTTAATTTTAGTTAATTGCCTCCTTAAGGTCTAAGCCTGATCCTACTTTGTGAGCTTGTCCTTTACCACCAGGGAGGGATATTTCCAGTTCTACCTCTATGGGTGCATCAGAGCACCTCATAACTATTTGTCAGTCAGACCCCTAGTAAAGACTGATGATAGCTAACAGGGGTCAAAAAATGCTGCTTCTTAAACTACTTGGATTCTAAGTTTCTGAATTTGGAGGTATCTGTCTATAAAAGGGTTATACACTTCTGATATGGTTGGGCTGTGTCCCCACCTCAATCTCACCTTGAATTGTAATAATCTCCATATGTCAAGGGCGGGGCCAGGTGGAGATAATTGAATCATGGGGCAGTTTCCTCCATACTGTTCTCGTGGTAGTGAATAAGTCTCACAAGATCTGATGATTTTATAAATGGGAATTCCCCTGCACAAACACTCTTGCCTGCCACCATGTAAGATGTGACTTTATTCCTCTTCCACCTTCTGCCATGATTGTGAGGCCTCCCCAGTCATGCTGACCTGTGAGTCAATTAAACTTCTTTCCTTTATAAATTAGGCAGTCTCGAGTTTGTCTTTATTAGCAGCATGAGAAGGGACTAATACAATTTCTAAAACCTATTTGATAATCGTATAATCATTTATTTCCTTCAAATATGCTGTGTATGTGTGTGTTTATGATACATATGTTAGTGCTTTAGGAACCTGTGACTCAAAGAGATAATGCAGATTTTATAAGTTAGCATCAGACCTGACAATAACATCAGTGGAAAGGCCTTCAGCTCATTGCATTTTATTCTGTATGAGGGAATCTTTTTTATTTTGGTGCATTTCTGAAATGAATGCATAATAGTTTCTACATTCATATTCCATGCAGTATATTGGGCTAAATGTCATTAATCTGAAAATCTCTCCCAGGTGGAACTCAGCTAAACTTTTTGTTGCAAATTCAATCAATTTGAATGAAATCACGTTTAGAATTTGATCTGACCTTGATGTCAAGCAAGATTCTCTTAATTTGGCTGGAAAATTGTGCTTTCAAGAGCCAAATTCATTTTAAAGCTTTTTCCTTTTCCCTCTTTTAACTCTATTCCTCTGAAGTCAAAATGAATTCAATTTAACTGTGTCTTTATTATTTTAATTTGGTAATTTTAACTGACAAATTGTGTCTTAAAATACCAATTCTAATCTATTAGATCTCAAAAGTTGGAGAGCTTCTTGGAAAAATGATTCAATAGGAAAGATTATTATTTGTTGAGAAAAGTGAAAAAAGATTTAGAGAGAGTGTTATAGTGTTCAGTATGTCTGCATTAAAATAAAGGATTAAAAATTACTTAGTAATTAAGAGTCAAGGGCACAAATTTGCCCTGATCGTTCAAGGTCTCAGATAACCCATATGTAAAATGAAGTAAGTAGACAACATGATCTCCCCTTTGCTAGTCTTTAGAAAAAGAAAGTTTAGAAAAATAGGCTTTCAAATATAAAAGCGAATTAAAATATGTGCCTTTCCCACGATAATGAACGTGTTATATCAAATCAGATTAATTATATTCTAAGTGTGTTAAGAAATTTATGATGAATTTCATTTCTCTTTCAACAGACCTATGATATGAATTAATGTAATGAAGAAATATTCAACATTTTTACATCTTTAATTTGTTTTATGTAGTTTCCCTCCGTTTAAAATCTCATATAATATCTTTATGTATCCATCTTTACTAAAATAACTAATATCAATTTTCTTATATTTTCCCTAACTTTTCCTTTTATATGGAAAATTATTTGAGTCACTTATTTGACAGACCCTATTATGTGTTTTTTAATAAACTTCATGATATGGTTTGGCCTTGTGTCCCCACCCAAATCTCACCTTGAACTGTAATAATCCCCACATGTTGTGGGAGGGACATGGCGGGAGGTAACTGAATCATGGGAGTTGTTCTCATGATAGTAAGTCTCATGAGATCTGATGGTTTTATAAAGGGGAGTTCCCCTGCACATGTTCTCTCTTGCCTGTTGCAATTTAAGCATGCCTTTGCTCTTCCTTTGCCTTCCACCATGGTTGAGAGGCCTCCCCAGCCATGTAGAACTGTGAGTCCATTAAACCTCTTTTTCTTTATAAATTACCCAGTTTTGGGTATGTCTCTATTAGCCCCAAAAGAACAGATTAATATACCTCATATTTCCCACTAATTTTTATTATTTTTCCTTGATTCAATACTATTTACCTACATTGTACTTAGTGATCCCAAATAATGACAACTTTAAGACATATTGAGATACATTTGGGCCTTTAAATAGTGCATTGAAACAAATAGCCTTAAGCCAAGGCAGTAAAATTGATCATATCTTTGCCACATACCTTGCCTTTTTATTGTTTGTTTGTTAAATATTTTGACTCCATAGTATTTGCAATTACCTATTTTTCTTTTTAACTTTTTGAAAATCTACATGATTTTTAAATAATATTCCTAGCTATGGCCCACTATATTATCCTGAATTCGATACTGTGACTAGTGTTTCACAGAATATCAAGTCTCATTGTTAGCCATGTTATCTGTTCACTGACAAATCACAACTGGACATTATACCTATGGATCTGGATCTGTTGATCTGCACTAATATCCTTTTAAGTAAGAGTGGTAATGCTTTTCTGGACACAACTTTTGCAATTTTTAAAAACATATTCATTTGTCATGTTTGGTAAATGGTATATGCATACTTTATTGGAGTTATAGCTTGTTTCTGTCTTTTTAATATATTTTGCCAGCTAACTCCAAAACATCCTTCAATGGCACATTCAGATGAAGCTGAGCAAACTATAAAGGTAGAAGCCATATGCCCTAAACTGCTTTCTCTCTGATATGCACAATAAGTTTGAGGGGAGAGAAAAAAAATTGTATCCAGTCACCCTCAGGTTTGATAATTTGCTAGAATATCTCGTAGCACTCCCTAAAGAGTATAATACACACAGCTGTGGTTTATTATGTGAAAAAAAATAGGGTAAAATTAGCTAAGGGCAAAAGAAAAGCAGAGTTTCAAAGAACTACCAAATGCAGAATTCCTATTATATTCTTCTTGTGGTATGAAGATGCATTTGTCTTCCAACATCCATATGTGGCAATATGTATAAAGTATTACCAACCAGAGAAACTTACTTGAGCCTTGGCATTCAGAAATTTTATTGGGGCTCCATTATGCAAGCATGATTGATTGATTGCCCATATGGTTGATCTCAGTCTTCAGGTCAATTGACACCATGTTATCCAAAACCCTGATCCTAAATCACATTCTTGGTCTTTCTGGCATAGCTAGTCCCCACGTTATATCACATTGTTACTATTTAGATAGGTGAAGGAGCCAAGAAAAACAAAGATTACCTCTGGGAGATAAGGATGAGCATCAGACTTTCATTGTTCAAGGTTAAATTACTTACTGCAGAGGCTACCCTCTGGGCTTTGGCCAAGGATCTCCTATATTTAGTAGAGAATTTATATAACAGAGATAGCAATTGTATCAATATAAATAAGCCTAACATTTGGAAAAGCCGGTGTGGGGTAGAAATAGGTTTAAATAATAAATAATCTATATGATAGTCATTACATAAATTTTCATGTTTTGTTCCTTGATCTACCACTATTTGTAACTTATGATAAACTCGTACAGAACTATTTTGCATATAAATTAGCAAATCCCATCATTCTTTAGGCTAGTCATGTTATGTTGGTGTTACATTCTCAGGGGTCTTTAACTCAATTTTCAATACATTTGACCATTGATGCCAGTGTTAGGCCATACCAGTATGGCTGCAGATGTGTAGATATTACCTGAAAAATAAGAGGCAGACATTACTACAGCCTGATATTGATGAATAGTCTAGTCCATTATCCTATTGTATGACCAAAATGCCTCCAAAGTGGCACCACTCTTGTTTGTAGGCTTCCATTTGATTTTGTCAGACAAAAAGAAGAGTGGTCTCAGCAACATATGATTTGACCTTTTCAGAAATCCAGTATAACTGACCTGAAAGACAAAGTTATCTCTTGCTCTGAGCCTTTTTTGAGGCACCAATATAATATTGTATTATTCTAATTGTGTTGACTATGTATTTATTTCTTTATGCTCAGCCTTCTTTCCTTTTTCTCTCCATTTTTACCCAAACTTATCAGCCTTCAGGAGATTTATTAGTGTCATCCTCTGTGCTTGTCCAACTTTCCAGCAGGAATACCAGTCTAGCAAATTTATCTGTCTCTCAGAACACTCCCATTCACATAGGGTAGAGTTACATTAGGGTAGGTTTCTTACATTTTCATAGTGGGCTATATCAATTGCTAAGCAACAGGGCTGCATTCATTATACTCCTTGATTTTACCAAACAGGAGGAAGGTAAAAACTCAGCTCATCAGGCCCTTAGGAATTCTGATATTTAAATTTAAAAGTATAGCTACAGTTTCTTACTTAATAATCCTCTATTCTTCTGGTACCCACAGTTGTAGTGAGGTCATGGGACCACTGCATCAGGTAAGGAAAAAAAAATTGAGCTTATGTGGGGAAAAAATAAAAGAAAAAAAAAGAAAGAAAAGGAAAGAATAGTAGTATCAGCATCCTTACTGGGCGGGAACAATTGTGTTCAGGTTGAGCATCTCTGATGGAAAAATCTGAAATCTGAAATCCTCCCAAATCTAAAACTTGTTGAATGTTGACATGAGATAGTGACACATTTGCTTGCTGATGCTTCAATGGACACAAACTTTGTTTTATGTAGAAAATGATTAAGAATTTTGCTTAAAATTACCTTTAGGCTATGTGTGTAATGTGTGTAGAAAACATAAATGAATTTTGTGTTTAGACTTGAGTTCCTTCCCCAAGATACCTTATTATGTATATGCAAATATTTCAAAAAAAATCTGAAATCTAAACACTTCTGGTCCCACACATTTTCGATAAAGAATACTCAACCTGTAGTTTTACCAGCACCTGCCCCCCAGCCAAGTTTTCGTTCTAAATCCTCCAGAAAATTGGAGGAATCTAACAAAAGGGGGAACCTTCCTTTGGTCCCCTCTTATGATGAGTGTGAGCACATACTTACGAAGCTGTTCAAGTCAACCCATCATACTTTCATCTCTTCCAATTTTAGACAACAAGGGTTCTAATTGTCCACTCCAGTTTTCTCAAACCATTACTCTGAGAATGAAAGTGTGTTCTTGTTCTGAGGAATTGTGACTTAGCTATCCAAATTAGTGCATGTCTTCTGTTCTGGTTCTTTTATAGTACTATGAGCATTTGTATCTACTACTTTATTTTCTGAAACAGTGATTACTAGTAGGTTTAGCAGATTTGATTTTTATGTACAGAAGAGGACATTCTTGGCAGTATTGAAAGCATACTTCTCAGGCATCTGCTTTTTTATCTTCATGGCAGCAAGTACAGACTCTTTTATTATTCGTGTTTTAGTTTTCATAGCATTTAAACATTTTTATCTGCCATTCTCACATTCAGCCTCTGAGGATAGCAAGAATGAATCATTACATAGAGTTTATAAATAAAAAAATGTTTAGAGAAGTTGATATGTTCAAATTAATTCAACTAACCGATAGAAGATGAATCATTAACAAACAAGTTTATTTTTTTTTCTATTTATAATATGAGCACATTTTAGCCACGCCCTGCCTAAGAACAGATTCTAGAGTTCTCCCAATGTTCACTCTGACTATGTTTCTACTATGGTATAATTCTTGCTTATTTACAATGTGTTACCTGCGTTGGAGAATAGGAAGGAGAGACAAAATCCCAACAGGGACTCTCATAAAGCCTGGCCCAAACAAATAATTAAAGAAATCCATCAGATAATTAATATGGGAACAATCCCTATCTTAGAATTAATTATCAAATAATATAAGAGCATATGAGTGCTTCTGATGGGTGTGTATTGGGGGACATGAGTTGAAGATGATAAATTGAAGAATGCCAAAAATATACATGTTGTCTGTTCCATATTCTAAACTTAAAATGAGCTGAAAAGATAGTATAAGAAAACAATTAACTATTTAAAGAATGTTCCAAACCCAACACATCTCAAGAACTACCAACTCAGAATAGACAACAGAGCAAAAAAAAAGAAATCTATCATCATTGTTGTAAGGAAGTACTTATTAAATAATTCCTACTTTACTACCATAGCATTTTTTATATGTTTTGATATCATAAAGACATTCAAGAACCATCTTTTTAAAAAAAAAAAAACTCTGTGAGGTATAATTGGCACACAAGATGTTGTACATATTTATGTATACAATTTGATGAGTCTGGAAATTGTTTTATAAAATATAGATCTGTGAAACCATTACTGCAACCTATACCGTAAACATATCTATCACCTTCAAAAAACATTTTTTGCTATAAAAGAACCATTTCAAGGCAAGTGGTAAGACATTTTGTTCTTTGGGTTATATAAAAATATTTAAACATCTATTATGAGGTATTAGTTTCACAGGTAGTAAACAGAATGCAGGCAGATAAACAATACACATACCTGACTTAAAAGGTACATATATTTATGAAACATATACATAACTTGCCTGTGTTCTGTGGCATACACATAGTATATTACATAATGGATATGTGTTCTACAGAAGAGAGTTCACATATTGGATTTCACTAGATATACCTTATAGGCATATTTTATTTAATTGCACAGAGTTGTTTGGCATGATGTTTTAACATTTCAAAATTGATTGTCAGCATTTATCAAAATACTTCATCTAAAAGTCCAAGTATCTAGATTCTAGGACTTCCATATATACTCATGACAGTGTAAAGTACTGAACTTGCACTCTTATTGTAAATACTTAAAACGGATGTAAATAATTAAGAAAGGACTATGTCCTCTATCAATTCAAATTTACTAGACAAATGATGAAGCTAAAAATATGATTCATTATCAGGAAAATAAACAGTCTATAGAAATTGACCCTGAGATGATAGGATGATAGAATTAGCATAGAATAACTTTAACACAACTATTATACACATTACCAAAAATTGAAAAGATGTATGATTTTAATAAATGAAGAGATTAAAAATTCAAGTAGAGAAATGGAAGTCATAAAGGAAATCTGATAGAAATATAGAAGTAAAAAGTATATATATAAAATGTAAAAAATACTGGAATAATTTAACAAATATTTAGAAATGCCAAAAGAAATACTTTCGTGCATTGAAGATAGATCAATTTTTTTCTGTTTTTTTAGGTTCATGGGGTACATGTGCAGGTTTGTTACCTTGGTAAATTGCATGTCACTGAGTCTTGGTATATGAATAATCCTGTCACCAAGATAGTGAGTGTAGTACCCAATAAGTAGCCTTCTAACACATGTCCCTCTCTCACCCTTCACTTTCAAGTGCTCCCCAGTATCTATTCCCATCTTTGTGTCCATATTTATTCAATGTTTGGCTCCCACTTATAAGTGATAACATGCAGTATTTGTTTGCTGTCCCCACATTAGTTTGCTTGCATAATGGCCTCCAGCTGCATCCATGTTGCTGCAAAGGACATAATTTCATTATTTTTTATGACTGCATAGTATTCCATGGTCTATATGTACTATATTTTAGAAAATTTATTAAATAGATGGATACATTTGAAAAACAAAACACAACAATCTGAAGAAAATAAGGAAGACAAAGACTAGAAAAAAATGAACACAATATAAATGAACTAAGGGAAATATAAATCTTTCCATCATACATGTTATTGCTCCCAAAAAGAAAGAAAAAACTAGGCACAAAAAAATGCTTGATTAAATATTTTTTTAAATTCCCATATTGTAGAAAAACCCCCTAAAAACAAATAATAGTTGAAATCATTAGCACATTGGTAGACATTTAGCTATTAGTTCTTTGAGGAAGAAACTCTTACTGGTAGCATTTGCCAATGCCCATGATGTAAATATTCATACCCTTGCAAATTCCAGGCTACTATAGTGGCATATAAAAGAAAGTAAGATCTCATCACTAATATTTCTAATGGTAAAATATTGAACAGTTTTCCCTAAGAGTATATGTATTGTATTAAATAATCTAGTCAGTGGAATAAGGCAGGAACATCACCAGTAGTTGTTAAATCTAGTGGTTGATGCAGAACACACAATACCAATTCAGGTATTCCGGCCACAAACAATCAAGCAAACACAAGTTGATGGTCATTCTCCAAAATAAAAATCCTACATTCTTAAAAAAATGTTAAAGTTAAGAAAAAGACAAGAAATGCTAATGGATACTTCCAGATTGTAAGTGTGTAAATAAATTAAATGATATGCCTAATTCTGAATTGAGTTACAGCCAAAAAATATTATTTAAAAAACTATAAAGGACATAATTTTTTGATTGATGAAATTGCAATATAGATTTCGGTTTTGTTAGTAATAGTAAATCAGTGTTAAATTTCTTCATTTTGATAACTATTTTATGCTTATATAATAATTTTTTTTTAACAAATAACAGGATAAATTTAGAGATAAAGGGTATTGGTTTCTGAAACTTACTCTTATATGGCTCATTTAAAAAGTTATTCATTAATCTTTCAATATATGAGAAAGCATGTATATGCCTGTATGTATGTATGTATATAACATGACATATAATATATAATCAAAATTATGCATATGGAAGATACACACATATATACACACAAAAAAGAGATTAAAAAAGAAAATTAGCAAAATATAAACAATGGATAAATTTGTTTAAAAAGGAGTAGAATTTCTTTAAACTCTTTTTACAAATTTTTGTTTGTTTAAAATTGTGTCAAAACATAATGTTATTGAGAGTTATAACACTTTTATCTCTTTCTAATGAAAATGTATCAATTCATTTTCTTTGTGATTGACCTTTATCTGCATTTCAAACAAATTTTGTGCTCAATGTCTTTTCATTATCAAACCAATGTTGGTGTTCTTCTTTATTATGCATTTTCAGTTTCCATTTCTCTTTCCTTGTTTCTCTGTTCTGTCCCTCACTGATCTAAGGCAAAAGTCTTGCTAGTGAATATAGAGATATGCAACTTCTTCCATTCCCTTGCAGTATTGTGTGAGGAATTACTACCGCGAAGTTAGTGCCTTAAAACACCACTTTTATTTCACAGTGCTGCAGGTCAGAAGTATGGGAGTGGCAGAGCAGGGTTGCTGGACTGTCTGTTCACTGTATTCTAATGCTGAAACCAAGGCATTGGCTGGGCTGAGCTCTCACCTGGATGCTTTAGAGAAAAATTCACTTCCAAGATCATTCAGATTGTTGGCAGAATTCAGTTCTTTGTGGCTTGTGAGGTCCCCAGTCTTTTTCTGGCTGTCAGTTGGAGGTTGATTACAGCTTCTATAGACTACTCCCAGGTCATTCCCACATGAACCCTCCGTCTTCAAAGCCAGCAACAGATCCTTTCCCTTTTATGATTTCAATCACTTTGATTTTGAATCTCTTTCACTAGGATGAATCTCAACTCTAGCATTAGATTTTGATAGCTGCATAATAAAGTCTCAAAAGCTTTCCAGTTTGAAGTAAGATCCACTTATTAGCTCAAAGTTGCATGTATCTGGAGTCTGGCATGGCATGTATAAGTTCTGTGTTCAGAAATCCGAAGAGTGAAATCAACATGTTGGCCTGACTAAATTCTCATCTCAGGAGGCCCTGCAGGGGAAAATTTGCTTCATAGTTTATTCTTGCTTGCAAAATTTAGTTCCTTTTGGCAATTGGACTGGAGTCCCCCATTCCTTGCTTATTGTACTCATGCACCACTCTCATTTCCTAGAGGTTGCTCTCAGGTCCTTTCCATGTGGTTCCCACAGGGAGTTTGCACCATCCATGCCTGCTTTCCTCCAGGCCCACTGAAGCACAACTTTCTGACGTTCCCTTTTGCAGTCAGACAAAGAAAACTCTCTGCTTTTAAATGGCTCAACAAACTGGGTCACTCCCATTCAGAATAATATCTTTTTTTGCTATATAGTCTAACATAGCAATGAATATAATTGTATCTTACCTTATACACAAATTTTGCCCCTACTTAAGGAGAAGAAAATTATTACAACAGTGTGAGCGTCCTTGAAGTCACTGTAAAATTCTGCCTATCACAAGGATCATGTGGTTAGGCCTGTACAACCCAGTATAATCTCCCTTTTAAAAACTCAGTTGTGCCAAATAACATAATACCATCAGGGGTGTGATATCTCATTATATTCATGTATTCCTCCAACACTCACTTAGAAGGATTATACAAGTGTGTGGCTTATTGAGGTTCATCTTAGAATTCTGCAGTCACACCTAATGTATAACAAAGTTGTCAAACTGTATCTAAAAAGAAACATCTGGAATTTTTCTTCTAAAGCTAAGGGTCCAGAAAGTAGGTTTCTTTAAGAACTTATTATCAAGTTATTCCACTTCTTTATTAGCCAAGAGTATCTTCTATTATAAACTAAACAATGATTTATGACAGAATCCTCATTATAATATAATATATAATATAAAACTATCTAATAGCAAACAGTTTATCTCTAATTTGTTCCCACATAATAAGTAGAAGACGTAATCTAAACTCTTCAAAATTTACTTTGTTTTATAAGAGAAGGAAAATAGGTCAGAATTAAATATTGGTATAAGAAAGTTTAATGCATCAGTAAATTTCATTAGATACCTTATTACCTAAAAGCTTGATTGAACTAACAGCATTTTCTACTGGAAATATACTAGTTATTTATTTCTGAGTAACAATATTACCACAAATTTAGAAGATTAGAACACTGCATATTTATTATCTCACAATTTCTGCTGGTCAGGAATTTGGTCAAGGTTTAAATGAATCCTCTGCTTAGAGTTTCAGTGTTGGAGTTGCTGAGTTATGTTCTCAATTGGAGGCTCAGTTTGGAAAGCATTCACTTAAACTCACTCAGGTTGTTGGCAGAACTCATTTTGTTGTGATTTTATGACTGAGAGGCACAGCTTCTTGCTAATTGTTGCTTAGAGTATGTGCTTGCCTCCTAGAGGCTGCAGACAGTTCCATACTATGTGGGTTTTTCCCAACGTGAACCCTTTCTTCAACTAGCCAGCACAGAGGCTCCAACATGAGTCTCCTAGAAAGACAGTGTTGGGGAAACCAGCCCCACACCACCCAGCTGGTACCCCAAGTCCGGCGGAGACAAAGGAGTTAGAAAGAGACAGAGTAAGTGTCTAAAAGGCAGGTCCGGAGACAAAGGAGTTAGAAAGAGACAGAGTAAGTGTCTAAAAGGCAGGTCCAGGGGACCGGAGCATCAGAGGCTTGCTCACGGCCCAGAGCTCTCTGGCTCTGACTAATTTATTGGTTTACAAGCTCTTTGTTCTTAGGGCAGATGGGAGGGGGAGGAAGGGGTGAGGAAAAGGATTAATCAGTGAAGGAGAAGTCGTGAGTCATTCAATAAGATGTAGAGCAATGGCGGTTTCTGTGAATTTCCTTGAGCAAAGGCATGTGTCTAAACTACTTAAGATCTTTAACTTATCGGGACTGAAATGGGCGGGAGTGGGTTTCAGGAGGAGCCAAGATGTTTGATTATACTCCACGGCTTCAAGGGAGTATTATCTCCCTGAGCAACCTGTGGAATGCTGCTGAGTGGTTATGCTCTTAGGGCATAAAGACATGAAGGCAATAAGGAGACTTTTCTCCTCAGAGGCTGCCCATTGCTCCCCATGGGTGTCTCACACAGGGGAGACCAACTCATCTGGCACCCCAGAAACTCTCTTTCCCACAGACAGTCTTAAAGAAAGTAACGTAATCACAAGAGTGATATCTTATTGCCTTAGCCATATTCTGTCAGAAGAAAGTCACAGTCCCCACCCACAACCAAGGGCTTTGAATTATACAAAGGCATAAACATCAGGAAGTGAGGATTCTGGGGTTGGGGAGGAGGCTGTTAGAATCTGTCCATTACTGGAGGACAAGGGCTGGAGAGGTCACCATGGGATGAAGATTTCTGGGATGAAAAACTTTAATATGGGCCTTCAATGATAGGTATTAATTGGAAAGATAGATTTGGAGGGACTATTATTATTTTAAGCCTTGCCATACAAGGCAATGCCATTGTTCTTTTCTGTATAATATGATACTGTGGCAACTGTATCATATGAATGACAGAACACTGTGTTGATCAGGAAAACCTGCAAAATATTGGAGATCAGATTAGTTATGTGCACACTAGATTCTGTTCAGTAAATAATACATACTTCCTACTATTAGACAATATGTTAAGCAAGCCTCAGAGATTATTGAAACTAAAGCCAAACCAACTTAAACACAAATGTTTATTAACATAATCAATGAAACAGGTTGTTTAAGAGGGTTCACAGTGTTTCAGTGGTAAAACCGACATTATGGTACAACAATCTTTTTTACCATTTAAAAATTTGTTTTCTTATTTATATTTCATTAATTGACAATTTCTATACTTGGGGGTCAATGATGATTTGCATGTTCCTCAGCTCTCATCTCATTGCATCAAAAGCAAAATAATTTTGTTCTCCACAGGGCCCAAAGTATTCCTTAAAAATCGCTGTGATTTCCCCTTTGTGAGTTACATAAGCCCCTCTATATCACTAGATATGGTTCGACTCTGTGTCCCCACCCAAATCTCATCTGGAATTGTAATCCCCATGTATCAGGAGGAGGACCTGGTGAGAGGTGCTTGGATCATGGGGGTGGTTTCCCCCATGCCCTTCTCATGATAGTCAGTGAGTTCTCACAAGATCCGATGGTTTAAAAGTATATGGCAGTTTCCCCTTCATTCTCTCTCTCTCCTGCTGCCATGTAAGATCTACCTTGCTTCCCCTTCAGCTTCCGCCATGATTGTAAGTTTCCTGAGGCCTCCCCAGCTATGTGGAACTGTTAGTCAATTAGACCTCTTTTCTTTGTAAATTACCCAGTCTCAGGTAGTTCTTTATAGCAGTGTGAAAACAGACTAATACGTCAATCATCTTGTGTTGTTAGATGGAGAGCTACAATTGGCTAGGCTGTATTATGTGCTTTCTCCATGGTAGGATAGTCTTACCCTGTGGTTAGGAAGCTCAAAGCTGAGAGAAAATGAATAAATCCACCATTACAAAATAAAAGCAGACAAGAATGAAAAATGACATCCATCCTTCAAACCTAATAGGTTGATATTAAAGCTGTGATTAAAAGTCATTGCAGTATTTGTATACATTTGCATATTTGCATTGAATATTTTGCTTATGAAACAAGTTTAATTTTGAATTATATTTAATGAAAAACATTTGAATGACTTAATAACAATCAGGAATATTCAGCCGTATGGTGGATGTGAAAGTACTTGCTAAATTATAATGTAGCCTAAAATGTTTGCCTTTTTTGATAGATTATATTTAAATGGGTAAATTTAAGATTTTTTATATAGCGTAAGGATGGCCATCTAGAGAGTTTCAAGATGACTTTAGATATAATTCAGTGAAATAACATGGGCAATAGCAATGGATGGTTTTCTTCATGGAGCATTCTCACCCACTTTGAACTTCTTAACCAGGACTTTTCAGGATTATCTCTGTTGCAGTGTATCTCCTGTACAATATCATTTGTTTTATCTTGGAATCCCCAAAAGAAATCCTGGAGGAGTTCATATTCCAGGATGACTAACAAACAAAAACGTTAAAAATATGAGGAGCCTACCACAGCGAGCCAACAGGTGAAATGAACTAATTAATGAGATTTCATAGCAATAATATCTTTCCAAGAGAATGACATGATACGTAATGTAGTAGTCATAGGGCACATTTTTATTACTGAGCACTTTTGAACATATTGAATGATGATGAAAGAATCAGTATAAAATAAAACTTTATTTTTTCTACTTTTTTGGTCTCTACATAGCAGCATCAAAATATTTTTTACTTTATCTTAAATGTGACTTCTTTCCTGGTTTTGCCATATTCAGTTGTAATTAAATCCAGACCAATTGAAGGGGTTAAATGTATACTATTCTGGCCTATTGACTAAGTTAAAGACACTTGAAAAACAGAAGGTGCAAAAAAAAAAAAAAATCACTTCGACCCTTGTGCTGTTTCTTCAAAGCAGAAAATGAGATTCCCATGTGAAAGATGCCCTCTCTATGCTAGAAAGATGCAGCACCCAAATCTACAAAGATGAGAAATTGAAACCAAAAGAGTTCTGTACAGCCCTTGTTAATAACTTTTAAGGCTTCCCACATAATTTAGTCACATTTCTACAGTTTACTATTCTATGTCCAATCCAGCATATAACTGACTCTAACTGCATCTTCAGGATCTCCATTTTTATGACAGCTCTTTTGCCACTTACAAGTTTTCTTATGCTTTTCTTCTAATAATCTATCTTATATCAGTTTAATTCTCAGACCAAGCTTGGACCCTAAAAGAAGGGAGGGGAGATTTTTTAACTTAGAATAATCAGAATGATTTTACTCTATTTTTTGCAAGGTATTAAGTCCTTCTACATGGATATATACTGGGTAGGGACAGCATACCTACTTTGCCAGGAATATTCTAGGCTTATGAATATTGTCCCAGGAAAATTTATAAAAAGCTCTTCCTTTCGCTTTCAAGTTTTTTTTTTTTTTTGGATAATAAATTATGAGATCTCCCTGGCTCTGCAAGCTTTTCATATGCTCTAAGACTGCCATTAGATTATTTTTTTAATCACAAACTTCATAAAGTTTGTCACCATTTCATAAGGATGCTTAAAAATATCCACTATACTACTAGCACAACAACAACATAACAATAATTCCTTAATACCGATACATAACCAACCAGTGTTCAAATTATCCCAAATGTTTCCTATTTTTACAGCTTACTCATTTGCTTCAGGATCCAGATTGATTCTGCACATTGGAATTGGCTTATATATCCCTTACATAATTTTAGTCTTTGTTTTTCTACTCTTTTTTTGCAATTATGTTTGAGGAAATTAGATCATTTTTCCCTAGAGTATCTCACATTCTGGATTTTTTTGATTGCATCTGTTAGCCTTATGTATTTCATGTAAACTGGTATTTAGATCTAGAGTTTTTATTATAATTAATCCTTTTCCTTCCTTCCTTCCTTCCCTCCTTCCTTCCATCCTTCCTTCCCTACCTCCCTCCCTCCTTCCTTCCTTCCTTCCCTCTTCCCTCCCTCCCTCCCTTTCTTCCTTTCTTTTTTCATTTTTTCCTTTTGTAAGAATATTACATACATTGTATAAGGGACACATAAAAATATCTGGTGTGTCTCTCTTTTTGGGATTAAGTATAGAGCCAATCTGCAGCTGCTGTGAAGTATTTCTAGACTGTATTTAACTCCAGAAATATCTGGAACCATAATAAGTATTGGCTGAGATTAGAAGAAGTGTTCTAGCCAGTCATTCATAGTGCCCTTTTTAATGTCCCAAAACTCAATTAGAGGTGCTCTGTGCCAGTGTGCCAATTTATTTATAGTGATAGTTGAAATAATACAGATTGATAATCTATGCTTGGTTTTCCTTAGTACACAGCTTGGTTTTGGCTGTGACCAATGGGGTATAAAAGATTCCCCAGTAAAAATGTAATATAGCTTCACTGAGACCAGGATGTCACACATGCCTCTTGGTGGTTCACGATCTAAAGAAGTAAATTTGGTGCAGCTGAGAAAAAACTTTGAAATCTGAAACTAAAAGTTTAACTAGGTCTTCTGTCTCCTGCTATTTTGAATCCCTTGTCTTTATTAAAGACTTAATTAGGTATACCAGGCTAGGCTGTTGAGTCTTCTCAATTATTTGGGGTGCTGCATAATTGGTGTAGTAATAACTGGTAATTATTGCTTAAATCTATAACGTTATTGGAAATTAAAAAGGGTATCACTAAAAATTTGACATACTTTATTCAACTACTGAATTATATACTTCTATAATTATGGATGTCTCTTTATCTATTCTTTATTTACCGTAACAGACAACTTGTAATAACAGAAAAAAGCCAGCCAACTAAAGCCGACATAAACCACAGTCAAATTCTTAAGAGCATCAAAGAATATAAAAGTGAAAAGCGCCATCCAAAGGACAGCAACTGCACAGATTAAAGGAACATCAAGGCTGGGCATGGTTCTCACACTTATAATCCCAGCACTTTAAGAGGCCAAGGCAGGTGGATTACTTGAAGTCAAGAGTTCAAGACCAGCGTGGCCTACATGGCAAAAACCCGTTTCTACTAAAAATACACAAAAATTAGCCTGGGATTATGTCACACCTGTAGTCCCAGCTACTCAGGAGGCTGAGGCAGGAGAATTGCTTGAACCCAGGAGGTGGAGGTTGCAGTGAGCCAAGATCACGCCACTGCACTCTAGCCTGAGTGACAGAGTGAGACTCCACCTCAAACAACAACAACAACAACAAAACATCAGCTCACACACATGAGAAAGAACCAGGCTAAGAACTCTGGCAACTCTAAAACCTAAAGTGTCTTCTTACTTCCTAATGACTGCATTAAGCTTTGCAGCAGTGGTTCGTAAGCAGACTGAAATAGCTGATGTGATACACAGAATTCAGAATCTGGATGACAAGGAAAATCAGCAAGATTCAAAAGAAAGTTGATACCCAATCCAAGGCATCTATGCAATCCAGTAAAGTAATTCAAGAGCTGACAAACAAAAGAGCCATTTTGAGAAAGAACCAAACTGATCTGATAGAGCTAAAAACGTCATTACAAGAATTTCAATCAGAAATATTAACAGCAGTATAGACCAAGTGGGGAAAGAACCTCAGAGCTTGAAGAATAGTTTCTCAAATCAGTCAGAGGAAAATAAAAAAAATCATAAAAAATGAACAAAACCTCTGAGAAATATGGGATTATATAAAGAAACCCAACCTACAACTCATTGGCCTCCCTGAAAGAGAAGAAGAGACAGCAAGCAACTTGAAAAACATAGTTGAGAATATTGTTCGTGAAAAATTTCCGAACCTTGCTAGAGAGGTACACATTCAAATTCAGGAAGTTCAGAGAATCCCTGCAAGATACTGCACAGGAGGAACATCTTCAAGACACATAGTCATCAGATTCTCCAAGGTCAATATGAAAGGAAAAATATTGATGGCAGCTGGAAAGAAGGGGAAAGTCACGTACAAAGAGAACCCCCTCAAACTAACGGCAGATTTTTTTCACTGAAACCTACAAACTAAAAAAGATTAGAGACCTTTATACAGCATCCTTAAAGAAAAGAAATTTCAACCAAGAATTTAATATTTAGTCAAACTAAGCTTTATAAATGAAAGAGAAATAAAATCCTTTTAAGACAAGCAAGTGCTAAGGGAATTTGTTAACATCAAACCAGCCTTACAACAGGTCCTTGAGGGAGTGCTAAATATAGAAACAAAAGATTATTGCCAGCCACCACAAATACACACTTAACTATGTAGACCATTGAAACTATAAAGCAACTACACAATCAAGTCTACATGACAACCGCTTAACAACACAATGACACGATCAATTTTTCACATATCTACATTAACCTTGGACACAAAAGGGCTAAACAGCTCACTTAAAAGGTACAGAGTGGCAAGTTAGATACAGAAGCAAGACCTGACTGCATGCTGTCTTCAAGAGATCCATCTCACATGCAGTAACATCTATGGGCTCAAAGTAAAGGGATTGAGAAACATGTTTGAAGTAAATGGAAAACAAAACAGAACAGGGGTACCTATTCTTATTTCAGAGAAAACAGGCTTTAAACCAAAAATAATCCAAAAGGACAAACAAGGGTATCGCATAATGCTAAAGGGTTCAGTTCAACAGGAAGATTTAGTTAACTATCCTAAATATATATGTAACCAAACACTGAAATACCCAATGTTCTTTGAGACCTATGAAGAGACTTAGATAACCATATTAATAATGTGAGCCTTCAATACTCCATTGACAGTACCAGAGAAAACTAACAAAAATATTTGGGCCCTAAACTCAACATTGACCAAATGGACCTAACAGACATCCACAGAACACTCCAGTCAACAACAGAATATACATTCTTCTCATCTGCACATGGCACATACTCTAAAATTGACCACATATGCAGCCAGAACAAAATTCTCAATAAATTTAAAAAAAATCATACCAACATTCTCAAACCACAATACAATAAAAATATAAATCAATACCAAGATAAACACTCAAAACCATACAATTACATGGAAATTAAACAATCTTCTCCTTAATGACTTCCAGGTAAACAGTGAAATTAAGGCAGAAATCAAGAAAGTCTTTGAAACTAATGAAAACAAAGATACAACATACCAGGATCTCTGGGACATAACTAAAAAGCAGTGTTAAGAGGAAAGTTTCTAGTGCTAAATGCCTACATCAGTAAGTTAGAAAGACCTCAAATTAACACCACATTTAGAGGAACTGGAAATATGAGAGCAAACCAACTGCAAAGCTAGCAAAAGAAAAGAAATAGCCTAAATCTGAGCTTAACTGACTGAAATGGCAATGTGAGAAACCAAACATAAGATTAACAAAACCAAAAGTTGTTTTTTTAAAGAATAAGTAAGATTAGTAGAACACTAGCTAGACTAATAAAAAGAAAAGAGAGAAGAACCAAATAAACACAATCAGAAATGACAAAGGAGACATTACTACTGACCCCACAGAAATACAGAAAATCCTCAGAGACGATTAGAAACACCTCAATACACCCACACCAGAAAACCTAGGATAAATTCTGGGAAGCATGCAACCTCCCAAGATAAACCAAGAAGATATTAAAGCCCTGAAAAGATGAATAATGAGCTCCAATATTGAATCAGTCATTATAAACCTACCAACCAGAGAAAGCCCTGGACCAGACAGATTCACAGCTAAATTATACCAGATGTATAAAGAAGAGCTGATAGAAATCCTACTGAACATATTCCAAAAAATCAAGGAGGAATAATTCCTCCATAACTCATTCTATGAGACAGCATCATTCAGAAACACAGTGATAAAAGGAATCTTTAGGCCAAAATCTTGGAGGAACATAGATGCAAAAATCCTCAACCAAATTCTAGCAAACCAAATCCAGCAGCATATCAAAAAGCTAATCCATTATGCTATAGTAGGCTTTATTCCTGGGATGAAAGGTTGATTTAACATACACAAATCAATAAATTGTAATTCATTACATAAACAAAATTACAAACAAAAATGACATAATCATCTCAATAGATGCAGAAAAGGTTTTTGATAAAATTTAATATTCCTTCTTGTCAAAAACCCCCAGCAAACAAGGCATCAAAGGAACACACCTCAAAATAATAAAAGCCATCTATGACAAACCCACAGCCAACATCATACGGAACAGGCAAGAGCTGGAATTATTGCCTAAACAGTACAAGGATGCCCAGTCTCACCACTCCTATTCAGCATAGTTCTGGAAGTCTCAGCCAGAGCAATCAGGCAAGAGAAAGAAATAAAAGGCCTCCAAATAGAAACAGGGAGACCCAAACTATCTCTCTTCACAGATTTTTTAAGTTTAGAATCAGTATATGATTCTAAACTTAAAAAAAAAAAACCATAGTCTCTGCCCAATGGCTCACAGAGCTCATAAACAACTTCATTAAAATTTCAGGTTACGAAATCAATATAAAAATTCGCTAGCATTTCGATACACCAATAATATCTCAACTAAAGCCAAATCCAGAACACAATTCCTTTTTTTATAGCCACAAAATAATAAAGAATACTATGAATACAGCTAACTAGGGAAGTGAAAGATTTCTACAATGAGAATTATAAAATACTGCTGAAAGAAACCAGAGACAACACAAACAAATGGAAAATCATTTCATGCTCATGGATAGGAAAAATCAATAATGTTAAAATGGCCATACCGCCCAACACAATTTACAGATTCAATGCTCTTACTACCAAACTACCAAGAACATTTTTCATCGAATTGGAAAAAAGAAAAAAAACTATTCTAAAATTCAGATGGAACCAACAAACAACCTAAATAGCTAAAGAAATTCTAAGCAAAAAGAACAAAGCCAGAAGCATCACACTACTTGACTTCAAAGTACACTAACGGGGCGACAGTAACCAAAACAGCCTGGTACCAGTACAAAAAACAGACAAATAAACCAACTGAACAGGTCAGAGAACCCAGAAATAAAGCCCCACACCTACCACCATCTGATCTTTGAGAAAGTCAACAATTACAAGCAATGGGGAAAGTCTGCTTGAGTCAATAAATTGTGTTGGGATAACTGGCTAGCCATATGTATAAGATTAAAACTGGACTCTGTTCTTTTACTACACACAAAAATCTACTCAAGGTGAATTAAAGACTTAAACGTAAAATCTAAAATTATAAAAAGCTTAAAAGAAAACCTAGGAAATACTATTCTGGATATAGGCCCTGGCAAATATTTCATAATGAAGACTCCAAAAGCAATGTGTTACGAGAAACACAAAATGACAAGTTGGACTTAATTAAACTAAAGAGCTTCTGCACAGCAAAAGAAACTGTCAACAGAGTAAACACACAACCTACAGAACAGGAGAAATTACTCACAATTCAAATTGTTAACATACAATTTACCCAGGTAAGAAATCTTTTACATGTACCCCCTAAGCTTAGAGTAAAAGTTGGGGGAATAAAAAGAAAACTGCAGACAAATATCCCCTATAAATATTAATGAAAAAATGTCAAATAATTACTAGCAAACCATATTTAGCAGCATATCAAAAGGATTATACATCATGACCAAACAAAGTTTATTCCTGAAATGCAAGGAGAATTCAGTATATAAAATTCAATTAATGTAACACATGGGAAAAACCCACAACAAACTAAGAATAGAAAGAAACTAGGCTGGGTGTGGTGGCTCACGCCTGTAATCCCAGCACTTTGAGAGGCCAAGACAGGCGGATCACCTGAGGTCGGGAGTTTGAGACCAGCCTGACCAACATGGAGAAACCCCATCTCTACTAAAAATACACAACTAGCTGGGTGTGGTGGCACATGCCTGTATTCCCAACTACTCGGGAGGCTGAGGCAGGAGAATCGTTTGAACCCAGGAGGCGGAAGTTGTGGTGAGCCGAGAGTGTGTCGTCATTTCACTCCAGCCTGGGCAATAAGAGTGAAACTCAAAACCACTATGAGATACCATCTCACACCAGTTAGAATGGCAATCATTAAAAAGTCAGGAAACAACAGGTGCTGGAGAGGATGTGGAGAAATAGGAACACTTTTACACTGTTGGTGGGAATGTAAACTAGTTCAACCATTGTGGAAGTCAGTGTGGCGATTCCTCAGGGATCTAGAACTAGAAATACCATTTGACCCAGCCATCCCATTACTGGGTATATACCCAAATGACTATAAATCATGCTGCTGTAAAGACACATGCACACGTATGTTTATTGCGGCATTATTCACAATAGCAAAGACTTGGAACCAACCCAAATGTCCAACAATGATAGACTGGATTAAGAAAATGTGGCATATATACACCATGGAATACTATGCAGCCATAAAAAATGATGAGTTCATGTCCTTTGTAGGGACATGGATGAAATTGGAAATCATCATTCTCAGTAAACTATCGCAAGAACAAAAAACCAAACACCGCATATTCTCACTCATAGGTGGGAATTGAACAATGAGATCACATGGACACAGGAAGGGGAATATCACACTCTGGGGACTGTGGTGGGGTGGGGGGAGGGGGGAGGGATAGCATTGGGAGATATACCTAATGCTAGATGACGAGTTAGTGGGTGCAGCGCACCAGCATGGCACATGTATACATATGTAACTAACCTGCACAATGTGCACATGTACCCTAAAACTTAAAGTATAAAAAAAAAAAGAAGACATAAACCAAAAAAAAAAAAAAAAGAATAGAAAGAAACTATCTCAGTATAATAAAGGCCATAAATGTAGAATCCCCAGGACTGTGATACTAAATTGGAAAATACAAAGAGCTGATTTCCTATTATCAGAAACAAGGCAGGATACCCACTTTCACCACTTCCATTCAACACAGTATTGGAAGATCTAGTTAGATCAATTATGGAGGAAGTCAAAATAAAAGGTGTCCACGACTGGGCGCAGTGGCTCACGTCTGTAATCCCAGCACTTTGGGAGGCCGCGGCGGGCAGATCACTGTAAGTCAGGAGTTCGAGAGCAGCCTGGCCAACATGGTGAAACCCCATCTCTACTAAAAATACAAAAATTCGCCAGGCATGGTGGCAGGCGCCTGTAATCCCAGCTACTCAGAAGGCTGATGCAGGATAATCGTTTGAACCCGGGAGGAGGAGGTTGCAGTGAGCCGAGATCGTGCCACTGCAATCCAGCCTGGGGGATAGAGCAAAACTCTGCCTCCAAAAAAATAAAAAAGACATCCAAACGGGCAAGGAAGGAGTAAAATTATCTCTGTTTGCAGCTGACATAATCTTGTGACATGATCTTATGGGCAGAAAATTCTAAAGATTACACAGACGAACTTTTTGAACTAATACATGAATTCAGGAATGTTGCAGGCTACAAAATCGGCAAAAAAAAATCAGTTGCATTTCTATATACTAACAATGAATAATCTGAAAAGGAGATTAAGAAAATAATTACATTAATAATATCATCAGCAAGAATAAAACACTTAGGAATTAGTTTAACCAGTAAGGCAAAGGACTTGTACACTGAAAACTACAAAACATTCCTGAAAGAAATTTAAAGATACAAATAAAGAGAAAGACATCTCATGTTTCCCTCAGTCCATCTCCAAGCTGTCCTCACACCTATTTGTCTTTCTTTGCTCACAGCTCTCTATGCAGCTCTCCTTTCTTCCCTTCTCCTTTTCTCTCTCTCTCTCGCTATATCTCTTTGTGTTTTTCCCCTTCCTTCAGAAAAATAACACTTCTTCTACTCTCTGCCTCATTCACATTCACTTGAGAACCAAAAATTCCCCTCAGTGCTTAGTATTCCCAGCATTGGGAAAAGTATGTCACATTCTGTAATGAGAACCAGTGTCATCTACCCCCAGAGGTCTTGGAAGTAGCTGAAGGTTCTTTGGAAACTTCAGAGACGTCTTTGTCTTTCTCATTTTCTTCTAAGTAAATTAAGACTTTTTTTTTCCCCAAGAACCAGCATCTAAGATAAAAATGTTAAAAATTTATTATGACAGGCATAAAAAGGAATGAAATCTGAGTTATGCTGTAACTTGGATAAACCTTGAATACATTATGCTAAGTAAAAGCACCTTAAAGACATTGTGCTAAGTAAAGTTCCCATATGTGATTTTATTTATATGAAATGTCCAGTACAGAAAAATCTGGAGACCAAGTATGTTACTGATTATTTAGGTCTGGAGGAGGGGGTGTTGGGGAAATAAAAGCATTATAGCTAAAGGCTGAAGGGTTTCTTTTAGCAGTGATAAAAATATTCTAAAATTGACTGTGATGTTGCTTGCACATACATGTGAGTATATTAAAAAACTGTAGTATTCACTCTGGGCAAATTGTAATGTGTGTGAATTATATCTCAATGCATTTCTATCTAAAAATTAAAAAATTAAAAAATAAAAATGAAAAAGACACACCTAGAAAGGAAAACTATGGGCCAAAATTCTCATGAACAGTGGTGCAAATACCCATAGCAAAATATTATAAATCAAATATAACCATGTATAAAAATAATTAAAGAATCAACAAAAACAGTTCTAAAACTAATGAATAATTAGCAAGGTTGTAGAGTACAAAGTTACTACGCAAAAGTATACCATGACCAAGTGGAATTTTTTTCAGGTATTCAAGACTGGTTCTATATTCTAAAGCCAAACTATATAATTCAGTATATTAATAGTTCAAGAATAAAAATTATATAGTCATTCCGTTGATGTAGAAAAAGCTTTTAACCATATTCAAGAACAATTTATTATAAATACTGTCAGCATATTAGTAATAATGGTGATTTTCTCACCTTAATAAAGAAGATATACAAAATACTGTTAGCTAACATCACACTTACTCATGAGAAACTAGCTTATTTTGCACAAATATTAGGAAAAAAGTATGGATATCCCTTCTTACCTCTTATTTAACATCATACTGGAAGTTCTAGCTAATGCAATACCAAAAGAAAAGGAAATTAAAAATAAACAGATTGGAAAGGAAGAAATAAAACTCTGTTTGTAGATGACTTGTTTATTTATGTAGAAAATCCCAAAGAATCAACAAAACAGTTCTAAAACTAATGAATAATTAGCAAGGTTGTAGAGTACAAAGTTACTACGCAAAAGTCAATTGCTTTTCTATATACAATTAATAAACAATTGGAATTTAAGGTTAAAATCACAATGCCATTTACATTATCACCCAAACTATGAAACACTAAGGTATAAATCTAACAAAATAAGTGCATAATATATATGAGGAAAACTATGAAACTCTTATAAATCAAAGAAGATCTAAACATATGAGGAGGCATTCCATATTCATAGATGGGAAGATTAAAGGTTAAGATATCAGTTCTTTCCAATTTGATCTATAGATGCAATGTAATTCCAGACAAAATCATAGGAAGTTATGGATACCAACAAACTGATTCTAAAGTTTATATGGAAAGAGAAAACATTGAAAGCAGCCAACACAATATTAAATAAAATCCAAATCAGAAAAAAATACACTATTTGACTTCCACATTTACCATAAAACCACAGTTATCAAGATAGTATGGTGTTAGTAGAGATACAGACAAATTGATGAAAGAGATCAGAATGCCCAAAAATAGATGCACATTAATAGAGTCAAATGTTTTTTGACAAAATTTTAAATGCAATTTGATGTATAAAGAATAGTCTTTTCAACAAGTAGTGCTGGAACAATTGGATGGCCATAGACAAAAACAAATTTAAAAAGTCTGGGCATATACCTTACAACATTCACAAAAACTAACTCAAGATGAGTCATACAGTAAATACAAAATGCAAAATATAAAAGTTCTAGAGGAAAGTAAAGGAAAATTTTTATGTAATGATGAATTTATGATAATTTCTAAAAACAATACAGAAAGCATAATATATTAAAGAAAAACTTGATAAATTAAACCTTATTATTAATATTGAAACTTCGGCTCTGTAAAAGACTGTTCAAAGAATAAAAAGACAAACTACAAACTGGGAAAACAGATATGAAACATATATATTTGATAAAAGACTTGTATTCAAAATACATAAAGATTATTTTAAACCCAATGACTAGAAAAAAAAACCTACCAGAAAATGGGCAAAAGATATGCAGAATAAAAACAAGCATATGAAGTGTTTCTAAACATAATTTGACAGTAGGAAAATGAAAATTGAAAAAGCAATGAGATTATATTACAAACCTATTAGAATAGCTAAAACCTAAAAGCTTGGCAATATTTCTTGCTGGTGAGAATGTGAACTACGTGACCTCTCATTAATTTCTGGAGGAATTGCAAAATAATAGGAATATGGTTGGGAAGTTTCTTTGAAAAATGAATATAGTCTTGTCATAAAATTTAGCTGTCTTTCTCTTGGGTACTTATTCAACTGATTTTAAAGTTTATGTCAGAATAAACAGAAGAAAATGCCAAAATCATGCACATAAACACTTACAACAGCTATCCTCACAATCCCCCACAATTGTAATAAACCAAGATGTCCTCTAATAGGAATAGATTTTTTTTAAGAATGTGGTATGTACATATATACAACTGAATATTACTTAGTGATAAAAATAAGTAAGCTCTCAAGCCATAAAAAACATGGAGAACCTTAAATGTATTTGCTAATTTTACAAAGCCAATCTGTGAAGTCTGTGTACTACATGATTCTAATTTTAAGATATCCTGAAAAAGACAAACTATAAAGCCAATAAAAAGATTAGTTATTGTCAGGAATTTAGTGGGAAGGCACAATGGTTGAATAATAGTTGAAGCACAGGGAATATTTTGGAGTGATAAAACTATTCTGTGTGACACTTTAGTGGTGAGTGTGTGATACTATTTCTTAAAAACTATAGAACTTTGCAGTGCACTGAGTGAACCAGATTATATGCAACTTAATGAAAAATTGTTTAAAGTCATTGGGGGATGCTAGGATAAAATGCAAAATGTCACAAAACAATCTAACTCTATTACAAACATTTAAAAAACTCACTGAAGATAGAGAAAAAGATGCTGATATAAGTAACATTGGAAATGGCTGGATTTTGTAAACTGAAGACAAAAACATTGTACACTAATGCATAAAGTGGTTTTACACTGGGGTATAGTCACCAGCTGTGAAACTGTTATACATGTAAGTTGGAAATGTACAATTCTGTAAATGGATAGTGGTTGGTGGGAGCCAACTTTTTCCTGTTGGTTTGAGAAGTTACAGATAAGCAATTAAAGGAGGTTTGAAAGACGCACATGGTAAAGTGTTACAGTTGAAAATATTAGTATGAACTCATGTTTAGCTTGTCACATATATGGATGGCTATATACAGAAATATTTCTAGGTAAGTGTTTGTACAGGGTTAGTATACACCTTATATACATAGTTTTTACTTAGTCAGATGAGAAGGTCTAAAAGAAATGACACCCTTGTGGCAATGAGCACACTAGGTACCCAGATTGTGATTTCCAATTTAATTTTCTAATTAAAGAAACTAGGCCTTCTTGGAGAAATGACTAATTTTAAAACTGGGGCACAAAATACACAAGATGAGCCTGAAGCATCTTAGAGTTCCATAAGTAAAGATTTGCTCAAAAAGCAAGCAAAAATAACCCAAATCTCACAATGATGGAAACATGTTAAAAGGGTGCAAATTTCAACTGAAAGATCTCTCAGTGACCAAAGGTAGAACAATTTGACCTACAATATAAATAAAATATTATTAGATTAAAACACAAAGTATAAAATAAATATCTGTGAGTCCATACTGAAGTAAATAAATGATTGAATACGTAAACAAATGGGGGAAATTTGAAAAATCTCCCATGCATAAAAATTTCAAATAATTCATATAGTCTGCCCTCAGAGATGTGCAGCATAATTCATGCTCCTTCTGTGTGGGCTGTGCATATTGACTTCCTTCCCAAGAGTATAGTATAAAAGCAGGGAGGGAAGGGGATTTTATAGTGGAGACACTTGAAAAACACATCCTCAGCCAAGTAATCAAGGTTAACACCCACAGTCTCAAGACGTGTTGACAGTATGTATTCTTGGTGCGATGCAGTGAAAGAGTGTTTTACTTCTGTGGTCTTTCTCCTAAAAATACATTACCATAGAATAATATGAGAAAAACGTCAGACAAATTCCAATTGAAGGACAATTTATGAAATTCTTGATCAGTACTCCTTAAACTTTCAAGGTGATCAAAAGCAAGAAAAGACTAACACACTGTGACAGTCATGAGTAGCCTGAAAGTACACGACTATTGATCAATTTCTAATAATTGTAACAAGTAAACACATTAGTGTAACATAGGGAAAACTGGATATAACTCTGTACCCTATTCTTACTTTTTCTGTAAATCTAAGTGTTCTTAAAAAGTTTATTAAAAATAAATATTATTAAGAAAAAGATTATCAAAATTACCCAACCAAAAATACAACCTAGTTTTTATAATTGAAAATTTTTCTTGTTGAAATTTAAAAATTACAAAAATGTTTTTAAAGATTGATGAGCTTTTAGTGAAGCAAAGATTATCAAAGCATGAAAATTTCACAAAATTTTATACAGGTAGACAGAGATATGTAAAATGACTTTTAAAATAATATTAGTTATCTAGAGAAAAAATAAAGACTATCTATACTGCATCAGTTTTCAAGTGATAGATAACAAATTACCCTTAACTTTGGTGGGTTAAAATAACCCACAGTTATTATCTTTCAGTTTCTGTGGGTCAGAAGTCCGGACAAGGCTTACCCCAGCTTGGGTTTTTTTCAATAGCAGAAATCAGTGTGTCAGCTGGGCAATCTAAAGACTTGACTAGGGAGAATTCACTTCCAAGATCATTCGTTTGTTGGCATTACTGTAGGTTGTTAGAGTAAAAGTCTCATTCTCTCACTGAATGTTTGAGGCTTCTCTTAGCTGCTTGCCATTGAGCCTTACCAATAAGACCACTTGCTTCATCAAAGTGTGCAAGTGAGAAAGCAAGAGTCTGCTAACAAGGTGAAAGTCACAATCTTCTGTAACCTCATAGCAGATGTGACACCCTATCATTTTTACTGTATTATCTTTTTTAGAAGTAAGTTACAGTAAGTCTTCTCTTAATATCATTGATAAATTCTTGGAAACTGCAACTTTAAGTAAAACGATGTGTAATGAAACAAATATTATCATAGGCTAATTTATGTAAACAAGAGTTAAATTCCTATGACATATTTCTGGTTGGCAAAAATGTCACCAAACTTCTAAATAAAGACCCCAAACACTTCTAATATGAAACATTGAAATAAATGTGAGCTATACTTACATTTAAGAAAAATTAACAAAAACAAGTAAAATACTTGTTTACCCAATAGTTGGTGGATGGGTGAGTGACAGTGGTCATAGTGATAGTGGGTTAAATCAAGGAATAAATGTAATTTATTTTCTTCTGCTACCTTTGGGATTAGTTTGTTCTTGTTTTTTTAGTTTCTCTAAGTATGATGTTAGATCATTAATTTGAGATATTTCTGTTTGAGGTAGGTATTTGGTGCTGTCTTCTTATCACTGCTTTTGCTGCATCCCAGAGATTTTGGTATGCTGTGTCTCTGTGTATTTGAAAAAACTTTTTTATTTCTTCCTTAATTTCATTGTTTACCTGAAGTCACTCAGGAGCAAGTTGTTGAATTTCCATGTCACTGTGTGGTTTTGAGAGAATTTCTTGGTATTTATTTATAATTTTATTTCACTGTGAACCGAGAGTACCAAGGTAATCATATTTTGGTATTTTTTCAATTTTTTGGAATTTATTGAGGTTTGCTTTATTGCCAAGTATGCAGTCAATCTTGGAGTATGTCCTGTATGCAGGTGAGAAGAATATATATTATGTAGTTGATGGGTGGCATGTTCTCTAGGTGTCTATTAGGTCCAGTTGGTCATGTTGAGTTTAAGTTTAGAATTTCTTTGTTAGGTCTCTGCCTCAATGATCTGTCTAATGCTGACAGAGGGTGTTGAAGTCCCCCACTGTTATTGTATGGCTGTCTAAGTCTTCCATTGGTCTAGCAGTACATGTTTTATGAATCTGGGTACTCCAGAGTTGAGTGTGTATGTATTTAGTATAGTTAAGTCTTCTAGTTGAATTGAATCCTTTATCATTATGTAATGTCCTTTTTTGTCCTTCTTGATCATTGTTGGTCATCATCTGTTTTATCTGATATAAGAATAGTAACCTCTGCTCTTTTGTGTTTTCCCTTTGGGTAGTAGGTCTTTCTCCGACCCCTTACTTTAAGCCTATGGATGTCATTATACGTGAGATGGGTCTCTTGAAGACAGTAGATGGGTAGGGTTATTATTATTATTATTATTATTATTATTATTATTATTATTCAACTTGCCACTCTGGGTCTTTTAAGTGGGCATTTAGACCATTTACTTTCAAAGTTGATGTTGATAAGTGAGGTTTTGATTCTATTGTAAAGCTGTTAGCTGGTCGCTTTGTAGTTTCTATTGTGTGATTTCTTTATATGGCATGTGGGCCATGTACTTAAGTGTGTTTTTGTGGTAGCAGGTATTGTTCTTTCATTTCCATGTTTACCAACTCTCTTAAAAAATATCTTGTACAGCTGGTCTAGCAGTGATAAATTTCTATAGCACTTTCTTATCTAGAAAAGGTTTTATTTCTCCTCCACTTATGAAGCTTAGTTTGGCTGGATATGAAATTATTGGTTGGAATTTCTTTTCTTTAAGAAAGCTGAAAATAGGCCCTAAATCTCTCCTGGATTGTAAGGTTTCTTCTGGAAAGTCCACTGTTAGCTTGATGAGGATCACTTTCTATGGGATTGGACATTTCTCTCTTGCTGCCTTTAAGGATTTTTTTGTTTTTGTTTTTGTTTTTTAACATTGACCTCAGACAGTCTGGTGCCTCGATGATGTTTGTTTTGAATAGTAGCTCACAAGTGTTCTCTGGATTTTTTGTATCTAAATGTCCTCTCTCTAGCAAGATCAGAAAAATTGTCTTGAATTTTTCCCTTAAATATGTTTCCAAGTTGCTTACTTTCCCTTCTTCTATCTTAAGAATGCCAATAATTCATATGTTTGGCCACTTCATATAATCTCATATTTCTTGAAGTATTATTCATTAAAAAGTTTTTTTTCTTTATTTTTAACTCACTGGGGATAGTTTGAAAGACAAGTTTTCCACTCTAAAATTCTTTATTCTGCTTGGTACAGTCTAATGATAAAGCTTTCAATTGTATTTTAAGATTTCTTGTATGAGTTTTTCAATTCCAGAAGCTCTGATGTATTTATTTTTGCTATGTTTGTCTCTTCCTTCATTTCCTAAATTTCTCTAGAAGTTTTCTTGTGTTGATTTCCAAACTTGTCTTGCATCTCATTGAGTTTATTTTCAAATCATGCTTTGAATTCTTTATCTGTCTTTTCTTAGTTTCCATTTTGGATAGGAACTATTGCTGGAGAGGTAGTACAATCCTTTGGAAGTGTGGCTACATTCAGATTTTTCATGGTGCCAGAATTCTTGTTGTGGTTCCTTCTCATTTATTATTTTTTAAATTATTTTCATACAGGTAGAATATTTTCTTTTTCTTCCTTTCTTTGTAATTTTTCTTTTTTCACTTTTCCTTCCCTCCCTCCCTAGGGGGTGCAACTGTAGAGAATGCTAGATAGGGTATTTGGCTTTGCTTCTACCGCCCTGTGAACTTCTGTTGGCAGGTTTTGTATTGGGTTGTGCAGTTTGACCTACAAGCCAGTAGATGGCACTTATAGGAAAGAACTGGCTGTGGCCAACGTTGCTGGGTATATACTTGATTTTTTTTTACTGGCAGAAGCTCTTTGTTGCCTCAGGGAATGGGCTGATCCATGGAACTCACAATGGTCTGAGCTCCCTGCTTAGTCCCAGGGGCAGAAACCATGATGGATAGGGTTGGACTGGTAGGCCCACCTACAGGTCCCGGATGCCAGGCATAAGTACCAATACCACAGGAGAATCCAGTGGGCAGCCATCTAGACATGTGCCTAGGCATGGAGCTGGAAAACTCACTTGGCCGTAAGTTCTCTACATGGGGTTGGAGGGCAGACTAAACTCCTAATCCTAGATAGTGGGTGCTCTAGATGCCTGGAGATCTGCCTAGGCATGAAGTGGAGAGAGCCCCCCTTGCCCCAGGATCTCCTCACAGGAAGTATGGGGTGGCTGAGACTGCTGATCCAGTTGAGCTGGTGCTCCAAATGCCTGAAAATATGCCTGGCTGCGGAGCACAGAGGGACCCCCTGTATCAGAATCTCTGCATGTGGAGGAATGGGGGAACTCAAGCTGTTGAACCAGGCAAGCAGGTGCTCCGAATGCCTGAAGATCTGCCTGGGCATGTAGCAGAGAAGGAAGAACTGACTTCTTAGTGATATTGAGACCTTCTAATCTTGAACACATTATAGCTCTCCATTTAGTTAGGGTTTTTAGAAATTTGCCTGTTTCAGGAAAACTCCCTCTAATCATGATTTTCCTCTGCCCTCACACCACAGCAATAATTATCACAGAAGAAGATTTCTATGACCAAAGGTACGAGGACTTTTCCCCACACGATCAGCAGCAGACATCAGCTGCATGTCCTGACACTGTCTTCCTGGGGATAGTGTCAGATCCCACAGATTGAGAGTTCAGTCCCCAAGACTGCCACCTGACCCCCAAGACACCAGTTGCAAGTCCAGGCCTCTGGAACTTCTGACCAACTGGCTTTGAGTTGAGATTCCCACAACACCCTCTTTGGGTTCAATTAATTTGCTGAAGCAATTCAGAGATATCAGGGAAGACATTTAATGGCTTATTATAATGGATATTGCAAAGGACACAGATAAAGAAATGCACAGAGCAAGGTATAATAGAAGAGTCACAGAGCTTCCATGCCCTCCTAGGGTGCCCCACTCACCAGGAACCTCCACATGTTTATTGAATGTGGAGTCCTGAAACTCTCCAAACACAGTCTTCCTAAGTTTTTATGGTAGCATTCTTTCCTTCAGAGCATGAGGTAGGACCCTCTCAGGGAAGAGCCCTAAGACTCACATTCAGGAAGGTAGGAGAAGATTAGAGAATCCTGCCTTGGGGCAGGTAAAAGGAGGGCAGATGAGAGATTCTTTTTCTTGAGGACTAACACACCCAATATTATAACAAAGGACTGTAATAAGGGCTATGTGAGCTATAAACTGAAAACCAGCTATAAACTGAAATAAATATATATATATTTATAAACACCACATTGCATCAGCAATGTTTTATAGTTGTTAGTGTAGAAACGTTTTATATATTGTATTTTTATGCATTAGATTTACATGTTTTTGACATTTCACCAGTTATATCTTTTATCTTCTAATGTTTGTTGCTATTATATAGAAATAAAATTGATTTTATTTTTGACCATGTATCCAGTAATCTTGGTAAATTCTTAGTTCTTATTTGTTAGTTTATTAAGGATTTCTTTATCAACAATCATATCTTCTGTTAATGAAAATAGTTTTCTTTTTTCTTTCCAAACTTTCTGAAATGTATTTATTTATTTTGTTCATTACTATTCAGTGCAAAGCTACATTCAAATGGTGAGAATATACAGCTAAGCTTTGAACTTATGAAGAACCATTTAATATATTAGCCATGGCATTAGCTGTAGATGTTTTCAAAATTTCTTTTATCATATTGAGACATTTCCCTCTATTTATAGTTTTCTGTTTTTAATCACAGATAGATGTCGAAGTTTCTGAAATAATTTTTCTGCATTCTTTGAGATGATATATTTTTTTCTTTATATTCAATGTGGTAGATTATTCTATTTGATTTTATAATATTAAATCAATTTTGCATTTTTGAAACAAACCCCACTTAATACTGTTATTTTATTTAATATCGAATAATACAAATAATAGTAGTATTAAATAAGCTCACATGGGCTTTGAGGGTTGAGAGTGTGTGTGTGTGTGTGTCTGTGTGTGTGTGTGAATATTTGGATGACAAATTTGTTTCATTTATGTATGGCTATCCTGAATCAGCATGTTAAATTGTTTTTTTTAAGGAAATTTTTGCGTTTTGGCATAGTGTCATTTATGATATCCTGTTGTCTCCCTTTTATTACCTGAAGGATGATCAGTATTAACAGTTCATCCTTCATTTCTGTAATTGTTAATTTTGCTCTGTGTTTCTTTTTCTCTATCTCTCTGTCTCTCTCAGTATGTCTTGTTAGTATGTCTTCTAAAGGAATATGCTATTTCACTTGCTGTACTTTAGAATTATTGCTGTATTTTCTTTTTCATTTTTTCTGCTCATCTATAATTTGCTCTATTTTAATTATATTGAATTTAAATTACTCAACTTTTTAATGATAGAAAAGTTTTACTTTTTTCCTTCTCATGTAAGCATTTATATTATAGGTTTTTCTCTAATCACTGCATTCCACAAATGCATACATGTTATAATTATATCATTTCATTAAAAATATTTTATAATGGCCCATATGACTAATTTTTGTCATGACTACTTACCAGTAAGTGATAAACTTTTTAAATTTGTGGGGATTTTCAAGATACTTTATATTATAATTATTAATTTAATACCATTGTTTTCAAAGAGTATGCTTTGTAACATTTCTATCTTTGATATTGATTTATTTTTAGGCTAGCTGCTTATTTGTACCTATCCTATTCTGTCTATGAAATTGTGTTTTTTCTCTCAAGAGACTCTCCTAAGTGAGAAATTTCTATTATGTTTTCTTGGAATTTGCATTATGTTTGAAGCTAAAAATATTTGTTTAAAGGTCAAAAGTAGAGATTTCATCTATAGACTGGAGCAAATTCCAGCCTGGGCATATCTTCGTCTAGAGATCTAAAGCCCCCTCTTCCAGTTCTAATTATTTTTAAGGTATTTTTTTTAAGGCTATCCCAAATTTGTAAACATATGGTGTAAAAATGTTGTGAATCTCTTCTATCTTACTTGGTGGATGGGTGAGAAAATGGTGGTGGTAAGATAAGAATATAAGAATGGGACTGACAAAGCAATTCAATATTCAGCCGTTCCAACAAGCCCTTATTACAGCTACCATTCTCCCTCTCCCTCTCTCTCTTTGTGCTGCCATTTTAATGATTCTGCTAGGCTGCTAGGCAGATATAGAGAAACTCTCCCCTCTACTACAATTGTCACTTCTGGGTACTGAGCTCTGGTTTCCTGGACATACTTTATCCATAAATAGGTAGAAATTTCTCATCCACACAGTCTATCTCCTGTATCATTTGTTTTTATGTGTTTATTTTATTATCATTTTATAATATCCTTGGAGCAAAGAGAAACAGACACTGTGGGTTCGATTAACCACCTTGAGCTCACACCTCTTCAGTGTCATTTTCTTGTTTTAAACTGGTATCATAGCCAATAAAAGTGTTGACCTTTTATATCAGAACTTTTCAAATAAATCCCTCTTCCCAATTTTGGATGGCTGCTTTGTGAAACCCAAATCAGAAATGTTTTATATCTAATTTGGTTAGATTACATTTCATGACCCTCTTGTTAACCTTTTAAAGTGTTTTTGACTCTATTTTGTCATCTGAAATATCACAGCTCTCTCCTGCCAGTATGCCATCTGTGATGACATATGGTGATTTTACTTCTACAGCACAATTTGAAAAGGATCATTGCATCACTGTCAGCCTGAATCCTAACTTAGATAACTAACCTGAGGCCCCTTTCCAGGTGCAGAGGCAAATTGTTTTTGGGCCTTTGAAAATTGTTCCCCTGATACAACTAAAGTTATTTGTTCAAAAGGAGAGAAATTAAAATTTAAGGATAAAATAAATGTCTGGAGTTGTAAATGCATTATGTCTATTACATTTCAAAAATGTAAAGTTATAATATTTTTCTATTATGGACAGAGATACTGAAGCAAAAGACATTTATGCCACTGGGTTAGACAGCCAGCAACTAAGAAGAAACTTGAACTCATAGCTGATGTCTCCAAAACTCATGCTGTCTCCACTGCTACCTGCATAGTTTTTTAAAAATTTGTTTCATTTTAGATTCAGGGGTACACGTATATGTTTGTTACAAGGGTGCATTGTGTACTGGTGGGGACTGCACTTCCAGTGTACCCAATACTCAAATAGTGAATACTGTACCTCATAGGTAAGTTTTCAGCTCTTACCCCTGTTCCCTCTTCCTCCATTTTGGAGTCCCCAGTGTCTATTATTTCCATCTTTATGTATAACCATTGTTTAGCTCTCACTTATGATTGAGAAAATGTGGTATTCGCTTTTCTGTTTTGGAGTTAATTCACTTAGGATAATGGCCTCCAGCTCCACCCAGGTTGCTGCAAAGGACATGATTTCTTTCTTTCTGTGGCTGTGTAATATTCCATGGTGTACATATACCACATTTTCTTTTATCCAATCAGCTACTGATGGATACTTAGGAGGTTCCGTGACTTTGCTATTGTGAATAGTGCTGTAATACACATATGAGGGCGGGTGTCTTTTTTATATAATGATTTATTTTCCCTTGGGTAGACACCGAGTAGTGGGATTTCTGGGTCAGATAGTAGTTCTATTTTTATTTCTTTGAGATATTGCCATGCATTTTTCATAGAGAATGAACTAATTTACATTCTCACCAACAGTGTATAGGCATTCATAGGTTCATTTTATTGTAATAGCAAGCTAAACAATAAAATAAAATTAGCAGAGCTCAGCAATTCCAGTTCTTCCTATATCCTGATCTTGGACTCCAGCTTTATAAGAAGTGTTTCAATCTGTCTTAGTTTGATGTTTCTTCAGAAAAGACTGTGTTTGCTACAATTAGCAAGGAACAAGATTTCTGGTTTAGTTCAATTGCACAAAGATATCAGATGTCGCTGCTGTTGTCTTTACTGAGAAAAAACAATAACTGCTAAGATCCTAGGCATTTCATCTGTATTCCAATCAGTGAGAAAGAGAGTGCCAAACTGCAGAAAGCGTGTCATACTTTACTGTGCTTTCTTTTAGAAGTTTTCCACCATTGATTAGAACTATATGAAGTGGTCATCTATGAATGTAAGGTATGTGAGGAAATAGTGCTTTTAATACTACTTGATTCACATTCCCATCTTCTATCTCATCTTGAAGACAATTATCTTAATGCTAATTAGTATATATTTATTTTTGTATAGCTCACTCTAAAATTTATGCTAGTATTATGTATACATGTATTTTAATTTAAATAAATTGTGTGCCTTATTCTGTTTCTTACTTAAACATCATAGATTATGTTTGTGAGATCCATCTATTTTCCAACGTGTATATGTAGTCCACGTTCTAATCATTGAGTAGAAACTCCATGATGTTCATCCAATATATGTTGCATTCAAAATCCCCCATTATCACAGCAGAACCAAATTGTGTACCTGTCTTTGTGCATGTACACTTATGGGCCTGTGTAAGAAATTCTTTGGGATACATATACAGACACAGAATACCTAGTTTGACTAATTAGTGCCATATTTCTCTCCAGAATGGTGATGCCAATTTACATTCCCAAACTGCATGTATGGGAATTACATCACTGTCACATATTCTACATCACTGTCACATGTTCATAATATCAAGTTTCTAAATTATACTAAATTACAATTTTACATTGTATAAATTATATTTAAAAGTTTACATAAAATATAAACTTTGTATTAAATAAAAGTTTAATAGCCATAATAGCATTTTGCTGTTTTAAGTCCAGTGTCCCTGATAACATTAATTTTGTCCTCCTCTTCATGTGTTCTTTAAAGTTTTTAATATGTTTTCCTATATCTGAAGGTTTCAAGTTTTGCTCACTATTGTTTGTCAGTGAGATTCTTTCCCTTTTCTTTTTGATTTGTAGATCTTCATATTTTTAGATGCTATCTCTATGTCAGATTTAGACACGTAAAGTTATTCTCTGGAACTGTTTTCCATGTATTACTCTCATTAAATGAAAAACAATTTTAACAAACACCACTGAATCATTTAATGAAATAACTTATTGGTAATATCATCATACACTTCCATTTATTTTATTTCCAAATTTAGTTTGAATTTTTATTTTAAATATCTTTCTCTATCTTTGCTGTATCCAGTGACTAGATTCCCCCTGCAATCCCTGTTTATGGTTCCTTCCACCCTCTACAAAACACTTCACTTCAATATCTGGTTCTATCATCAAATCTCTTTTTCTAAATTTGATTCTGTGTCCCTCATATTAGGAATCTTGTGATTACATTAGACTGACCTTAACAATCCAGGATAATCTCCCATTTCAAGATCCTTAACTTAACAAAATCTGCAAATTCCCTTTTACAATATAAGGAGGATATCATATTCACAGATTCCAGATATTAGGAAATATTTTGAGAGTCATTGTTTAGACTACCACATGTTCAAAAGAAAATGCAAAAAATATATCATATAAAGCCTCATGATAAGAAAGCTAAAGTTGATATTTTAATCTTATAGAGTAGACTTCAGGAAAATAAATATTACAATAAAAAAGACAGATATTTAAGTGATAAAAGAAACAATTTATAAAAATTACATAATCCAAATTTATATGCACAAAATTATAGACCAATTCCAAACACAAGAAACATGGACTAAAACAAGCAGAATTAAATAAAGAGGCAAATTAGCAATTGCATTTAGAGATTTCAATATTTATTTCTCAGTAATTGGTGGTATAATTAAGCAAATTAAAATTAATAAGGTAATGTAAATATGTAATATATATAATTAAAATTGATAAGGAATAGTAGACTTGAATAACAATATCAACCAACTAAATTTAATCAATATTTATAGAACACTGTATCCAAAATAAAAAAGATCAAAATCATGGAGGAAATTATTTCAAAATTTTTTTGCAATATTTCTAAAGTAGTAATTAGAAAGAAATTTATAGCATTAATACTTTCATTAGGAAAAAAGCAAAGAATATAAACAATAATCTAGTTTTCTGATTTAAGAAGCTAGAAAAAGTCAAATTATAATCACAGAGTATAATTAAGAAAATTATGAAGATAATAGCAGAAACAAGTAAAAAGAGAAAACACACAATAAACAGAATCAATGGCTCAAAAGTTGGTTCAATAAAAATATTAATAAAATTGATAATTTTTTCTTGGCCAGAATTACAAAGAAAAATGGGAAAAAGATACAATATTAAGAATGAAGAGACATCACTAAGAGTTTTACAAATACTACAATAAAAATAAAAGAATAAAAGATTTTCCTTGAAAATAACAACTTCAAGGTCTCTCAAGAAGAAATAAATAATCAGAACAGCATTAAATGGATTGAATAAATTGTACCTAAAGTAAAAAAAAAAACATGCAGATGCAAAAATTTAAAATCAGACAATTTCACTAATCAGTCCTATCAATATGTTTTAAATTAAAAATTATAATTTTTCAGTAAATCATTCAGAAAATGAGGAAGAAAAATTACTAACTCATTCTAGGAGATCAGTATTTTCCAAAATCTAAAACCAAACAAAATATGAGGAAATAAATCAAGAAAACACACAGTAAAAAATAAACAAAATGTAAGACAATACTCCTCATGAACATATGTTTTAAAACAATTAACCAACTGTTACGAAATATAATCAAGCAATATAGGAAATGATAATCCAACATGCTCAAATGCAGGTTATCCAGGAGTAGAAATTAATATACCATGAGTTACTGCCATATCATCACTACCATGGCTAAAATGAAAGACTGACAATTCCAAATGTAGTTAACTAAGGTAAAATCACTTTAGAAAATATTTCAGTCTGTTGTATAATTTACCTCACTTATATGATATAGCTGTACTATTCTTATGTATTTAAATAAGATAAATAAAAGGGCAGCTGGGCACTGTGGCTCACACCTATAATCCCAGCACTTTTGGAGGCCGAGATGGGCAGATCACAATGTCAGGAGTTTGAGACCAGCCTGACCAACACGGTGAAACCCCATCTCTACTAAAAATACAAAAATTAGCTGGGCATGGTGGTGCACACTGTAATCCCAGCTACTGAGGAGGCTGAGGCAGGAGAATCACTTGAACCTGGGAAGTGGAGGTTGCAGTGAGCCAAGATCACACCATTGCACACCAGCCTGGGCAACAGATTGAGACTCTGTTTCAAAAAAAAAAAAAAAAAAGGCAAAATGTCTACACAAAGACTTGGACAGTAATATCTACAGCTTATTTGTATAAATTTGTCATAAACTGAAAAATGAAAACCAATGAAAAATAATTGAATAAACACACAAATTCTAGTACATCTGTATAAATAGTAACAAACAATAGAAATGAATGATGTGCTGATACTCAAAAGCACATAGATAAATCTCAATACCATTGTTCTGAGTGAACAAAATTAGACATTAAAGATTATATACCTTTCCAGGTATATAAAGCTCTAGAAAAGACAAATGTAGTGTTTAGCTATAGAAAGCACATCAATAATTGTCTTGGGCCATGGGTGGAAGGGTATTGACTGGAAGAAACACAAAGGAGATGTGTTTGAGTTGATGGAAATGTTCAACATAATCTCACATTTGTCAATAGGTGCAATTCATTTTATGTTAAATTTTATCTCAGTATATTTATTGTTAAAATATCATACCCTTCTTCCCCTTTTACTTTATAATTTATCATTCAGGTTTTTTATCTATTTAGGTTTTACCTTTATATATTGTATTAGGTGTGTTTTTTGTTTGGTTAGATTAAATTTTATTTTTCTCTATGTAATTAACATATTTTTATAACTCTATTATACATTAATTTTGTATGGATTTTGCTTTTAACATTATTGTATTTTACAAAAAATTAGCCGGGTGTGGTGGCGGGTGCCTGTAGTCCCAGCTACTAGGGAGGCTGAGGCAGGAGAATGGCGTGAACCCAGGAGGTGGAGCTTGCAGTGAGCCAAGATGGTGCCACTGCACTTCAGCCTGGGCAACAGAGCGAGACTCCATCTCAAAAAAAAAAAGAAAAAATTATTGTATTTTTAATCCTAATATATACATGGGTCCTCCAATAGGCTTTTTCTCCATTGACCCATATGACTTGTTCTTTTATCAATACCTCTGTTACTTTCTATTAAGATATGCTAATATCTTTACAGAAAATCTCTACTCTTTTTTTGTCTTCTCCAAAGTTAGCTTTAGTGAGCCATGATTAATCCATATATATTTTAGAGTATGCTATTGAATTTCTAAAACAATCCAACTAAAATTTTTATTTTGTATTGTCTAGATTCATAGATTAAATTGTACCAATTTTATGTTTTAAAAATATTTTCATACTGTCCAATAACACTTCTCAATTTATTCAGATCACCTTTTCTGTTGTTCATTATATTTTAATGGTTTTTGTTTTTTTTTTGCACAGAAGTATTTTATTTCTTTGGTTAAATTTTTCCTGAGTAGCTTTTTATTTGTGGCAGTTTGAATAGTATCTTATTTTTGCTATATTGTCTACTCTCTTTAGTATAAAATGATTTCTCTAAGTAAATCTTGTTCACCAGTTTTTTGAATTTGAAAAAAAAGTGACATTTGCTTGTATGAAAATATGTATTATCCTCTTTGATTTCCAATTGTGCATCTAAAGAGGTTGGAAATTACCACTTCATCCTAACTTGTACAAATCTGAAAAAAAAAAACTGAAAAACCAAGAACTCTTCTTAGATTCATAAGAGATATGAGGTCACAAGTCATGCCACCCTCCCCCAAATTGGAGAAATATGCAAGAGGATACCGAGAACCACAACATACCAGAGCAGAAACCTCCACAAGAACCAGTGCCTGGGTTGAAAAACCTGAATTGTAATTGGTGAAACACTGAAGTTTTTCAGTTTTCAGCCAGGTGTGAAGTCTTAGACTTAAAAATTCTAGAAATATCTAGTCACAGGGGGGTTCCACGCTTTTCTAAGTTTTACCCCCAATAGCCTGACTTCATTCTCAAAATAAAAGCTGAGACAAGTCCTCTCATACTTGCAGCAAGAGGAGAGGAAAATAATCATTTTAAAATACGCCTGGACTCTCTGTTCCTAACAAGGCCTGCCCTCAGGAGAAACTAGTTAATCAGAGCTTAATCTTTTGTAGATTTATCAGTCTAACTGATCTGGGGAAAGAGAAGTACCAAACCACAGCCAGCTCTTACATGCGGGAGAAGGGAAATGCCCAACTCCATCTCACTTTAGCCGTCCTATTTCACCTAAGAGGGAAGGAAAAAAAACTTAGAAACATTTGTAAAGTTCAAAGTCCAGAGGCATAAATTTACTAAGAGAATAAAACATAACCATGAAACTCTAGAATGCTTCTCCCCCAACATTTAACCAAGATATTATGAAATTTCTATTACAGCAATTCTTTTTTACCCAAAACATTATGTCAAGGGCACACTAAAAGCCAAAAAGAAACAAACAAAAAAGCAAATATACAGTTTGAAGATACAGAGCTAGCATCAGAACCAGATATGGCAGGGATATAAGAATTATGAGGTAGGAAATATAAAACATCTATAATTAATATCATAACCACTCTAATAAATCAAATAGACACCATGTAAGGAGATATGGGCAATGTAAGCAGAGAGATATAAAACCTAAAAAATAACGACAAAAAAAGAAATGCTAGAGATCAAAAACACTGTAACAGAAATGAAAATACATTTGATGGACTTATTAGTAGACTAGACATGCCTGGAGAGAGAATCTCTGAGCTTGAATAAATATAAATAGAGATCTCCAAAACTAAAAAGCAGAGACAATAAGGACTGAAAGAAATAGAACAGAATATCTAGGAATTGTGTTCTTAGATATTACAACTACAAATGCTGTAATGTACACCTAATGGGAATACCAGAAGTAGAAAAAAAAAAAAAAACAGAAAAAAACCAGAAGATATATTTGAAACAATGACTGAGAACTTTTCCAAATTAATGTGAATTTTCAAAGGACAGACCTAAAAATTTCAGAGAATACCAAGCAGGATAAATGCCATAAAAACTGCACTGAGGCATATCATTTATAAGCAACTAAAAGTCAAAGATAAAAAAATCTTAAGCCACAAGGAAAAAATACCTTACGTGTAGGAGAGCAAAGGTAAGAGTTAACATCCAACTTCTCAGAAAACTGGCAAACAAAAGAAAAGTGGAATGCAATAAAGTGTTGAAAGAAAAATAATTTTAAAACACCACCAAGTTAGAATTTTGAACTTTGTATCCTGTGAAATTATTCTACAAAAGTGAAAGGGAAATAAACTTTCTCAAACAGCACTGAGAAAAAATATTTTTCAGTAAGGCTGCTTTTAAGAAATGTCTAAAGAAGTTCTTGAGAGAGAAGGAAAATATTATATTATGGGTCAGAAAGTTGGTTCTACATGAAGAAATAAAGAATATTGAAGAAGAAATAAGCAAGGGTGAAATAAACATTTTTATTTTTCTTCTTAATTGATCTAACAGATAAAGTGTATTTGCAAAATATATTTGATCATGTATGTGTTTTATATGTGTGTGTATATATATATGTGCATACATATATGCTTATGTATGCTTTTATATTAGGGAATAACTGATAACAATAATAGAAGAGATAGGAGGGAGGAATTAGGATTCTTTTGTTGTAAAATCCTCAAATTACCTTGTGAAGTGGTACAGTGTTATTTGAAAGTAGGCTTAGATTAATTGCTCATGTATATGGTAAACTCTACCGCAGCCACTAAAAAAAATGAACTACAATAGATATGTTAATAAAAGAGAAAATTGAATCATATAAAATGCTCAAATAGGAAAATAATAGGCAAATATACAGACATAGCCGGCAGAAAATAAGTAAGGACATAGTTGAACTCAACAATACTTTCAACCAATCAATTGGATATAATTCACATTCATAGAATATTTCATCCAGCAACAGTAGAAAACACATTTTTCTCAAGATCACATGGAACATCTGCCAAGATAGACCACATTCTGGGCCATAGAACACACTTAACAAATTAAAAAGAATAGAAATCATATAATGTCTGCTGTCAGAACACAGTGGAATATTGAGAAACTAACAATCGCTATAATGGGCTATTACCCTACAGTAGTGTTTATTAAGCCTACTCTTTCCCCACCATCACATTTTTTAGTAAATCTACGTGGAACGTAATTAAGTTCTGTGAGTCATGGCAGTGGTTAATTTTCTTCATCCATTTAAAAACTACTTTAAATTCATAAGCATTTTGTAATCACCAGAATAATTTTGTATCTAATTCTTTTAGAAGAGAATATTTGGAAATGCCAGTACTTTGTAATACAGTCACTAACTTGTTTCAAACATGATAACCACTTTTCACGTATTTTAGTTCCATGACATTAGATTTACTAAATGTGTCATCTTTTGATAGTCACCTATTCCTATGAATCATCTCCATTTTTATCCATAACTTGCATGCTCATATTAAATAGAAATATGCCACTAAGTAGTTAAACTAAATTTTAGAAGTCTTTAATCTGACTACTAAAATTACTTAGTCTACATTTGTACAAATCATATTATATCTCTGATTTTTAGTTTCCTCACTTGTAAAATTAGGATAATGATTTTTTTTGCTTACCTCTTAGCATATTTAAAAGGATCAATATGTGATTATAATTTGCAAATTGCCAAGTGCTCTAGAAATGCAAATTATTGCTGATATAAAAATTAGCTTTTAAGCATACTCATACTGCTAGGGAAACATATATATTGGTAAAAACTTTCTGAAGAGATATTTTATATTTTCCACTTTGATTAATTACACTGATAATAATTTATTTTATAGAATTAACATAACTATATACAAAGACTTACAAGACCTATACTCATCACAGGAAAAAGACAACCAAATAATAAATAAGTCATGGTACATCTTTGTGATAATAATCTATGCAAATCTTTTATAATCCTGATTATCATAACTATTACAGTGGTGCATATGCTTACACAATAAAATATGTGAGGCTACTATATACAGTTGGATCCCAAATTTTTGCAAACACACACAGGCAAATTTAATATAGAAACTACATTAAGCTGTTGAAAGTTCTTACTCCTGTGCTAGATTATGAGTGTTTTTAAGTTTTCTTCATAGTTTAAGGAACAGAGAGAAAAATAATTTAAAAATGAACAGAAACATGTGTTCTAGTCTACCATCAAGTATATGTACTATATTATTTCTAGAAGGAGTAGAGAGAAAGGGAAGAAAGAATATTTGAAAAAGTTGATAGTCTAAATTTCCCAAATATGATAAAATACATTAATTTACATATCTAAGAGGTACGATGAACTCCAAAAAGCATAAACTCAAAGAATTCTTAGTGATAAACTTTTCACAAGGAGAGAATCTTGAAATTAGCAAGAAAAAAGTGACTGATCACAGACATGGGATCTTCACCAATTATCAGCTGATATCTCTTCAGACATCATCATGGCCAGATGGCAATCGAATGATATATGTAAAGTCTGAAAGAAAAGAAAAAAATGTTAAGCAAGAATTTCATATCGAAGAAAATCTCCCTTCAATAATGAACAATAAATTAAGACTTCTCCAGGTAAAGAATAGCTGAGTAAGTTTATGCCACTAGACCTGCCCTATGGGAAATGCTAGAGTCCTTCAGATTGAAATGTTAGAATACTAAGCAGTAACTTGGAGCCACATAATGATAGAAATATAACCATAAAAGTGGCTACACAAGCAAATGTGAAAGCATTGTTGTATTTTTATAATTCGTTTTTTTTTTTCTTTTTTTGAGATGGAGTTTTGTTCTTGTTGCCCAGGCTGGAGTGCAATGGTGTGATCTCAGCTCACTGTAACCTCTACCTCCCGGGTTCAATCAACTCTCCCCGCTCAGCCTCCAGAGTAGCTGGGATTACAGGTGCCCGCCACCATGCCTGGCTAATTTTTTGTGTTTTTAGTACAGACGGGGTTTCGCCATGTTGGCCAGGCTGGTCTTGAACTCCTGATCTCAGATGATTCACCTGCCTCGGCCTCCCAAAATGCTGGGATTACAGGCATGAGCCACGGCTCCTGACCCAATTTTTTATTCACTATAGAATTTGAAAGAAAAATGTGTAAAATAGACTTAAAAATGGCTGTTAGGCTGTTATTTGGCACACAATATATAAGGAGGTAAATTGTGAGAAAAACAACGTAAAGTGGGGGATGGAGCAATATAGGAGTAGTTTTTTATGCTAATGAAGTTAATTTGAAATCAACTTGAACTAGATTTTTAATAATTTATGATGCTAAATATAATCTCCACAGTACACCAAAAGAACATTTCTAAAAAATGTACAGAATGGAAAATGTGAAATGAATAAGAAATGATTCTCTATAAAAAATCAACTAAAAAGTAGGCATTAATGAAAGAAATGAGGCAAAAATGTATAAGACATAGAGGAAACAAAAGGCAAAGTGGCATTCATAAGTTATTTAGTTATTTTTATCAGTCATTAACTTTTATGTGAATAAATTAAACCCTCTAATCAAAAGTCAGAGATTGGCAGATGAATTAAAACACACAGGCACAAAACAAAAATAAAAAAACCTGTGTGATGTTAACAAGAGACTCACTTTAGATCCAAAGAAGTAAAAAATTTGAAAGTTAAAGGATGAATAAAGATATTTCATAAAAGTAGTAACAATAAAATATAGTTGCTATACTAACACCAAAATATACTAACACAAAATATAGAGTTGCTATACTAATATCAGAGACATACAAACTTCACATCAAAACTATAACAAGAAACAACAAAGACAATATGGGTCAACATTAAAAAGATAAAAAATATCAATATATGCACACAAAACAAAGCCACTAAATATATGAAAAATACATTGATAGAATTGAAAGGAGAAAAGATAGTTGTATAAACTTGATTGGAGACTTCAAAACCCTACTTTCAATAATGGATAGAACACAGAGAGAGAATCAATATGGAAATGGAAAATTTTTATAATACTGCTCCAACTAAATCTAACAGGAATATATATAATACTCCACACAATGAATAAAAACATATTTTTCTCCAGGGAACATAGAGTATTTCCATGATAGATCTTATGTTAGGCCACAAACCAATCTCCACAACTTGAACAGATTGAAATCACACAAAGTATCCTGCAAACACAATGGAATGAAGCTAGAGATCAATAACAGAAGGAAAACTAGAAAAGTCGTAGACACATGCAGATTAAGCAATACCCTTGTAAGCAACCAATGTGTCAAAACATAAATCAAAAAATAAATTAAAAAATACTTAGAGACAAATGGAAATAAAAGCACAACATACCAAAACTCATAGTATGCCTTAAAGGCTCAGTGGGAAATTTATAGCTCTTAATGCCTACATTAAAAAAATAAAAAAGGTATCCTCAATAACCTAACTTTATACCTTGAAGAACTATAAAATTATAAGCAAACTTAATGCCAATCTAGCAGAAGGAAGAAAATAATAAAGATGAGTGTGAAGTTAAACTAAACAGAGAATAGAAAAACAATAGAGAATATCAATGGAGTTAAATCAAAAGCAGTTTCTTGGAAAGATCAACCAAACTGGAAGAGGTTTAGCCAGAGTGAGAAGTGAAAAAGGAGAGAAAATACAAATAAATAAAATTAGTAATGAAAGTGGGGATATTAATACTGAACTTAGAGAAAAATAAGAATTATAAAATAATATTATAAATAATTGTTTGTTGGTAATTTAGATTTTGTAGATGAAATGGATAAATTTCTGGAAACATAATTTATCAAAACTGACTCAAGAAGAAATAGAAAATTTCAACAGACATGTAAGAAGAGATTTATTCAGTAATCAACCCCACTCCAAGAAAATTCAGGACGAGATGGGCCCTTTGGTGAATTCTACTGAACATTTAAAGAATTAACACCAATTCTTCTAAAATCTTCCAAAACTATATAAGAGGGGGGAATAATTCTTAACTTCTCTTATGAAGCTAGAGTTACCATGATCCAAAGATAAATAGTGACATCACAAGAAAAGAAAATTATACATCAATATTCTTTATGCATGTAGATTCAATCACTCTCAACAATATAATAGCAAACCAAATAGAGCAGCATATTAAAATTTTTATACACCATAGACAAGTGGGAGGTATCCTAGGAATGCAAGGACAGCTCATCAGAAAATCAATCAACGTAATTTGCTACCTTAATAGAGCAAATAGAAGAAACAACATTATTATCTCAATTGACATAGAAAAGCCATTTGAGAAAATCAAACACCCTTCTGTAATAAAAAATACTTAGAAAACAAATAGAAGGGAAGCTCCCTAACATGATTCGAATGAGACTAAAAGCTTTCCCCTTGTATTTTTCCTGAGGACTCTCTTTGGCTTGTAGATGGCCACCTTCTGACTGTGTCTTCATATAGCCTTTCCTCTGTGCATGTGCATTCCTGGTGTCTCTTCCTCTGCTTATAAGGAGACTAGTCTTGTTGGATTAAAATCCCACCCTTATCATCTTATTTAACCTTAATTATCTCTTTAAGTGCCCTGTCTGCAAATGCAGTTACATTGAGGGTTAGGGTTTTAACAGGTGCATTATGAGGGGAAACTCCTACAACTCCTATGACTCAACAACAACAAAGAAACACAAACAACCCAATTAAAAAATAAGCCAAATATTTGAATAAATATATTTTAAAAGAAGACATACAAACAGTCAATAAGCACATGAAAAAAGGCTCCAAAGTCACTAGGGAAATGAAAATCACAACAACAATAAGATATTACTTTAACTAGAATGAATATTATATATAATATTGTCCATTAAAATTATATATATATTATATATATTATATACACTCAGAGCTAATTCTGAGACCAACTCTATTTATAAATGCATATATATCAATGTCTATATAGACATTTTAATGGACAATACAAGTTTGATGAGGCTATGGAAAAATTAAAATGTTCATGCATTGCTGGTAAGAATGGAAAATGGTAAAGTGGCTGTGGAATAGAGTTTGATAGTTTTTCATAAAGATAAACATAGAATTATATGACCTAGCATTTCTACTTCCAGGTCTATGCATTAAAAAGAAGTGAAAAAAAATGAAAGAGACTTAAACAGATAATTTATACCAATGTTCATTGTAGCATTATTGACAATAGCCAAAATGTGGAAACAAACCAGGTGTCCATAAACAGCTGAATGAATAAGCAAAATGTAGTATATGCATACCATAAAATACTATTCAGCCATAAAAAGGAATACAGTTCTTACACATATTATACATATTATATCATGGATGATTCTTGATACATAACATGGATGATTCTTGATAACATTATGCTAAGTAAAATAAGTTAGATACAAAAGAATAAATATATGATCACATTTATATGAAATATCTAGAATAAGCAAATCATAGAGACAGAAGGTAGATGTGGGGTCACAAAGACTGAGTGATGAGATAAATGAGGAATTATTGTTTAATGATTACAAAGTTTCTGTTTGGAGTAATAAAAAAGTTTTGAATATAGATAAAAGTGATGATTGTACAACACTGTGAATGTAATTAATGTCACTGAATTATACACTTAAAATAAAGTAACTATATATATATATATCCACAATAAAAAAGTGGTTTCAAGATATTTATATACCCCTCTGTGAAAATGCTGACTATATTTTCTTTGCCCAGAGTTTTTGTGTTTTAAAATTATGTTATCACAGAATGTAATACAAAGAAAGAACATATATTATCTGCCCCAACTCCTATATTTTAAAGAAATAGAAACTGAGATCCAGATGGGCTTAATGACTCAAATCACACTACCATTTAGAATGCTTTAGAACCAAGTTCTACTAACATGTTGAGCCTTTCGTTGATTTATGTTTTATTATTTATTATGTAATGAATGGTTTATTCTTATTATAGGACTTGCAGGATTCATCAATCAGATAAAGGTTACATAATTTTCTGGAAAAAGTCTAGGGTAGAGTAGATAGCTTTGCAGAAGGCTTGAAATAACATTTCACAAGTGTTTTTTTGGTATACTGAGCAGCCCCACCGTTAGGAAAGGACAGCAGTCAAGGAGTAAGAAATGCAATGTAACAGCATGTGTAGAAGCCTGATAGATTGTGGCCTAAGGTGCGGAACGCTGGTCTTAGTGGCACTCAGAGCTGTTTCTTGGAACAATGCTGTTGGTTTCTAGAGTTACTACAGTATTAAAAAGTTTCTTCTGGGCTGATGTTTTGGCCTGGACGTCAGAGTTGACTTGGATACTTGAACCAGGCAAATTAACCAATTTATGCCTAGTGTTCCATTATTGGAACGCTAAGCTTGTGAGAGTTATTTGTATCCTACTGCTTGAGGTCATCATCAAAGTCTGATTTTTCTCAAAAAAATTTGCAACCTCCAGCATAAATGGGTTAAGTCGGTCACAATAACACCGTGCATGATCAATGCTGCAAAGTAAAATTCTCTTCAGGCTATTCCTCTGTTAAAAAAGAATTAAAAACAAGTAATGTCTAACATGAGATATTGGTATCTGACCTCTTTTTTAATAACAACTCTGAAAAGTGTGTGCAGGCTGAATAAAAATGTGTAAGAAGCTAAGTGAACTGACATTCAGAAGAACATTTACTCAAATTCAGCATATCTAGATTCTAATTCATACTAACTTATGTTGTGATTGAAGACAACAACAGTAAGACATCACTGGATAGCTCTGGACTTCCTCATTAGATGCAGAGATTATTAAAACAATGCTCTCCAGTAAGCTTTGAGAACCAAATGCCCATATTGGTTCTGTATACAAAGTAATAATCAATAACACCTACATGAGTGGCTGTCAGTGTGTTGAAGAAATTATCTGTAAAATTTAGTGAGGTTATAAATTGGGATTTTAAAGATGCAACTAGTAGTTGTGATTGGGTTAACAAAATCTTATCAAGCTTACAAATAGATTATGCAGATGTCAAGTGCATTTTCAAAATTGCCATGGCAAATTCAAGGCTTATATAAAAATGGAAAAATAGTAGATTGCCATTTGGTGATTGGAAAGGTTAGTTTGGGCTGATGCCTGTCTCAGTGATTTGGAACTTGCAAGGAATGTACAAGTTTTTAATGAATTTGATGCTTTCAATGCATTTGATACCCCAAGAGAACACTTAAATATAAAGCAGAAGCCTAATTTTATATGTGCTCTTGGGGTGTAAAATTGTCCAATAAGAAGGAAATTAAGAGTGCATGCTGGAATCAACTCCTTATACTTCCTGATCTCACCATCTATTGTGTGGTCAGCTATTATATGTTAAAGCAATTATAGAAATGTGCGGCCTCAGTGTTCTTGGAATAATGCCTCATACTCACCAGGTTTGCTGTGTAGGATAAGAGTTTAGGAGAGGCCTACTGGCAGAAAGAGCATGAGATTTAATTCTCTTTCTAACTGCCATCTCTTTTACTACAAAGCAGGAAAATAATAGCTGCTTTAACTGTTGTGATGGCAGTGATGAGATAATCTACTTGAAAGCAGTTTACAAAGTCTTAAAGGATTTATAAGTGATGACTGACTTTTCGGTGCCTGCCCTATTCCTGTAGTCCAATGAATAAATCAATAATGGGATGATTTGGAGGTGAGAGTTTGAGATGGCAAATATTATTGTTAGATTTTAGTGTATTGAGATGAATTTAAGACAATAGATAAAACCTGAGCCCATGTGCTGATTTAGAGTAAGCTGAGGTGTTTTTTAAATATATTTCTTCTAGAATACACCTCAGCTTACTCTAAAATCTAAGACTTTGTAAACTCTTAATTTCCTTCTTATTGAACAATTTTATACCCCAAGAGCACATATAAAATTAGGCTTCTGCTTTATATTTAGAAAATTTCTAAATGGTTTATTTTCAGGATTTATGTTACTGAATTTGTGTGAGAATCATCAGAGCAGGGACTATCTTTTGATTTTGTATACACCCTTGGTTATTGATAGACCCTTTAGAAATGACTCAATGTTTTGCCACAGTTCTTTGCTTGTAGATTGCTCTTCAGCTCAATACTGTTCTTGCCTTTTACTTCCAGAATTCATAACCTAATTGCTAAATTAGGTTAGTGATAATTAGTGATAGCTAAATCACCTCAGCCAATCTCTTAGGTACATACATCTCCTTAAACCAGTCTGTACTTCTCCCCTTTCTGATGCCAACTCCAACAGCCTCAGCCAGTCAAGATCTCCACACAGTCCCTTTGTTTTTCTACATGAAAATTGAAAAGTCAGATCAAGTTCTGCTAGGTTTTCCCCACAGTCTTTCTCTTAAAGATGAGGCAGATGGGGTAGGGCAAGTAGTCTTTGTTCTTCAATTACATTCTCATTTTGTGTTTCTTAAACCCTTCAGCTAATGACTAAAAAACCGAGTGTGATCTTGAGATTAACCTTTCTATACCTTATTTTCCTCATATATAAAATGAAAATAATAATAGCATTTACTTCTCAGGGTTATTTGAAGTAGTAAATTAGTTTATACTTGCAACATTTATAATAACATCTAGAACCTAGGAAGAACTAAGAAAGTGTCAATAATTTTTATTATGAACCCCCTGTGTACTTCCTGAGATAGCTTCTACCCCAGTTGCAGCCTCCTGTCTGCGCATTGTGTATGTGTGTATATGTGTCAAAACAATTAGATAAAAATAGAAAAAAATCTACTTTTCAATTATTTATTTAAGAATAGGCTCATCAGCCCTGCCCAAATGAAGAAAGATATTGAAGGCTATTCAAAATCAATATGAATGTCAACATACTTAGACAGATGGCCAACCTGCCTTGTGAGAAGCACAATGAACAAATCAATGAAACTCATTAGAAGGCACTTAAGAATAATAAATTATAAAGGAATAAATAATAATTCGGCAATGGCTTGGTTCCAGGAGCTTGAATTGAGGGTGTCAGAATTGGAAACCACTTGAATATTCCCTGTATAAGTTAAGACAAGGTAAAATATATGAATCATTTTTGAAATGTTAAAACTTTTCCGTATGAACAAAGTGTATTGGTCAATTTGCATTTAAGTGTTCTCCTCTGTGAAGTGGCTTGAACATGCAACAGGAGCACTATTTTCTGTCTGCCAGTATGGTCACTCTCTACCCCACCTCCTAATTAGTCATAAACGAGAAAACATTGGCTTAGGATACTAAATTGTCATTACCACAGATGCATAAACAACACAGAAAGCTGTCCTGAGTTAGTGATTGAGAATACATCTAGTATTCTATTTTAGCATTATTACATTTGGCTGTTTATCCCTAGTTATTTTTCCATATTCTTTATGGTTAGTAAGCTTAGAGTAAAGGATATGAATCTGGGGTCAAGGGAGAAACTTCTTCAACTGTAGCTAATTGGAAAGGACCTAAATAGTCATTCATATTTAACTTGTTAAAACTCCCAGGGAAAGTTGAATATAAACAAGGGATAAGCCTTAAATCACAGAAATGCATCTATAATGTTACAGGTTGATGTTAACAATGAAGGAATGAAGAATAAACTGGAGCTATAGAGGTCTGACCACTTTCCCTGAAATCATATATTCTATTCAGGTAGCAGTTTTCTTCCCTACATACAGCTAGAGTTACCCTGGATTTTGGACAAAAATGCTGTCAATCTGCACATTACCTTCTGGAATTTTGTAACCAATTAAACCATCTGTTAGTGCCCTGGAGCACACCCACCTACAAGTTTCTCAGCTAATGAGTTGCTTGGTGGTTTCAGTAAAAGAGTTTCTCCTCAAGGACCATGCCTTACCCAGTTAAAAAGCCTGCAAGACATTGCTAAAGCATAGAGAAGTACAAGAATATGTACTTTTTCTACAGTACAAGGGTCAGTGTCAAACAGATGTGCAAAAAGTGGATAAGATCAGTTCAGTAACTGGGTGATCTCTTCACAGCTTCTATAAGTTTACCACCCTTTAGAAATAAATTAACTTAGGCCTGAGATAAGATCCTTTGTGTCTTTTTTTTGTAGAAGCTGCCTTCTTTGATATTCCTGAATAATGTCATTAAAATGCATCTTCAAAAATGATCAGATTCTACTTACTAGTAAAATTTTACTTATGGTTTATAGGAACCAGGTATACAATGGAGAAATAATTTCCTAATATATTGTTTGTGTGAGGGACCTGCAAATAGCTACTGACATATCAGGGAGGTAGTGGATAACACTGCACTAGGAGTAAATGTCATAAATCTGGAAAACTTCAGAGATACATATGTGGAAAACTCAAATATGTTGGTCTTCAATTAAAACAGTGCACACATGTTGAGTCTGCTACCCACACCTATCTAGCTACAGGTTTTACATATACGCCCTCATGCAGCCCTAACACTTTTACCTTGATTGTTGCATATATGTGAGCTTTATAGATAGACAGTGATAAGGTCCTGTGTCCGAAGCTGGGACTTAACAGTCAGAATTTGTATACATAAACACTAAAATGTCTAGAGGTTATTAAATTCCCACTTTCAAGTTCTATTCTAATTGATCATATTATGTCTTTATATTTTTGTCATCTCTGCTTTTTTTCTCACCTTTTTCAATAGATTTCAGCATATTCTTTAAATCCTTTGTCCTCTTAAAAGTCTCTAATTTGGGGGAGGCAGCTCAAGTTGGCTGATTAAAAGCAGCTGTAGTGCATGGCATTTATAAAGAGAAAGAAAAGGGTTGAGTAAATACACACCTTCAACAGAAATATCTAGATACTCACACTGGGACTGATTGAGGAAACAACTCAACCCACAGAGAATGAAGGAAAGAAGGACAAGATGATGGCCCATTCAGGAGCAACATGGAGCCAAGGGAACCCCCACCTGCAGCCAAGGGAAGTGGTGAGTAAATGTGTGACCCTGGGTAACCATGCATCTCCCATAGACCTTTTCAACCCATGGATCAGGAGCTCCTCTCCTGAGCCCACTCCACCAGAGCCTTGCGTTCAACACACAGAGCTGTGTGGAGTCTCAGCAGAGCTGCTGCTCAGAAACACACAGAGACCTGGGAGCTTTACATACTCTAGCCCTGGGATCTCTGACAAAGGTAACTGCCACTCAGACAAGGTGAGAGGTCCATACATATCCCTAAGAAGGGGGCTAAATCCGAGAAGCCAAGCAGTGTCAGTCTGTGGGCTCCAATTACCAGCCACTACAAAAACACACTGAAATACACAGACAGTGACACTATGAAGCAACCACATAAACAAGTCTACAAAATAAATAGCTAGCATTGTGATGACAGGAAAAAATCCATACATAACGGTACTAACCTTAAATGTAAATGGGATAAATGCCCCAATTAAAAGACACAGAGTGGCAAGCTGGATAAAGAACCAACACCTGTTGGTATGCCATCTTTAAGAGACCCATCTGACATGCAAAGACACATATAAGCTCAAAATAAAGGGATGGACAAAAATTTATGAAGCAAATGGAAAACAGAAAAAGGCAAGGTTTACAATCCTAGTTTCTGACAAAACAGACTTTAAACCAACAAAGAAAAAAAAAAAAGACAAAGAAGGGCATTACATATGGTAAAGGGTTCAATTCCACAAGAAGATCTAACTATCCTAATTAAAAATGCACCAAATACAGGAACATCCAGATTCATAAGGCAAATTCTTAGAGATCTTCAAAGAGTCTTAGACTCCCACACAATAATAGTGGATGACTTTAACACTCCACTGAAAATATGAGACAGATCATCAAGTAAAAAGTTAACAAAAATATTCAGGACCTGAACTCAGCTCTGGATCAAGTGGACCTGATAGATATCTATGTAAATCTCCACCCAAAACACCATAATATACATTCTTCTCATTGCTACGTAGCACTTACTCTAAAATTGATCATACAACCGGAAGTATAACACTCCTCAGCAAATGTAAAAGAACTGAAATCATAACAGTCCCTTGAACAACAGTGCAAACAAATTAGACCTCAAGATTAAGAAATTCATTCAAAACCACACAACTACATGGAAATTGAACAACCTGCTCCTTTGGATAAGTAATGAAATTAAGGCAGAAATCAAGAAGTTCTTTGAAACTAATGAAAACAAAGACAAATGTACCAGAATCTCTGTGACACAGCTAAATCACTGTTTAGTGGGAAATTTATAGTACAAAATGCCCACACCAAAAAGCTAGAAATATCTCACGTTAACAACCCAACATCACAACTAAAATAACTAGAGAACCAAGGGCAAACAAACCCCAAAGCTAGCAGAAGACAAGAAGTAATCAAAATGAGAGCTGAATGAAGGAGATGGAGACATGAAAAACTCTTCAAAATATCAACAAATCCAGGAGCTGCTTTTTTTTTGAAAAAAATAAAAATAAAACAGACAGGCTGCTAGCTAGACTAATAAAGAAGAAAGGGGAGAAGATTCAAATAAACAAAATTAGAAATGGTAAGGGGGATATTACCATTGACCCCACAGAAATAAAACAATGGAGAATATTAAAAACATTTTTATACACATAAACCAGAAGAAATAGATAAATTCCTGTACAGATACACCCTCCCAAGACTGAACCAAGAAGAAATTGTATCCCTGAAGAGGCCAATAACAAGTTCTGAAATTGAGGCAGTAGTAAGTAGCCTACCAAAAAAAAAAAAAAAAAGCCAGGACCAGGCAGATTCACAGATGAATGATACCAGAGGTACAAAGTACAGCTGGTACCATTTCTACTGAAACTATTCCAAAAAAATCGAAAAGGAGAGACTTCTCCCTAACTCATTCTATGAGGCCAGCATCATTGTGTTACCAAAACCTGGCGGAAACACAACACAAAAAAAAACTTCAGGCCAATATCCTTGATTAACATCGATGCAGAAATCCTCAACAAAATACTGGCATCAAAAAGCTTATCCACCACAATTAACAAGACTTCATCCCTGGGATGCAAGGTTATTTCAACATACACAAATCAATAAATGCAATTCATCACATAAACAGAACTAAAAACAATAACCACAAGATTATCTTAATAGATTCTGAAAAGACCTTCGACAAAATACAACATCCCTTCATGTTAAAAACTCTCAATTAACTAGATATTGAAGGAACATACCACAAAACAATAAAAGCTATATATCACAAACCCACAACCAGTATCATACTGAATGGGCAAAAAGCTGGAACCACAACCCTTGAAAACCAGCACAAGACAAGTTTACCCTGCCTCACTTCAACATGGTATTGAAAGTTCTGGCCTGGGAAATCAGGCAAGAGAAAGAAATAAAGGTATTCAAGTAGGAAAAGAGGAAGTCAAATTATCTTTGTTTGCAGATTACATGATAATATATTTAGAAAACCCCATTGTCTCAGCCCAAAAGCTTCTTAAGCTGACAGGCAACTTCAGAAAAGCCTCAGGATACAAAATCAATGAGCAAAAATTGCTTGCATTCCTATAAACCAGCAGCAGGCAAGCAGAGAGCTAAATCATGAATGAACTCCAATTCACAATTGCCACAAAAAGAATAAACTACCTAGGAATACAGCTAACAAGGGAAGTGAAGGACCTCTTCAAGAAGAACTACAAACCACTGCTCAAAAAAATCAGAGATGACACAAACAAATGGAAAAATATTCCATGCTCATGAATATAAATAATCAATATTATAAAATGGCCATATTGCCCAAAGTAATTTATAGATTCAATGCTATTCTCATTAAACTACCATTGACATACTTCACAAAATTAGAAAAAAACTATTTTAAAATTCATGTGGAACCAAAATAAAAAAGTCCAAATAGCCAAGGCAATATTAAGCAAGAAGAAAAAGCTGGAGTCATTACACTACCTGACTTCAAACAATACTATAGGGTTACAGTAAACAAAACATCATGGTACTGGCACAAGAACAGACACATAGACCAATGGAACAGAATAGGGAATCCAGAAATAAGGCTGCACACCGACAACCATCTGATCTGTGACAAACCTGACAAAAACCAATGGGGAAAGGATTCCATATTTAGTAAACAGTGCTGGGAGAACTGGCTAGCCATATGCAGAAGATTGAAACTGCACCCCTTCCTTACACCATATACAAAAATTAACTCAAAATGGATTAAGGGCTTAAATGTAAATCCAAAAACTATAAAAACCCTAGAAGAAAATCTAGGCAATACCATTCAGGACATAGGCATGGGCAAAGATTTCATGATGAAGATACCAAAAGCAATTGCAACAAAAGCAAAAATTGACAAATGGTATCTAATTAAACTAAAGAGCTTCTGCACAGCAAAAGAAACTATCAACAGGATAAACAGACAACCTACAAAATGGGAGAAAATTTTTGCAGTCTATGCATCTGAAAAAGGTCTAATATCCAGCATCTATAAGGAACTTAAACAAATTTACAAGAAAAGAACAAACAACCCCATTAAAAAGTGGGCAAAGGACATGAACAGATACTTCACAAAAGAAGACATACATCCTGTCAACAAACATATGAGAAAAAAGCCCAACATCACTAATCATTAGAGAAATGCAAATAAAAACTACAATGAAATATCACCTCACAGCAGTCAGAATGGCTATTACTAAAAAGTCAGAAAACTCGTCATCTAGCATTAGGTATATCTCCCAATGCTATCCCTCCCCCCTCCCCCTTCCCCACCACAGTCCCCAGAGTGTGATGTTCCCCTTCCTGTGTCCATGTGATCTCATTGTTCAATTCCCACCTATGAGTGAGAATATGCGGTGTTTGGTTTTTTGTTCTTGCGATAGTTTACTGAGAACGATGGTTTCCAATTTCATCCATGTCCCTACAAAGGACATGAACTCATCATTTTTTATGGCTGCATAGTATTCCATGGTGTATATGTGCCACATTTTCTTAATCCAGTCTATCATCGTTGGACATTTGGGTTGGTTCCAAGTCTTTGCTATTGTGAATAATGCCGCAATAAACATATGTGTGCATGTGTCTTTATAGCAGCATGATTTATAGTCATTTGGGTATATACCCAGTAATGAGATGGCTGGGTCAAATGGTATTTCTAGTTCTAGATCCCTGAGGAATCGCCACACAGACTTCCACAATGGTTGAACTAGTTTACAGTCCCACCAACAGTGTAAAAGTGTTCCTATTTCTCCACATCCTCTCCAGCACCTGTTGTTTCCTGACTTTTTAATGATTGCCATTCTTACTGGTGTGAGATGATATCTCATAGTGGTTTTGATTTGCATTTCTCTGATGGCCAGTGATGACGAGCATTTTTTCATGTGTTTTTTGGCTGCATAAATGTCTTCTTTTGAGAAGTGTCTGTTCATGTCCCTCGCCCACTTTTTGATGGGGTTGTTTGTTTTTTTCTTGTAAATTTGTTTGAGTTCATTGTAGATTCTGGATATTAGCCCTTTGTCAGATGAGTAGGTTGCAAAAATTTTCTCCCATGTTGTAGGTTGCCTGTTCACTCTGATGGTAGTTTCTTTTGCTGTGCAGAAGCTCTTTAGTTTAATTAGATCCCATTTGTCAATTTTGGCTTTTGTTGCCATTGCTTTTGGTGTTTTGGACATGAAGTCCTTGCCCATGCCTATGTCCTGAATGGTAATGCCTAGGTTTTCTTCTAGGGTTTTTATGGTTTTAGGTCTAACGTTTAAATCTTTAATCCATCTTGAATTGATTTTTGTATAAGGTGTAAGGAAGGGATCCAGTTTCAGCTTTCTACATATGGCTAGCCAGTTTTCCCAGCACCATTTATTAAATAGGGAATCCTTTCCCCATTGCTTGTTTTTCTCAGGTTTGTCAAAGATCAGATAGTTGTAGGTATGCGGCGTTATTTCTGAGGGCTCTGTTCTGTTCCATTGATCTATATCTCTGTTTTGGTACCAGTACCATGCTGTTTTGGTTACTGTAGCCTTGTAGTATAGTTTGAAGTCAGGTAGTTTGATGCCTCCAGCTTTGTTCTTTCCAGCATGGCACATGTATACATATGTAACTAACCTGCACAATGTGCACATGTACCCTAAAACTTAAAGTATAATTTAAAAAAATAATAATAATAATAATAATAATAGTAATAATAATAAAATAGCTCTGTGGACTCTGAAAAAATAAAATAAAGTGGAAACTCTAGTTCAATTCTTTTTATCCTCATTTCTCATGTAGAAATTTAACAAAACTGTGGAAGTAAAGTATTTGCAAATATTGAAGAATCTATAGTATGGCATAGTTTTTTGAGAAATGGACTCCTTAAAGTTCTTTAGAGACAAGTTCTCGTCTTGTTTTTATTTAATATTTTCAGTCATGGTGCAATTATGGAATAAAGAATACTCTTATTTTTGTTTTGAATTTTCAAGTGAGTGGAATGTTTTTTCAATAGCTCGTAAATATGAATTAAAATTAAATTGTGAGTTCAATATGAGTTGAATTTATTAAATTTCAAAGGTTTCTTGTAGAGTGGTTCATTTAGATGAGTAAATAGAGAGAGTGGTATACTGACAATATCACAATTGCGTTTGCTGTCAGGACAACCTAACCCAGATTCTCAGTCCATGACATAGCATGCAAATGTCATGCTAACACTCAGATACGAACACATAGCCAATCCTACATCAATGCTATCCTATTCCTGGATAGCATCGTGCCATAAGGAACCAGTTTGCAGGACTCATCATTGAAGTTTGGCATTTCAGAAGAGAAAGATTAATGCCTTCCTTTTTTTATATAAAACAACAGCCTTATAGATTTCCATCTAAAAATAATTTCTTCATCAAATATATTCTAAAAAAATTTTTGCTTACTGCTTATAGCTCCCTCTTGAGTATTCAAATATATACTAACATATTAACAGCTCTGAGAAGTCATATTGCAAAACCAACTCTTTAACTTTACTTAACCAGCATTGCCCAAATCTCTTTGACCACAGAGCATTTTCATGGTGTGTTTCAGTTATTAACTCTATGGTATACTATTTGGGAAATATTGTCTCTCAATTGTTTAAGTCATTTATGCAAGTGTATGGAATAGTATGATTTTCATTATAAGCCTACATTTAGAACAATGTTTTTGTATTGTAATATCTTAATTTGAATAAAGGAACCAGTACAATTAAAAAAAAAAAAGTCAGAAAACAACAGATGCTGGTGAGTTTGTGGAGAAAAAGGAATGCTTCTACACTGTTGATGGATGTGTAAGCTAGTTCAACCATTTTAAAATACAGTGTAGTAATTCCTCAAAGATCCAGAGGCAGAATACTATTTGATTCAGCAATGCCATTATTGGGTATATACCCAAAGAAATATAAATTGTTCTATTATAAAGACAACATGCATTTGAATGCTCATTGCAGCACTATTCACAATAGCAAAGAAGTAGAATCAACCTAAATGCTCATAAATGATACACTAGATAAAGAAAATGTGGTACATATACATCATGGAATACTATACAGCCATAAAAGGATTGAAATCATATTGTTTGCAGGGGCATGGATGGAGCTGGAGGCCATAATTCTTAGCAAACTAACACAGGAACAGAGAGCCTGTTCTCACTTAAAAGTGAGAGCTAAATTATGAGAACACATGGACACATGCTGGGGAAAAACACACACTGGGACTTGTCAGAGGGTTGGGGGTGGAAGAAGGGAAAGGATTAGGGAGAATATTAATAGCTAGTGGATTCTGAAATTAATACCTAGGTGATGGGAAGATCTGTGCAGAAAACCACCATGGCACATGTTTACCTATAACAAACCTGCACATATACCCCTGAATGTAAAATAAAAGTTGGAAATAGAAGATAAAAAATAAATTAAAAGATAAAAATATCTAATTTTTATTTTACAACCTTCTTTACCCTATGTAACTCTCATTTAGGTTAGCACTGAAAAACTGTAAAACAAACCAAAATAAAAACATATAATAAAGCCTACAAAATCTTGAAATTCAGCTGACTGTATGAAACCAAGTTACTTAGTTTGAAAATTTGGAGATGGCTCCATTTCTTATTGATATCTGTTTTCCTCAATTGTCCTTTCTAAAAATATTTACATTTATTTTTGATGTTACCAATATTCCTGTATTACTACTTAAATTTCAATGCCTTCAGTAAGATTGCTTGAGAGTTCCACTGCAAGAAAACTCATCTCTTTCTTTATGAAACCAAACTACATTTGGATCGTGTTTGATTCCTAACAGTGTTTTTAAAAGTAGTTTACCTAGCTGGAGCTGACACCTGTCTATATTGTGCAGTTTGAAGGATATAAGAAAAGATTTTCCACAAAGAAAAAAAGACTGCTTTTGATATAATCTCAGAAATTATGCCATCAGTGATTTCTTCACTTTGTATTAAGTATTATGCTCTGCGGACCCTATTTTGAACTGAAAAAAAAAAATAATTATTTTGCAATTGGTATGAATTCACTGTTTTGCTCAGAACAGGAAGACTCTAAACTGGATGAAAGTACTGCTGCATACCAGGGGAGGGAACAAAAATGCATACCAGGGGAGGGAAGAAATGGAATTTAATTTGGGTACCAAAAGAAGGTTCCAGATCATTAGATACAATTCTCTCCATTTTACAAACAAGGCAAATAAGAAGGAGGGAGGTGATTTGCTTTAGCTCATATGTTTGTCCTGCCACATGCTCAGCAGACATTGCTTTCATGGGTAAGTCTCTGTTTTTTGTAATCACCCCAAATCCTAAACAAGCTGTCCAAAATAAGAGTTTTAATGTACGGACACTGTTGTCAATTTCGCCTTACCTCCCAGGTCCAGCATTTAAAAAATATTTTTAAAATATCAAATAATAACAGAAAAACACATCAGTTTAATTTTCTCTGGTACCATAATTCCTGTCAATCAGGTACTTCTACTTCCCTTTGAATGGACTCATTTATTCCTAAACTATGACTACCACTATCTGCTACTTTTCCTTTTGTCTAACTTATTTTTATCTTCAAAGCATCCTTATAGTAAAGTCATTGGTAAATATAAAGGAGCCACTGCCCTGTTGGCTAAAATCCTGCTGCCGTATTCCCTAGCACCTAAAGAATTGTTGTGGCTGTTTTCATTATCTTTCATCTCTGCTGAAAGTGAAAGTAGGAGGGGAGAGAAGAGATGGTTCCATCACAGGCTCCACTTCAAAAGAGCCTTGATCATGAAAGGAGGTGAGAGCCACATGAGTTGACTTTCTCTTCTAGCACACAATTATCTTAACATTAAGTAATTTACTTTGTAATTATTATGAAATCTTACAGCCTCTAAAACTAGGAACACTCTTAACATGAACAGATTCAATTCAAATTTCATTCCACTTAAAGAAAAACTTGTATTGAGTTCATACCAGGGTTCAGATATTGTAATGGGAACCAAGACTTCAAAGATAAAAAATATCTGCTACATTCTCGCAAAGACTTCATGGTCTATTCTGTAGCCCAAACAGCAAAGACATTTAGCATAATCTCAAACACATTGGAGGAGAAAATATATACTTTTTGAATTTTATGTACAGTATACAAATTGAGACAAGTATTTAGAGGTCAGTATAAAATGCATGGAAGTTCAGAGAAAGAGGTCAAACAGAGCCTATGTGTTTTCCCCCTGTTTTTTTAATTTAATTCATTAAATCTCCTACTGACCTGTACACTCCCTGACCCTTCTTGCCCTCAGTGCACATGCAAAATCCACACTCTACAGACAGGACCATTCTACCACAGGTCATTTCACTTGACAAACGTGTTTACAGACTTGTTTATAGTCTATCAAGTGGCCAATCAATTTCATTGAAAATGAGATACAACTGGTTACTTAGATAAATTCACCTTTTCTCCCAGAGCTAAGCTGTGTGGTTTCTATTATTCATAAAGACACCTGCCTCTCCTGCAGAAAACTGATGATCATCAAGGGACCTGGAACTCAACACACTGAGTGTACATTCTTTGTATTAGATTCATTTGTAGTATGCTGGACAAACTATAAAAGGCTAATCTGAATTTGCAAACTTGTCCTCGCTTCCTAAGTGTGAGATTGTACAAAGATGGAGTATAAATGTTACATGAGAAAAATAACAAGGCAGAAAGTGTACACGGCTTCACAATGCCTATCTAACCCCTGACAGATGTGCAACTGTTCTGTATTCAGTGAAGCCCATGTAGAATGAGAAACTTACCAGTGTGAAGGACCTAAGAAACCATAGACGCTCTCTTTAACACAATTAGATGGAAGAGAGGTGGAGAGCATATCTACCTTCAACCATCTAAGACAATTTCTTATGTTGTCACACCATGAAAACAGATAGTTACACTGAGACTAAAAGACAATTGAAAGAACATTCAAATGAGATTCAACAATTTATACCTTTTAAGCCTCTTATCCATTTTGAGATTACAGGTATAAAATGGTTGAAAGTTGGAGATTTAGAATGAACTTATCCTGCCCCTCACTTGAAATTTAGGAAAAAGGAGCTTTTTTTTTCTTTTCTCTCTTTTTTTTTAATTATACTTTAAGTCCTAGGGTACATGCGCATGATGTGCAGGTTTGTTACATATGTATACATGTGCCATGTTGGTGTGCTGCACCCATTAACGCATCATTTACATTAGGTATTTCTTTTAATGCTATCCCTCCCCACTCCCCACAGTCCATGACAGGCCCCAGTGTGTGATGTTCCCAGCCCTGTATCCAAGTGTTCTCATTATTCAATTCCCATCTATGAGTGAGAACATGCAGTGTTTGACTTACTGTCCTTGCAATAGTTTGCTCAGAATGATGATTTCCAGCTTCATCCATGTCCCTACAAAGGACATGAACTCATCCTTTTTTATGGCTGCATAGTATTCCATGGTGTATAAGTGCCACATTTTCTTAATCCAGTCTATCATTGCTGGACATTTGGGTTGGTTCCAAGTCTTTGCTATTCTGAATAGTGCCACGATAAACATACATGTCCATGTGTCTTTATAGTAGCATGATTTATAATCCTTTGGGTATATACCCAGTAATGGGATGGCTGGGTCAAATGGTATTTCTAGTTCTAGATCCTTGAGGAATCGCCACACTGTCTTCCACAATGGTTGAACTAGTTTACACTCTCATCAAGAGTGGAAAAGTGTTCCTATTTCTCCAAATCCTCTCCAGCACCTGTTGCTTCCTGACTTTTTAATGATCGCCATTCTAACTGGTGTGAGAAGGTATCACATTGTGGTTTTGATTTGCATTTCTCTGATGACCAGTAATGATGAGGATTTTTTCAAGTATCTGTTGGCTCCATAAAGGTCTTCTTTTCAGAAGTGTCTGTTCATACCCTTTGCCCACTTTTTGATGGGGTTGATTGATTTTTTCTTGTAAATTTGTTTAAGTTCTTTGTAGAATCTGGATATTAGCCTTTTGTCAGATGGGTAGATTGTAAAAATTTTCTCCCATTCTGTAGGTTGCCTATTCACTTGATGGTAGATTCTTTTGCTGTGCAGAAGCTCTTTGGTTTAATTAGATCACATTTGTCTATTTTGGCTTTTGTTGCCATTGCTTTTGGTGTTTTAGTTACGAAGTCCTTGCCCATGCCTATGTCCCGAATGATATTGCCTAGGTTTTCTTCTAGGGTTTTTATGGTTTTAGGTCTTACATTTAAGTCTTTAATCCATCTTGAATTAATTTTTGTATAAGGTGTAAGGAAGGGATGCAGTTTCAGCTTTCTACATATAGGTAGCCAGTTTTCCGAGCACCATTTATTAAATAGGGAATCCTTTCCCCATTTCTTGTTCTTGTCAGGTTTGTCAAAGATCAGATGGTTGTAGATGTGTGGTGTTATTTCTGAGGCCTCCATTCTGTTCCATTGGTCTATATCTCTGTTTTGGTACCAGTACCATGCTGTTTTGGTTACTGTAGCCTTGTCATATAGTTTGAAGTCAGGTAGTGTGATGCCTCCAGCTTTGTTCTTTTGGCTTAGGATTTTCTCGGCAATGTGGGCTCTTTTTTGGTTCCATATGAACTTTAAAGTAGTTTTTTCCAATTCTGTGAAGAAAGTCATTGGTAGCTTGATGGGGATGGCATTGAATCTATAAATTACCTTGGGCAGTATGGCCATTTTCACGATATTGATGCTTCCTACCCATGAGCATGGAATGTTCTTCCATTTGTTTGTGTCCTCTTTTTTTATCATTGAGCAGTGGTTTGTAGTTCTCCTTGAAGAGGTCCTTCACATCCCTTGTAAGTTGGATTCCTAGGTATTTTATTCTCTTTGAAGCAATTGTGAATGGGAGCTCACTCATGATTTGGCTCTCTGTTTGTCTGTTATTGGTGTATAGGAATGCTTGTGATTTTTGCACATTGATTTTGTATCCTGAGACTTTGCTGAAGTTGCTTATCAGCTTAAGGAGATTTTGGGCTGAGACAATGGGGTTTTCTAGATATACAATCATGTCATCTGCAAACAGGGACAATTTGACCTCCTCTTTTCCTAATTGAATACCCTTTATTTCTTTCTACTGCCTGATTGCCCTGGCCAGAACTTCCAACTCTATATTGAATAGGAGTGGTGAGAGAGGGCATCCCTGTCTTGTGCCAGTTTTCAAAGGGAATGCTTCCAGTTTTTGCCCATTCAGTATGATATTGGCTGTGGGTTTGTCATAAATAGCTCTTATTATTTTGAGATGCATCCATCAATACCTAGTTTATTGAGAGTTTTTAGCATGAAGCGCTGTTGAATTTTGTTGAAGGCCTTTTCTGCATCTATTGAGATAAGAATGTGGATTTTGTCTTTGGTTCTGTTTATGTGATAGATAATGTTTTTTGATTTGCATATGTTGAACCAGCCTTGCATCCCAGGGATGAAGCCAACTTGATCGTGGTGGATAAACTTTTGGATGTGCTGCTGGATTCTGTTTGCCAGTATTTTATTGAGGATTTTCACATCGATATTCATTAGGGATATTGGTCTAAAATTCTCTTTTTTTCATTTTGTCTTTGCCAGGCTTTAGTATCAGGATGATGCTGGCCTCATAAAATGACTTAGAAAGAATTCCCTCTTTTTCTATTGATTGGAATAGTTTCAGAAGGAATGGTACCAGCTCCTCCTTCTACCTCTGGTAGAATTTGGCTGTGAATCCATCTGGTCCTGGACTTTTTTTGGTTGGTAGGCTATTAATTATTGCCTCAATTTCAGAGCCTGTTATTGGTCTATTCAGGGATTCAACTTCTTCCTGGTTTAGTCTTGGGAGGGTGTATGTGTCCAGGAATTCATCCAATTCTTCTAGGTTTTCTAATTTATTTGTGTAGAGGTGTTTATATTATTCTCTGATGGTAGTTTGTATTTCTGTGGGATCAGTGGTGATATCCCTTCTATCATTTTTTATTGTGTCTATTTGATTCTTCTCTCTTTTCTTCTTTGCTAGTGGTCTATCAATTTTGTGGATCTTTTCAAAAAACCAACTCCTGTATTCATTGATTTTTTGAAGGGTTTTTTGTGTCTTTATCTCCTTCAGTTCTGCTCTGATCTTAGTTATCTCTTGCCTTCTGCTAGCTTTTGAATGTGTTTGCTCTTGCTTCTCTAGTTCTTTTAATTGTGATGTTAGGGTGTCAATTTTAGATCTTCCCTGCTGTCTCTTGTGGGCATTTAGTGCTATAAATTTCCCTCTACACAATGCTTTATATGTGTCCCAGAGATTCTGATATGTTGTGTCGTTGTTCTCATTGGTTTCAAAGAACATCTTTATTTCTGCCTTCATTTCATTATTTACCCAGTAGTCATTCAGGAGCAGGTTGTTCAGTTTCCATGTAGTTGTGTGGTTTTGAATGAGTTTCTTAATCCTGGGTTCTAATTTGATTGCACAGTGATCTGAGAGACAGTTTGTTGTAATTTCTGTTCTTTTACATTTGCTGAGGAGTGCTTTGCTTCCAACTATGTGGTCAGTTTTGGAATAAGCATGATGTGGTGCTGAAAAGAATGTATATTCTGTTGATTTGGGGTGGAGAGTTCTGTAGATGTCAATTAGGTCCATTTGGTGCAGAGCTGAGTTCAAGTCCTGGATATCCTTGTTAACCTTCTGTCCTGTTGATCTGTCTAATATTGACAGTGGTGTGCTAAAGTCTCCCATTATTATTGTATTGGAGTCTAAGTCTCTTTGTAGGTCTCTAAGGACTTGCCTTAAGAATCTGGGTGCCCCTATTTTGCATGCATATATATTTAGGATAGTTAGCACTTCTTGTTGAATTGATCCCTTTACCATTATGTAATGGCCTTCTTTGTCTCTTTTGATCTTTGTTGGTTTAAAGTCTGTTTTATCAGAGACTAGGATTGCAACCCCTGCTTTTTTTTGTTTTCCATTTGCTTGGTAGATCTTCCTCCATCCCTTTATTTTGAGCCTATGTGTGTCTCTGCACATGAGATGGGTCTCCTGAATACAGCACACTGATGGGTCTTGACTCTTTATCCAATTTGCCAGTCTGTGTCTTTTAACTGGGGCATTTAGCCCATTTACATTTAAGATTTATATTGTTATGTATGAATTTGATCCTGTCATTATGATGTTAGCTGGTTATTTTGCTCGTTAGTTGATGCAGTTGCTTCCTAGCATCAATGGGCTTTACAATTTGGCATGTTTTTGCAGTGGCTGGTACTGGTTGTTCTTTTCCATGTTTAATGCTTCCTTCAGGAGCTCTTGTAAGGCAGGCCTGGTGGTGATGAAATCTCTCAGCATTTGCTTGTCTATAAAGGATTTTATTTCTCCCTCACTTATGAAGCTTAGTTTGGCTGGATATGAAATTCTGTGTTGACAATTCTCTTCCTTAAGAATGTTGAATATTGGCCCCCACTCTCTTCTGGCTTGTAGAGTTTCTGCTGAGATATCTGCTGTTAGTCTGATGGGCTTTCCTTTATGGGTAACCCGATCTTTCTCTTTGGCTGCCCTTTAACATTTTTTCCTTCATTTCAACCTTGGTGAATCTGACAATTATGTGTCTTGGGGTTGCTCTTCTTGAGGAGTATCTTTGTGGCATTGTCTGTATTTCCTGTATTTGAATGTTGGCCTGCCTTGCTAGGTTGGGGAAGTTCTCCTGGATAATATCCTGCAGAGTGTTTTCCAACTTGGTTTCATTCTCCCCATCACATCAGGTGCACCAATCAGATGTAGATCTTGTCTTTTCACATAGTCCCACATTTCTTGGAGGATTTGTTTATTTCTTTTTACTCTTTTTTCTCAAAACTTCTCTTCTCATTTCATTTTTTTGCTCCTCAATCACTGATACCCTTTCTTCCACTTGATTGAATCAGCTACTGAAGCTTGTGCATGTGTCACGTAGTTCTCTTGCCATGGTTTTCAGCTCCATCTGATCATTTAAGGTCTTCTCTATGCTGTTTATTCTAGTTAGCCATTCGTCTAATCTTTTTTCAAGGTTTTTAGCTTCCTTTTGATGGGTTAGAACATCCTCCTTTAGCTCGGAGAAGTTTGTTATTACCAACCTTCTGAAGCCTACTTCTGTCAACTCGTCAAAATCATTCTCTGTCCAGCTTTGTTCTGTTGCTGGCAAGGAGCTGCATTCCTTTGGAGGAGAAGAGGCACTCTGTTCTTTAGAATTTCAGTTTTTCTGCTCTAGTTTCTCCCCATCTTTGTGATTTTTATCTACCTTTGGTCTTTGATGATGGTGACCTACAGATGGGGTTTTGGTGTGGATGTCCTTTTAGTTGATGTTGATGCTATTTCTTTCTGTTTGTTAGTTTTCCTTCTAGCAGTCAGGACCCTCAGCTGCAGGTCTGTTGGAGTTTGCTGGAGGTCCACTCCAGACCCTGTTTGCCTGGGTATCACCAGCAGAGGCTGCAGAACAGGAAATATTGCTGCCTGATCCTTCCTCTGGAAGCTTCATCTCAGGGGGGCACCCGGCTGTATGAGGTGTCAATCGGCCCCTACTGGCAGGTGTCTCCCAGTTAGGCTACATGGGGGTCAGGGACTCACGTGAGGAGAGAGTCTGTCCATTCTCAGAGATCAAACTCCATGCTGGGAGAACCACTGCTCTCTTCAGGGCTGTCAGACGGGGGCGTTTAAGTCTGTAGAAGTTTCTGCTGCCTTTTGTTCAGCTATGCCCTGCTCCCAGAGGTGGAGTCTCCAGAGGCAGGCAGGCCTTGTTGAGATGCGGTGGGCTCCACCCAGTTCGAGCTTCCCAGCCACTTTGTTTACCTACTCAAGCCTCAGCAATGGCGGACGCCCCTCCCCCATCCCAGGCTGCCACCTTGCAGTTCGATTTTGGACTGCTGCGCTAGCAGTGAGCAAGGCTCTGTGGGCGTGGGACCTGCCGAACAAGTCACGGGATATAATCTCCTGGTGTGCCATTTGCTAAGACTGTTGAAAAAGCACAGTATTAGGGTGGGAGTGTCCTGATATTCCAGGTACCCTCTGTCACGGCTTCCCTTGGCTAGGAAAGGGAAATCCCCCAACCCCTTGTGCTTCCTGGGTGGGGTGATGCCCTGCCCTGCTTCGGCTCACCCTCCGTGGGCTGCACCCACTGTCCAACCAGTCCCAGTGAGATGAACCAGGTACCTCAGTTAGAAATGCAGAAATCACTCATCTTCTGCATTGATCACACTGGGAGCTGCAGACTGGAGCTCTTCCTATTTGGCCACCTTGGAAACTCTTTTTGGAAAAAGGAGTTTTAAGCAACCATTCCATATAAATATGCGTTTGACCATTTCAGGGAAACTGCAGCAATATACAAGAATATTTTCCCAAAGAATGGACAAAACTGCCAGGCGCAGTGGCTCACGACTGTAATCCCAGCACTTTGGGAGGCCGAGAAGAGTGGATCACAAAATCAGGAGATTGAGACTATCCTGGCCAACATGGTGAAACCCCGTCTCTACTAAAAATACAAAAATTAGCTGGGCATGGTGGCATGTGCCTGTAATCCCAGCTACTCAGGAGGCTAAGGCAGGAGAATTGCTTGAACCAGGGAGTCAGAGGTTGCAGTGAACTGAGATCACACCACTGCACTCCAGCCTGGTGACAGAGTGAGACTCTATCTCAAAAAAAAAAAAAAAAGGATGCACAAACCAACAGACAGACACACATACACACACACACACAGAGGAGAGAGGGAGTATTCTAGCTTAAATATCTATAAAATTCAGAGAGTACTTTAGGAGATTATATCCATAGTTGGCAAGATATGGAAGAAATACTAGGTGAGAAAAGTAAAGAGGTGACCACTTAACCCCTTGCAAAACTCAATCATCTCTTTAGCATTAGATTTTAGCTGGGGCAATGAACAAATTTGAACTCTAGATCAAGTTGTAACTTTGGATTATTCTGAAAAGACATTTCTTTTACTGAGTTGATACAGTACTTTGTATCTTAAAGTGACCAATGAAACTGTATTACCTAAGAATCTAGTTTTTATACAGTGTAAGAGGAAAACCTAGTGCCCATGACTATATTCAAATCAATAGAAGAAAACCATAATACATTTCTTATGATTCTATCTCATAAACTAGACTGCTTAAATGTAACAGTCATATATTTATTACTGCATGAGTAAGCCTATATCAAGCTGGCCAGAGCATACCACCCTTAGTAAAATTGATTTATTGAAGAGTCTCAACTCATCACAGGTTTAAATGGGAAATCATTTATGTTTCCACTAACTGCTTGACAATTCTCCTATATAAACCCATTTCCATTGATCTTTTTATAATATTTTGATAGATTCCATACTAGTCACTTCAGTTTATTCAAACTCTGCCATTTCAGTTTCAAAATCTAGCTCTGCTCATTTGTAAGTTTCATTTAAATCACTTCTCCTCCCCTCCCTGTATTACAGGCTACAACTGTCAGTGGATTTAGCAGCTTGCAGTCTTAAGATGGGGTGGAAGTTGGGTGGAATGATCTCTTTACTTCCTTCACCTATTCACTTTCACATGCATCTTCTCTGCTAATGAGCAAGGAGAAGGGAGAGTGAAACAAAGGTCTAAATAAGTGGCACATTTCTTTCCCTGCCTAAAAAGAACTGGTTGGACATACTGTGTAATGGGAGGGTACTCATTAGTTGTTTTGAGGGTCCTATGGTTCCAATTTAATGACCTTGAAGATCCAGTTTCATTTCTTCTTTTTCCTGTTTTTCCTGGTCCATGCACTAAGGATAAAACTGATCCATGACACCAAAACTCTGTCAGTCAGATTCCTAAAATAGAGCAGATGGACTCAAAGACAGTAGTGAAAATATTTAATGAATACATTATTTACATAGTTGTGTGTTGAATTCAGTGAAACAACAACGGATGATGACACACCCAAGGAGTGGTGATATCTGGAAACTGCTATCGCTCCAAGTTCTGAAGAAGAAAATGAAGAAACAGAGTTACTGAGTTTCAGTAAGAGCTGAAGTTGTTCAGGTGGAATTGTCTGGCAGGGCCTGGATTTAGTCATTGGAGAGAGGGTCCTTAACAGGAGCCGTGCTTACACAGAGGAACACAGTCACATCTCCCAGAGTCGAAGAGTAAAACTTGCATCTGGAGAGTGAACATAGAATATAGAGCTCTCAACTGCTTTTTGTTGCTTTCATTCAATAGATAGTTTGCTTGGAAAATTAAAGGAAGGTTGTTCAAGTTTAGCTACTTTCACTAGTGTACAATAAACTATGGGGAAAACACATATTTAAGCCACATTAAAGAGCAATTTGCTTTTCCCCCCTAGTGTACCCTCTCTCGACTCCTCCATCTCTCTGTATCACAGAAGTTTCAGGAACTCTGAAGACCCAGACGTGCAGTGACTTTCAGAGAAGGACACTGAGAAGTGTCCCTGATTTATCACTCTATATTACAAGTGATTCTGCCATGTTAGTAGGGAAGAACAGCTCTGCTATTTTCTCTCTAAAAGGAGGCATAATAGTTCCCTAGGAACCTGCACACAAAATTATTTGACATCTTTCTGAGTACTGTTCTTATATGAATTGAGGGATAATGGGGGGACATGGATGATAGGGCATCGTTTTCTAAACTGGCACCACTCAGTAAACACTACAATGTTATCCCCTTTTGGTGATTCCCTGTGTTATAAATATAGGAAATTTAACATCTTTGTTCTTCAGGTAAAATTTTTAGACATCAGGAAAAAAGAATATGCTTTAAGATGTTACAGATGTAGAGATAAGCAGGAGAGATCTAAGGGCTGATAGTCTCAAAGGAGTAAGATAGAGTAAAAAAGAAAGAGGTGGGTGAATGTAGAGCTTTGGACAGAAGCTAATCTTTTTCTTTTCTGCTGTGTTCCGTACAACTTGCTGTGTGTGAGCAGCCCTGATCCCATTGCTGTTGATATAATCATATAATATTAGTGCTTGAGGGCCCTTAGAGATAATATAGTCTAAACCATTTTTAAGAGAGAGAATTTTAAATAAAAAAGAATTGTTTATGATTGCATCATTTCTCTGGTGGATGTAGACTCTCACTTTTACGGTTAATATTTCATGCCTGTTTCTTACATATGTGTCTTGTATATCAAACAAATCATAAAGTTCTTGAAGGAAGGACTTTCTTTTCTGTACATTCCATTGGCCTTAGCCTCACTCTGAGGAGTATAGTACTCAATAAAAGCTGACCAACTGAATGCAATAGGAGTAAGTTAATAATTATCCCAGTTTATAAGACTTTAGAGAATTTTTAATTATTAAATGTATCCTTATTGGCCTCACCTTGCTTTACCTGGTTCTAAATTTTTGCTCTTAACTTGGGGTCAGGGAACATTCTCATATGTAAAACTTTGCATACTTATCTATTTTTGAGGGGAAGATATTTATGTTTTGATTTAGTTTGTTTTATAATTAACTTTTCAACGAGGTTACCCAAAATATATTGACAATTTTTTGGTGGACAAACATTTTAGGGAGGGGGAACTCTACTAAAAAAAAGACAGACTGGAAGCTTAGGATTCTATACTGATACTGCAAGTAGTTAGCTGTGATTCTGGATTTTCTTTTTCTTTGAGACACGGTCTCTCTCTGTCACCCAGAATGGAGTACAGAAGCATGATCATGGCTTAATGCAACCTCAAACCTCCTGAGCTCAAGTGATCCTCCTGCTCAGCCTCCAACGTAGCAGGAACTACAGACACACACCACCATGCCTGGCTAACTATTTTTTAATTTTTATTTTTTATGTATGGTGTCACGCTATGTTGACTGGGCTGGTTTTGAATACCTAGCCTCAAGTGATCCTCCCTCCTCGGCCTCCCAAAGTGCTGGGATTACAGGTGTGAGCCACTGCACTCAACTTGGAATATATTTCGTTAAATAATGGTATAGTTTCTGCTGATCATTTAAACTTCTAAACCTATATTATCTCCTCTTGGAGCATCACTAAGAGATTTACTATGATGACTGAACACTCCTTGATAGAAGGGGCAGGGTCACTGCCATACCATTATACCCTAAGGTTGCTAACTCAAGGCCTGACTCAGAGTAGGCACTCTGCATTAAATGTTTACAGACTCCGTGGCATAATGAAATAACCAAAACTTCTCTAAACTTTAATTCTTCTACAGAAAAACAATAATGACTCAATACAGTTCTTCATTAGCATTAGTCAAAGGATTAATATTATAGAAGTTTTAGGTTCTGAGTTAGGCTACTTGAACAGCATGAGTTCTACAATCCTATGATTTCTTCAATCCCCAATTCTGCCTTAATTATGGCATGTACAACGTATTAATGTGTCTGCTTTAATTTAACCTTCTGTAAAACTGACATAACATTATTATTTAATTTGTTCTTTGAAAGTTTTTTAGAAGTTAATAATATGAAATATTTTAAATAGTGTCCTCAAATAGAAAATGCTGAAATTATTTTAGCAATAATCAGCTACATAAACAAGGAAGTCTCTGATTCTTCCAAAAATAATGTATCATTATATTTAAGCACAGAACTAGCTTGGAGAGTCATGTTAGGTTGCAGCATGCTTATGAAAAGGGACATACGTCAGGAGTAAGTAGACCTAGTGTATTAGTCTGTTTTCACACTGTTGATAAAGACATACCTGAAGATGGGCAACTTACAAAAGAAAGAGGTTTAATGGACTTACAGTTCCATGTGGCTAGGGAAGCCTCACAATCATGGCAGAGGGCAAGGAGGAGCAAGTCACATCTTATGTGGATGGCGGCAGACAAAAAAGAGCTTTTGCAGGGAAATTCCCATTTTTTAAATTATCAGATCTCCTGAGACGTATTCACTCTCATGAGAACAGCCTGGGAAAGACCCACCCCCATGATTTAATTACCTCCCCCACCCCGGGTCCCTCCCTCAACACGTGGGAATTCAAGATGAGATTTGGGTGGGGACACAGAGCCAAACCGTATCACCTAGGTTCACATTTTACAGCTTTTGATCTTACCATTTGTTCTTTAACAGTATGCCTACAGGTTCTCTCAAGTAGAGATTTACACATATGTAATGGGTTACTATAATGAGTGGGTTCAGCTTGGTGATCACAGTATTGCAGACTCACTTACAAATCTAAATTGCTTCTCTTCTTGAGTCAGATTAAATTTCTTCTATGTGCCAAGCAGCATGTTGGCGGTCTGTCACCATTAGAGTACTAAATGGTTTCCTCTTAGGTCTCTCGGAATCACTCCTGTTAGTAAATAGGGTGTTCTTCCCATCCCTCCTCTCTTCCCTCCTTTCTTCCCCCTTTTCTTCTTTTCTAATATGTCTTTAAAGGAGTGTGTGCCTTCCCTTCTTTTATCTTTTCTGAAAACTTGAAGCCTTCCTTCAACTAGTGGATTTCTTATACATAATATAAGTTTGTCAATACAATTCAAAGAATTTCTAGACTGACATAGAGGCTTCTTGCCCCCAAAACGTATATATAAGGAAAACTTTGCATTAAATCTTCTCTTTGAAAGTCTGTGTCTTTCTGTTTTGTTTTGATTTTGGTTTCATTTTCCTTTAATCTTCCATTATTTGTTATATATCTGTCCTTTACAGCTCTCCCAAGGCTGTACTGGGGCAAAAGACATTTATGGTGGGGAATCACACATAACCTTAAAGACAACCTCCGGGGACAGTGAGCCAGAAAACATGCACACTACAGAGTCAGGAAACTTGAATTTATTCCCAATTCAACCAGAAGAAAGCCAGGTAATTTCAATGAACCACTGAAACTATTTGGATAAGGGTAAGAAGAAATTAATCTTCAAGAAATAAATAATAGAGGGAAACATGGAGAAGAACAAATAGAGTGGTAGCGTGTTTTTAAAATGGAGAGCAGTCAATACTGCCCTTCTTTTCACATGGTTAACCAATCAATCAAATTATCATTTTTTCTAGATACAGGAAAATGTGAGAATTTTACTATTTTAATAAGTTATTGGTCTCAGTCTTTTCCTCTCATTCACATCTGTATATTCTGAAAAATCATTTATTTGCATTTAGTTGGCTTGTAGAAAGAATGACTCTGTGTCTGTCCCCTCACTGTAACCTCATAACCTACCCCTAAGACATAAAATTGAAAAATAGTACAATGTAACCATTCAAAAGTGAATACATTTGCATATGATTTATGTAGAATTAAAGTATGTCAACTTTACTTCCTATTCCTGTTATTTTTATCAGTTTAATTACGATAATCAGAGTTTTGGTCAAACATCTCCTGCCTTATCTTTTACAAATTCAAGTCAATGAGCATATCCTGACTATGAACCATAGTCTACATTTCATGTTCTACTATATTTCCAGCTGCATCTAATAAGAGATAACTCTGGGTTCAGTTTTATTAAAAGATAATGATTTATATCTTTGTTTTAAGATTAAAGATAAATATTATGTCTGCTCATTATTTTTCAAAAAGCAACTTAAGTGTAATAAAAATTAAAATATTGTCACTGACAGATGAATCAAATTATGCATGATTTTTCCATTATGCATATCATATATGACATTCCAGTAATTTCTCATTATAGATAGAAAAGTAGATAGATATAATGACTTGTAGAAATAATTGAAAATATACCCAACCCAGAATGTTTTAAAATGTGTAATTAATTCTAATTCCATTTTATAGAAGAAATACAGAAAAATGCTTAATTGCTGAATTTGAGATAAATATTTCCTCTCAAGGCATATTCTAAAATATATTTCTAAGATTAAGACAAATATTATATAATGTATTAAATATGAGTTTTAATTTTTGTTCCTGGGTTGTCATTGATTCTCCACTAGGTCAAGTGACAGGAAAATGAGATATATTTGTGTACATATATTTGTGTACATATCTATAAATATTTATGTGTTCATTTGGGTGTGACTATATATATGCGCATGTTTGTATATGTATGTTTCCATATATTTCCCTCTGTGTATGCACATTATATATATATATATATATATAAAATACACACACACAAACACACACACACACACACACACACACACACACACACACACACACAAAGCTATACATGAGTTTATACTGGTCTCCAACTTTAATCCAACACCGAACAGATCATTCTGGTCTTCCTACATTGCTTATTTGTAACTTCTCACTCTAACATTGAGAAACCTGGCTCCCATCATCCCATCCATTTGCTTGGTGCTGAATTCCAGTTGCATGTATAATGGTTTTCTATTTATTAACCCCTATTCCCTGGGAAAACACCTTTGTCAACTATAGTACAGTGTTTATGTATTGTTCCTTTTGTCTTTATTGTTATAATCTAAACTTTTTTCCAAAATTGCTTAGCAGAGTAATTTTTTCCACTTCCTTCAGCAAAGTTATTTCAAGTATTTGTTATGTAGTTTGAAGGTTGTCATGGAATAAGTGAGGCCAGTTGATACTGTATCACTTTTGTGTTGCTTTCCTTTCATGCTGGCTGCTTGAAATATACTTCTTTTCAGAATTTTCAGATCATTATATTAACCACAATGTATCTCACTGGAGATTTTCTATATTATTTTTACTTATGATGTCTCCAAAATTCAAAATTTTCTTCCTTCTTTATTGTAGAGAATTTTAATTTGATTATTATTGTGTTGCAAGTGTCTTACAGTTTGCCACAAAGTAACTCCTAAACTTTAGGCATTAACTTATGGTACTAAAATATTTATCATGCTTCATTTAAAGAACATCTTCGTTTAATTGTATTAATTTATAAATGCACCTCTCAAATTTCCATCCTCATTCTCATGATTGTATCTTTCTCATGATTGTCCCTTTGGCTGTCACTGTGATTTGAATGTTAAATGTTTTTGTCTCCTTTACAATTCATGTGTTGGAAACTTAATCTCCAGTGGTGGGGCTTAATGGGAAATGTTTAGGTCATGAGGGCTCTGTTCCCATAAATGGATTAATGCCTCCATAAAAAAGGCTTGTGGGAAAAAGTTTGCTCTTTTCTGCTCTTCTGCCTTATGACAACATAGTGCTCCTCCCCTCTGGAGTATGCACTCTTCAAGCTTCCATCTTGAAGGCAGAGAGCCTGGGCTCTAACCTTTTGGCACCCTGATCTTGAATTTCCCAGCCTCTAATACTGTGAGAAATAAATCTCTGTTCTTTATAAATTACCCAGTTTCGGGTATTCTGTGATGCAACACAAAACAGACTGAGACAGATGTTCTCTGTACTAATATGTTAACCTTCTGGCATGATTACTTAGTGGAAATGTCTGTCATTTTCATTAAGCAATGACTTAGTAAGAATTTGGGCAGCATTGGTTCCTGAATCCTTTACACATTGTTAGTAAAGTGACTCCTGTGTGATGAAGCTCGCAGTTCCATAATTCTGCCAGATAGAAATAAAAGCTTGCAAGTTCTGGGGATGAAGTCAAATACGCTCATGTTTCGCATCCCTAGACATCCATTGCCCATCTGGCATAATCCCATCTGTCACTCAGGGTTCTACCACAGGAGTGACTACTCTTGTTTTTAGAGAGGAATATATTTATACTATAGTTAAGATCATTGCTGTATCATTAAATGCGGTTGGGGTGATGTCCTATGCAGTAAGTAGCTCACATGGAACAACTGTTGTAGATGTCTTACCTTAGCACAGTATGTGAGAATCCTGCATAAAAAGGTCAACAGTAAAGACACTTTCATCTACCAGAAGGTTCCAGAGGTGACTTTTTGCTTACTTACCATCTCCTACACTGGCACCCTTGGTTTACGTGGCTAAGGAATATTGTGACAAGTTGCCATGAAATTAGCATCTCAAATTACTCAGAATACTTTATATATAAAGTATTTATCTCTATATATAAAATACATACTATTATATATACTTGATATTATACAATGACTATTATATACATACTCTATATATTATGAACTTACTATATATTGTATATACTTTATATATCATATATTATACTTTACATATAATACTTTATATATATAAAGAATTCTGAGTAATGTAAGGTGCTAAAATATATATTATATTTATGTAGCACAATATAGTAAGTATCCAAATACATTTTGGATAATTAGGCATTAATCTTTATTCAAAAAAAAAAAACAGCATCAGTCTTTCTTTTGAGCCCTGGGAGCCCTGAACATATGGTGGAGCATATAGATAGTTTAGGAAAAATAAGAAGAATAAAATGGAAAGAAGGAAAAAGCAAAGCATTTTTAAGAGGTACTGAAAGATCAGTTTAGCTGGAGCAAAGAACCCATGGAAAAAAACGATGACTTACGAAGTTTTCTTATTTCTTTTTAAGAAATTGGAAACTGTTTCATGGGTAAAAATATCAGTACTATTTTTAACTCTGTGGGACTGAACTCATCCTGACACTGTTATGAATTCTGTTTGAATTCAACCCTACCGCTTGAACAATTCTGGAACCTGCATATTATAACTGTACTTTTTATAAAGTGCTTTTAGTTTCATAATCTGATTTGATGCTTCAAATTCTGTTAGGAAATAGGTATGGAAGGATATTGCATTTCCAATTTTGAGATGAGGGATGTAAGACACAGAGACTGGCCTGTGATAACTGAATTCTGAAGAAATGACCCTTCCTCCTAGGCCTCCCTGGCCAATCCTCTCAGTAGGAATCCTAATAGCTCCTCTTCTTTCACTACTTTAAAATATATATATATATATATATATACCTATATATATCTATATAGATATATATATAGATAGATAGATATAGATATATATATATAGATCTATAGATATATATACATATATAGATCTATATATATATATCTATAGATCTATAGATATCTATATACATCTATAGATCTATAGATCTATAGATATATATACACATATATATTTTCACATGACCACAGACCATATTCTGAGATGTGTTCTCGAAGGCCGTTTCTCTGGAAAGTTCTTCCCTATCGTTTATTGTTCTAGATATTTGTGCCCATTCTTTCTCCTCAACCAATTATGACATAGAGTCCCTATGGAAGCAATTTTCCTAATACCAGAAAAACCACACTATTCTAAAAATGTGCATCCTCATACAGGATACTGGTTTATCATTGCTGAGCATTCAACATGTGCAGGTTTGGAGTATATTCTACACTTACCCTGTCTTCCTGACCACTGTACACTGCTTCCTGGGATTCCACAATTTCTCTCTCATTACTTCAGTTTACAGAAGTGTCCTTAATGAAACGGGAATACAATTGGGAGAGTTAATCTAACTAAACATCTAAACATTGCCAGTTATTTAAACACTCTCCTGACCATATCTTGAAAAGACATATAGATAAAAGGATAGAGAAGACAGTATAAGTGCCCTAATCTAGCCTAGAGTCATTCATGACCGTTCTGCCCTCTAGTGTGTTAGAGGAAAGTCATGATGATGTTAATGTATGCTTGTTTAAAAATGCCAGCCTGCTCCCTCCTCTCCACAGTCTCTTCCAGCTGTAGCCCAATTAAAGTCAACAGTTCACAGGTGTTTAGAGAAATGTTTTCAACATAAAACCCCAGTTGTCTTTAGGGCTCTTCACTCTTTTTAGTGCTCTTTAAATTTGAAATATTCTTCCAAAAAACAAACCACATTTGCAAATGAAGAAAAAAATACAACGGACAATGAGGAAGATGTTAACAATTATAAAAATATTGTCAATAACAAAAAAAAGAATATTTCAGAACCACCTGGAAGACCCATGTATTTAACCCAACCTAAAGCAAAATAATATTTTCTTGACTAAAGAGGGTGAAGAATGAGAATGGGATAGCATGGTGTGACATGTATGAGGAAGGTTAAGAAGAACATATAAGAATTTATGTACCATCTTTTTCTGGCATACTTAGTTAAAGCATTAACTACCACCCCGTCCCATACTTTCTACATTTAAACAAGTAGATATTATCTCAAACACATATACACTTTGCTATCTGACAATGAGTGCACCATGAACACACTCTCCCTGAGTATTCTCTTCATCAATCTAGAGAAAGAAAAAATTGACAGCCAATGATTGTCATTCTATTTATAATTACAAATACATTAACTCATTCCTAAAGATTTTGGAATTATTACAGGTAACTAGGTTCTGAAAACATGGTACCCAAAAATATGTGACTTATACATTGTACAAATCTGTTCATTGAGTAAACATATCCAGTATATGAATCAGTCTTTGATAAAGTCTGAATTTGGAGGGCCATTGCTATATAATAATTTATAAAATATAATTTTTTCAGGGGTAAACCAGGATGAAAACCATTCATTTACTCATTTATTTAGCAAATATATAGCAGGTGCCTACTATGTGCCATACACTGTCCTATGGTATGACAATGAACAACACAGACTAAAAACCTTGCCCTAAGGAATCTTAAGACAGGTAGTAAACATCAAACATATTAAATAACTTAATAATCTAGTATGTTAAACGACAATATATACAATAGGGAAAAAGAAAGAAAAGGAAAACTCTAGCAGAGATAGGGGAATCTGTAGTTCAAAATCAAGGTGTAAGGGTTGAAAGGATGGGAAGTAGCAAAGAGCAAACTTCATCTATTTCATTTATTTTAGAAATTATAATGTTTGTTGGATAAATCCCGCATTGAAAATAGACTTTTATTATTTACCGAAATTAGAACAAGGCAATTACAAGTTTCACTTGGTGATGATTCTGATGATGTTAATGATGTTATTAACTTTCTTGAGTATTTACTATGTGGCAAACACTGTGCTAAATCACTACATGAAAAATGTCATACAATATCCAAAAAATAACCCCTACCTCACTGTGCTCTATACCAGTCCACTGAATTGAAAGATCAGGAAAATATAGGTAAGAGAGGCAAAATAATTCACTTAGTTCCACATAGTGTCAGGACTGAGATTAAATCTGTGTCTTTAATCCCAAATTCATGCTATTAATCATTACTTATGTTACAGGTAGTTAGGCATGAGCCAGGCAGGAGAGGGCTCTCCCCACCCACACTAGGAATGTTGGGTGACATTTCTGCAATTATTGCCTTGCCTCTCTAAAAACAATAATTTGGCATCGCCAGGGAGAGGCCAGTTCCTGATGGTCCACATCTGTTAACATCAAAACATTCATTGAATGTGGACCCCAGAGAGAAGCAACTTCTGCGCATGCACATTAAGAGACAAAAATGGTGAAGTATAATCTTCTGGGCACACTCCACCTGAAAAAAGAAGAACGCCTCAGATGGGTATACATAGAACTCCCTAAACACGCTGCGTGTGCTCGATTCCAAGGATAAAGAAAGCACTGCACGTGAGGAAAGCGCACCTGAAGGGAAGAAACATGGGAAAGAGGCGAGCCTATAAAGTCCTAGAGTCAAGGTTAAGGGCCCCCTTTTTTGCTGTCTGCTCTTCTCTGTTTGTCCTTCAGTTACCCAAGATAATTTTCCTTTCTTTCCTTTTCTAAAACTTTTTTTAGATAAACTTTCACTCCTGCTCTGAGACTTGCCTTCATCTCTTTTTCTGCTTTATGACCCTCAGTCAAATTATTTCTTTTAAGGAGATAAAAACTGAAGTTGCTAGGGATCTTATGGATACTCCGCCGGTAACTCGGGGTAACTCAGATCTCTACCACCGCTAACACTTACGCAAACATATTTTATTTATTAAGCACCTATGACAGGCCAGAATTGTTTTAAAAAAATTAATTCATTTTTAAAAAATATTAATTCATCTTAATTCTTAATTTTTTATATAATAAACTTTAAATGATCTAGAACTTTGTAGTAGACTAAGTAGTGGCTCCCCAAAGATGTTTATGTCTTAATCCCCAAACTTATAAATACGTTACTTTTCATGGCAAAGGAGCTTTGCAGGTGTGAAAGATACTGCAATTGAGAGTTCATCCTGAATTATCTGTGTGGACTTGGTATAATCACAAAGATCCTTATAAAAAGGAGATGGCAGGGTCAGAGCGAGAGAAGACAATGGGAAGACAGAAGCAGAGGTTAAAGTAGGTGGACCGTGAAACATGGAATGTCAACAGTCTCTAGAAATCGTGAAAGGCAAGGAGACAGATTTCCCCCTACACCTTCCAGAAGAAACACAACCTTTCCAACCCATTTTCAACTTCTGACCGGCATAAAAATAAAAATAATAAATCTATATTGACTTAACTTACCAATTTCGTGGGAATTTTTTATAGTCACAATAGGAAACAATGTAGACTGTAACATATAAAATGGGGTGCTGCTCTAGCGAATATCTAAAATGTGAAAGTGGCAATGGAATTAGGTAATGGGTAGAGGCTGGAAAAGTTGGAGGAGCATGACTAAAACTGCTTTTTTGGCTAGCACAGATAGTGTACAGAAATATGGATGATAATGACTTTGCTAGTGAGGTTTCAAAGTGCAAAGCACAGTAGAGAAAATACATACTGTCCTAGAGAATTTTTTAGTTATCAGAAACCGTTGGTAGAAACATGGACAGTAAAGGCACTGCCAGTGAGGGCTTATGAGAAAATGAAGAATGTTATTGGATAACGGAGGAAAAGGAACATGTGTATGTATAGCCAGAAACTTTGTTACTTTCCACATAACTTTCCTACAGTTATGTGGAAAGTACAACTTAAAGCAACAGCCATTAATTGTTAGCTGAGGAGATTTCCAAGCAAGGTGTTAAAACCAAAACCTGATTTCTGCTCCCTGCTTAAAACGGTTGAACATACTTAATTCAAAAGTCCAATATCTGAAACTTTTTGAGCACCAACATGACACCCAAAGTAGAAAATTAAACACATAAGTACTTAATACAAACTTTCTTTTGGACACAAAATACTGAAATTATTATATAAGATTATCTTCCAGTGATGTGTATAAGGTGTATAACAAATGTAAATAAATTTAATGTTTAGATTTAGATCCCATCCCCAAGTTATCTCATTTTGCATCTTCAAGTATTCCAATTTTTTTTTAAATCCCAAATCCTAAATAACTCTGGTCCCAAGCATTTTGAATAAGGAATAATGGGTCTATACCAAAATAAAAGAAAAAGGAAAGAAATTGAGGAAAGAACTATTAAGCAAAAAGGAACAAAGATCTAATGATTTGGGAAGTTATTCTTGGCCTATCAAGATTGCAAAAGATGCTAAACTTAAGATTCACTGTCAAGAAGGCATGCTCTGGAGAAAAAAACAAAGACCAAATGCAAATTTTGTTACTTCTTTGGAAGGATCCAAACTTAGACTATTAAGTCAAAGAAAGGACTCTGAGAAAATTAGGCTTGTGATTAATGTATTCCTTTGGCCATCTCAATGGAAGACAAAAATAGAAATGGAATTATCTAAAAAAGACCTTACTAGGAGCCTCTTGTTCCTAGGCTGATGTTATATAAACTATCTATATCAATAATCAATTAATCAATAAATCAAAAAGCAAATATGTTTGGGAAATTTACTTATTGGTTTTTTCCTGTGTTTTCCTGGTTTAGTGTTTCCTGTGCTTTGGAAAATAGGGAAAAAGAATGTTTAATGACTTCAAGGAAATTACAAATTACTTAAAGATTTTTTAAAAATTAAAATATAGGAGAAAAATAATGCTCAAATGATGCACGGTGTGGTCTAAATTACAGTAGGAGTTGAAAGAAATGAATATATTTGAAGGGGTTGTGTCTTCCCATGGGGAAGTGATATTAAGCTAGGAATTTAAGGATAAATGTTACAGTCGTGTTGAGCAAAATGGGGGACAAGCAGCAAAGGAAAAATAACTTTAAGGTAAAAGGTATAGATTGGTTTAAGTAGGAAAAGTTATCTACTTAGGAACCAGAGGTGGATTATATTAGAGAGGTAAATTGTGGTCAGAATATATTGTAGGTGAAATTTATAAAATTCATCTCTTATTTGAGTAGTTGGGAATCATTGAATGGATTAACTTCCTGGATGCTTTAATCAATCACAAGTGTGTTTTCAGTTTTAAAAGTTTGTCTTTTATATTTCACAGTGCACCATTTTGAGCAGATAAATTTGTGAATTATTAGAGTGATAAAAGCATTAAAAAAAGAATGTAGTCATTTTTATAATCACAAAAACATATTTAATTACCTTTATATGAGGCATATTTATATTCAAGTGCATGTGTATTTCTGCACATAAAACATTAACTGGGTAAGAATTCCAAGTCTGTTTATGAAGGAATACCAGTAATTATATTGCAAGTTCTTATATGGTAAGTCAATCACCAGCCAGTGTCTACCTACAGATGAAGTGTGTCAAAATTTCAGGTTTTATTTGCTCTTGTTAAACTCCAATTAAATTTGTTTCTATTATTTTCTGGTTTTGAACAAATTATTTCATCAACTTATTTGTTTACTGGGAAATTTATCTTTGCCCAATTATTTCATAATTTTTTAAAAATAAAAGACATCTTAGGTTTACAGACATTTTGAGTATATGAGACAACTTGGTATAAAGAGATAGATAATAAGATCATTAAGTTTTGTTTCTCATTTGGGATAAGAGCATTATTATTGCTTTAAAATGACTAATTAAGCTGATTGCAGATTCTTAAGGAGTTGGTATCTGAATAATCTGATTTTATGGGCTTTGTTTTCTATTTTTTTTCCTTTTAGGCCACTTCCATATAATACAGAGCTGATCACATCAAGCTTCATCTGCTGTTTTTACCTAATACAAATACTTCACTACAACTTTAGTTTTGATATTTTTACACATTTATTACCCTTCCTATCCTCATCTCTCTTCTTTGATGATTTCACTCTGCCTGAAATATTCTCTACTTCTCTTCTACTTCATGTTCTTCAGTATAACCATGTTCCCCAAAACAGCTTTCTGAAATTATTTTCATTTCTTTTTGTGTTCTCTTTTAATCGATATATGAAAAATTTCCAAGCATATTGACAAATTTCTAAATATAGTTGACCCTTGAAAAACATGGATGTGAGCTTCACAAGTCCACTTATATTAGATTTTCTTCCATTTCTGCCACTCCAAGACAGTAAGACCAACAGCCCCTCTTCTTCCTCCTCCTCAAACTACAATGTGAAGCTGAAATGAACGAGGACTTTTATGATGATCCACTTCCACTTAATGAATAGTAAACATATTTTCTTTTCCTTTTAATTTTCTTAATAACGTTATTTTCTTTCACTTACTTTATTGTAAGAATATAGTATACAACACATATGACATATGTGCTAATTACTAATTGTGTTATGGATAAAGCTTCTGGTCAACAGTAGGCTATTAGTAAAGTTTTAAGGGAGTCAAAAGTTATTCATGGATTTTTTACTGCCCTGGGGGTAGGTTCTCCTAAACTCTTTGTTGTTCATGTGTCACCTATAGTGAATTTTCTTACCTTTTGTTATGTGACCTGAAGTTCAAGATTTTCAGAATGTTCTGTCAGTTCTATCAATCTGCCTACAAAATATTCAAAGAAAATATCATGTAGACAACCAACATATATAAAAGGTAAAGCAATAACAAAATGAAAAGAAAAAACAGCAATTATAAGTAAAAGCTAATATGTAGTCTACTTTCTCAACCACTATGATCCCATATAATACTGAAAAGAGAGGAATTTATCTATTTTAATATATGGGCTTTAAACAAAGACAGTGACATTTCCAGGTGTTAAAAATAAAGAAAGGCATTAAAACCAGGGAGGTAAATATACTGGTTCATGGTGGGCTAACTCAGAGGGCCTGGATATTTGAGGCTGTGCCTATCTGAATAAAGAAATCAGTTCTTGTCCCCATGGCAAAAGGAAAAGTAGAACCAGGGAAACTCTCATATCCCCTAGCTCTGAAATTACTTTCCCCACATTTAAAAAAAAAAAAAAAAATTTACTCTTCTCACTGCCCAAGGAATTTTTAAAAATACTCATTTGCTATTTGACACAGTTGTGAAGAATTATTTTCTATGAGAAATCCAAACTACAGTTACAATCTCCTGCTTGTGACCAAGATAGAATAACCAGGACTGAATTTGCTTCCTGCCCCTAATAATTGACATAAAGAGACAGGCAAAATGTATGAAACAATAGATTTCAGACACTGAACATCAGGCAGCAAATGGTAGTGAACACTGAAAGAGAGAAAAACCAATGAGGGGAGCCATCTGATTACTGTGGCTTACTAGAGAGTTTCTAAAATGCAGTGCAAGAAGTGGAAAACCAGTTGAAGCTTGGCAGTCTCTCCAAGTTGAAAAGACAGATGTGGAAGTCCCAATAGATCAAAGTAGTTCGAACTCACAGGGTAAAATACTGAAGAAAAAGAGAGCAGCAGAGAGAGAATGGAAGGTTTTGAGATCTCCAGAAGGTCCCCCTTGATGTTGAAGCTGAGCATTGATAAGGACATTTATATTAAAAAACTACCTGAGAACTGAGAAATACTTATCCAAAAGAAGCAGATAAAACAATTCTCAGAGATCACTCTCCACCAGGACTATTTCATGTTGCTACCAGACAGAGAAGGCCTTAAAATTCACTGGGCATTGGGTGTAGTAGTAATTCCAAGGGAATTGACTGTGTAGTAGGGCAAAGGCGGACCTAGATTAACATAGTTCTGATTCTGTCTAATAAAGCTTAAAAAAAAACTTGAAAAAAAAATCAAGTTGCTTACAGGTAACTATATCCCATAACAAAGCTCAATAATCTTTACCTTGGAATACAAAGTAGGAATACAAAGCTACCTAGGACACAACAAGATGAAATTCACGATGTCTGACGCCTGATCAAATATTACCAAGCATGAAAAGAGGCAGGAAACTGCAATCCATATTGAGGAAGAAAATAAATCAACACAAAAAGACACAATAATAGCACAAGCTTTAGAATTATTATACAAAGTCAATAAAACAGTTATAACTCAATTCCATATTTTCAAGAAGGTAGAGGAAAAAAGTAAATATGTTAAGTAGAACATAGAAAAAAATTTAAAGAGGCTTGAATTGAACTTCTAGATACAAAATCCATAATATCTGATATCAAAATACATTGCATGGTATGGGCCACAGATTGGATGCTGAAGAAGAAAAGGTATTGACATTGAACGTGAAAACACAGCAGTAGAACAATCCCAAACAAAACACATTCAAATAACATTAATTAAAAGGATGAAGGGAACACAAATGAAATAAGTGAAATGTGGAGCACTCTCAAGAAGCCTAATATATACATAATAGGAGTTGCTGAAAGAGAGAGGTGGAAGGGAGGTCAGATGGAATATTTTGAATAGCAGTGAATTTTTAAATTCCCAAATTAAACCCACAGATTCAAGAAATTCAAAGAATCCTAAGCACATTCTTGAAAAAGAAAATTACAAAAAAAGAAACATATTGAATCGCTTAAAACCTGAGAAAAAGTTAATAATTCAGAATTAGCCAGAAAGATTTTATATTTTTTTCATACAGCAGGGAAAAATATAAAAATGACAACAGAGTTCTATTGAAAACAATACAAGTTAGAAGATAATGAGGCAATATCCTACAAGAATGAAAGAAAAAAGATAACTTAGCAAAAATATATTTTATAGTGAAAATATCTTTCAAAAGCAAAATAAAGACTTTCTTGACAGAGTAAAGCTAAAAGAAGTTGTCACCAACCTACTCGTATTATAAAAATGCTAAAACAGTTTCTTCAGACAGAATGAAAATAATACGAGATGAAAAGTAGCATCTAACCAAAGGAATTAAGAGTACCCAAAAAGGCTAAGTGGATAAATAAGTGGATAAATTAAAAAGTAATATTTCTAACTTGATTTTGAAGACTCTTTGAGGATATCATTTAAAGCAAAAACAACAGTGCAATGTAAAGTTCATTAAATTATATGACAATAATAAATGCTGGGAGAAAAAGTAGAATTGCACTGATGTGAGGTCATTATTTTGTACATGAAGTAGTACAGTATGTCATTACTTGGAGGTGGATTGTGATGAGATATAGGCGTACACCATAAACCCTAAAGCAACCATTAAAAAACAGAGTTATAGTTAATAAATCAAATAAGAAGCTAAAATAGAATTACCAAAATATATACAACAAATCCAAAAGATGGCAGAAAAGCAGCAATGGGAAAAAAAGAATGTATAAAATTATTGGAAAAAATAGCAACATAGTATATTTAAATTCTCTCTCTCAGTAGCTACCTTCAAACACTCAAGTGAAAAGCTAAAAATAGATGAAAAAATGACATTAAAATTTGCTTTCTTCCAGAAATTCACTTTAAATGTGTTATAATTATTTTATTCTAAAAAGATGGGAAATGATATACCACATCAATATTAATAAAAAGATAAATGGAATCCTATTTCAATATCAGATAAATGTAATTTCATAGCAAAAATATTACCAGGGATTAAGAGGAATATTTTTTACTGATAATGACATCAATTTTTCAAGAGAATGAAGAGCAACTAAATACAATTGGGTCAAGTTTCACATGGTTTTATGTTGTGAACTAAAATACACATACACATAGCCCCCAAACTGGATTTTTGTATACACAATAGATAGATCCCTGTCAAGATGGAATACATGTATAATATAAGAACTATAGAGAAACTTTCTCTCTTTCTTTCTTTCTTACTGTGTGTCTCTCTCTCTTACTGTCTCTCTTTCTCTCTCTCTCTCTGTGCGTGTATATATATATATATATATATATATATATACTTATGTAATAATATATCTGTAGTAGAAAAGATCTAAGGAATAAAAAACATACGTGTATTTTATATTAGTAAGTCTTATATAATTGAATACATAGAGGGAGTTGGAAATGCATGATACTTATTTAAATGTTGCTGTAAATGTAAGTGATGTTCTTGCTGAAATCAGATTCCCCTCACCACCTCAGAGTTAGTATTCAAGAAATGTAGCAAAGTTTAAATGTAACACAGTGCATGTAATCTATTCTGATAAGGCTTATTATTTTCAATAAATGGAGTGAAATTTAAAAAATTAGATAAATAACAATTATAAAGGTTTATGTACCTAATAAGAGCACATATTTTATGTGAAGCAAAAATGTATTGAATGAAGAAATATAAAAATCTACAGGTTTATTCAGGCATTTAATATTGTAATAATTGATACAAGTAGACAGAATATCAGTAAGGGTATTGAAGACTTGAAAAACACTATCAATCATAAAATAATCCTAAGTAAATCCAAGAGTTAAATCATAACAGGATATCATCTGATCAGAATGGAATTAAATTAATAATTAATAACAAAAAGGTTTATAGAGAATCCCCAGATATTTGGAAACTAAACAACATATTTCTAAATAACACCAGGGAAAAAGAAGAAATTAAAGAGAAATTAGAAACTACTATTAACAGAATGAAAGTAAAACTGAACATATTAATATTTGTGGGAGCCAAGAAAAGCAATGTTTGAGGGAAGTTTGTAGCCGCAAAAACTTGTTAGAATACATATAAGAAAAGCATCAAATTAATTACCTAAATTTCCACCTTAAGAAATGAGATAAAGAGGAGCACATTAAATATAAAATGAGTAAAAGAAATAAAATAATGAAGATAAGATTATGCATTAATAAAATAACAACCAAAAAATAAATCAGCCCAAGGCTGATTCTTCGAGATGTTAGCAATACATCAGAAATATCAAGAGCCTGAGAAAGAGAGAAATTACCAATATCAGGAATGAGAGAGATTATAAGGGATGTTATAAATAACTTTAGGATAACAAATTTGATGATTTAGTTGGAGAAAGACCTAGAAAGATACAAATAATTACTAAAGCCCACTCAATAAAAAATAAATAACCCAAACAGTTTATGTGCATTAAATCAAATAAATTTTTGTTAAATACCTTTCCAGAATGAAAATTCCAGACCCAGATAGCTTCACAAGCAATTAAAGAAGAGAAATACAAATATACTAAATACTCATATACTAAAATGCAAATGTAAAAATATTAACTTCAAAAAATTTGTATTTGAGGCTGTACAAAATCAACTAATAGATAAAATAAGTACAAAAAAACTTTAGCATATTAAAACATATTTATCAAATAGATAAATAGTATAATTAATTAGTAAATAGTACTTCACACGTCCAAATGCTCAGTGTCATTGTTAAAATTCATTTATCTGGATTAATAATGTTATATTTTTCCAGAGAGCATTTTAAAAATATCCTTGCAAATGGAAAGATAAAACATTGTCATTAATAATTTAATCTACATTAATTAAATTATCATCTGCATGAGCAGAGGGCATACATTCAAATTGCTATATTCTATTGCCATCATAGCTGAAGATTTTCTGATTGATTTCTTTCCTCTAAGATAGATGGAAAAAATCCTAAATATATTGGAGAGTTCATGTAAATTCCTACAATGGCATCCATATTAAACAGCAAGATTTTGATTTAAAATCAAGGGAAAGTAGCAAGATAGTGATAACTGGGTTTTCGTTCATTTCCAAATTATTAATTGACCTTGCTTACTTTAATCTTCACTTTCTTGCAGAGTCTAGAGGCATAGAATGCCATAGTAAATGTTACCAGATCTTTCAGTGTGCAGTCTGAGTGGTAGCATGTAATTTATTTACAAGATGTCATCTTCAAGCCTCTCAGGGTTTTAATCCTGGTTTTGCCTACTTTTGTGTTTTTGGACAAAAACATTCACCTTTCTGAGTCTCTGTTACTTCAACAGTATAATAGGAGTGAAAATAGAGGTTCCCTCCAAGGTAGATTGTAAGGATTAAAAAACAATGTGTACAGGACTTAGAAGATCTCCTGGCATATCTAAGCAATTAATAAATCTCAGTTGTGATTATTGTTATCATCTTAATGAAGCACTCTTGTACCCTAATTCAAACTTTGAGTCTATCTTCATTTTTGTTAATCACTGGTCTACTAGTCACACCCAGTAAAATTTAAAGTAATACAAAAAATTAGGTTCAGGCCGGATGCGGTGGCTCACGCCTGTAATCCCAATACTTTGGGAGGCCGAGGCGGGCGGATCACAAGGTCAGGAAATCGAGACCATCCTGGCTAACACGGTGAAACCCCATCTCTACTAAAAATGCAAAAAATTAGCCGGGTGTGGTGGCGGGCGCCTGCAGTCCCAGCTACTCGGGAGGCTGAGGCAGGAGAATGGCATGAACCCGGGAGGCGCAGCTTGCAGTGAGCCGAGATGGCGCCACTGCATTCCAGCCTGGGCGACAGAGCGAGACTCCGTCTCAAAAAAAAAAAAAAAAAAAAAAAAAAAAAAAAAAAAAAAAAAAATTAGGTTCAAAAGCCAGCATTAATCAAATTCTGAAAATCATCATTTAAAAAAAGTAAATATTCTTGAACATTAAAAGGAAATTCAAACGTAAGCTTCATATTGAAATTGAGTGCTATAATCTTATGGAATTTCTTAAAGGTATCAGCACTCTATTAGCTAAGTCGTGTGATTTTAGTAAATGTGAATCAGGAAGGTGAAAATCTAATGAAAGCCTTGCTCAAGAGGTTTACAAAGTTATTTGATTCAGAAGCAACAGGCATTGAAGCCCTTTCTAAATTAAGAAAACTAAGTCACCAAACATATTTACACATATGTTTTAATGTAACTTTATCTGTTTGGGGATTGTATAGTATGCACAATGTATTTTATTATTTAATCCAATCTAATTACCTAAAAAATCCTTTGGGGAATTATTTCCGCTACTCTATGCTTTCCATGCCATTGGGGATAGATATGTAACTTGCCTCAAATACTAGGTCAATTATAAATGTCTGTGTTGTTTGAACTGTATTTTATTAAAAAGATGTCAAAATGATGTTAGGTAATTGATTTAAAAAGAAAGAAAAGCTGAGGCCAGGTGTGGTGGCTCATGCCTGTAATCCCAGCACTTTGGGAGGCTGAGGTGGGTGGCTCACAGGGTCAGGAGTTCAAGACCAGCCTGGCCAAGATGGTGAAACCTTGTGTCCACTAAAAATAAAAAAATTAGCCGGGTGTGGTGACAGGCACCTGTAATCCCAGCTACTCGGGAGGCTGAGGAGAGAATTGCTTGAACCCGGGAAGCGGAGGTTGCAGTGAGCTGAGACTGTGCCACTGCACTCCAGCCTGGGTGACAGAGCGAGACTCCATCTCAAAAAAATAAAATAAAATAAAATAAGAAGAAAGAAAAGCCAGGATAGACTAAATGGTACTGTTAAAGCAGGTAGCTAGTCAGGCATGATCAGGGCAGAGAGGGCTCCCTCCCCTCCTATCAGGAATGGCAGGCAACCACCAGGTGATGGTCAGGCAGTTGTTACACTGTTTCTTTAAAATAACTGGTTGTAGCTGGCACGAAGGAAAGGCAGTCTCCCAATAGATAGAAAAAACCTGAAACTGGTGATTAGCAGCTTCCCCATAAGATCTCAGGAGTTGGATGAGTGGGCTTAAGCATAGACACTAAGAGACAACATAGTGGAGTTTAACAGGTATATGACCTTCTAGGAGTATTCAACTGGTAAGTGAAGAACGCCTCAAGTGAGCATCCGTGCAACTCCAATAAACACACTATGCATACAGCCCCTCCCAAGTGCTAGCAGGCCATTGCACATGCAGACAGCCCACCCTAAGGGAAGAAACAGGGGAGAAGTAATGCAAGACCCTAGAAGCATACCAACATATAAAACCCTAAGTCAAAAGTCAAAATGTGCACTTGATCTCTCAAGTCGCCCTCTTGGCCCTCTTCCAGGTGTACTTTACTTCCTTTCATTTCGGTTCTAAAGGTTTTTAATAAACATCCAATCCTGCTCTAACACTTACTTGAATCTCTCCTTCTGCTTTATGCCCCTCAGTCGAATTCTTTCTTCTGAGGCAGCAAGAATTGAGGTTGCTGCAGACCCATACAGATTCGCCACAGGTAACAGCACTGGACATGTCCTCCTACTCTAAACAACTAAACAGCTCTTCAAAATATATGAAACAATTGTTTTTAGACAATCTATAACAAGCAGCACAGACTGGTCCCTGACAGAAGGCAAGCAAGTTAATTATATGGGCATTGTCATCACGCTGATTTTTGCCTTGGTATTTTTTTCAAGATGATAGAGAGCAAGTAGGGAGGTCTTGTCGAGTTGAGGAGACAGATAATAGCATTGGGAAAGGTTGAAATGGATATATTTTACAGATTTTATCAGGGCTATAAAAATCTGCTTCAGGGTCCCCTTGAGTCTTTGGTTAAGTACTAACGTGTGCATGTCCGGGGTTGACTCCATGGCTCCAGGCAAATAGCAATTACTAGAGAAAGAACAACTGTCAGGGAGCTGCAAACTGACCAATTTTCAAAGGTCATCAATTTACATTTCCGCTAATAGAATACAACAATTGTGTTGCTGCACATCTTTGTCATTTGTTATTTGTTTGACAATTTAAAAAATGATGCTTATCTAATGGGTATGATATAGACACATTGTTTTATCAGCTATAATGGAAAGATCCTGCTAAACACCTGTGGCATTCAATAGTATCCCCAGAAGATCCATGCCTTAGTAGATAGAATTACGATAAAAATACATTAAAAATCTATTATAGATATATTCCATGATTTTTTAAAGAAAAACATGAATATAATTTGGAAAGAAATGGAACTTATTTAAAAGAACCTAAAGAAGCATTAAAGTCTAGAAACAATGCAAAAACTAAAATGAAGTAGATTTAAAGAATGGGCTTATCTGTGATGCATTATAAGGGACATCGGAAGGGAACAGATGAAATAGCTGAAGGAAACAAGTTAGCTGATCAGGCAGCCTAGTCAGTGGCAAGAAAGCCTCAGGGTCTCAACACACCCAAAGCCCTTCTAATCTGGGAAGCCTTCATAGAAGAAATGAAGCCTCAGTACTCCCCTGCAGAGATAGAATGGGCCATCTCTCAAGGGTACACTTTCCAACCCTCAGGATGGCTACAGTCAGAGGATGGCAACTCCACTTGCCAGCCTCCAGCCAGTGATCCTTCACCAAGCTTTTTCCTTGGGAAAGGATGAAACCTATGAGTGAGCCTAGGGATTGTTTTCAGGAGAGAAATTATTAAAAACAGTCAAACAGGTTGTTAATGCCTGTGAAATCTGTCTAAAAAAATAATCCCCTCAACAGGCAGCTCCTTCCTCCTCAAACCCAAAGGATGATTAAACTATCCAGGGGAAGACTGACAGACAGTCTTTACCCACATGCCAAAGATGAAGAGCATACAATACCTTCTATATCCAAGCCCTCTGAGGTAATAAAAGTGTTAGTTAATGAACTAGCTCCTGCTTTGGTCTACCTAAATACCTCCAAAGTAACAATGGCCCCTCGTTTAAGGCAGCTATCACACAGAGGGTCTCAAAGGCACTAGGCATACAGTATCATCTCCATTGTGCCTGGAGACCCCGGTCCCCAGGAAAGGTAGAGAAGACAAACAATATTATCAAAAGACACCTCAGAAAACTGTTCCAAGAAACTCACCTTACTGGGTCACTCTTCTTCCCATTGCTGCACTGCAGGTAAGAAATACCCCTTTAAAGTTAGGTCTGCATCCTTTCAAAATGCTGTATTAATGGCCTTTTCTTACAAATGGTTTTCTATTAGACCAAAAGACCTCAGAATTGGTTAAGCATGTAACTTCCCTAGCCCACTTCCAACAGGAATTAACACAATTAGCAGAAACCCAACCCCAAGAAATAGGATCACCTTTATTGAACACAGGAGATTCGGTATTGGTACAGGCTCTTCCCTCTCTGTCTCCTTCCCTAAGCCCAAGCTGGGAAGGGCCTTACACTGTTCTTCTTTCAATCTCCTCGGAGGTAAAAGTTACAAAAATCTACTTCTGAGTACATAACACTCCAGTCAAAGCCTGAAAAGTTGAGGGAGCAATCCCAGGGGGCCTAGAGGAATGTCCCAGATATCAATGCAAAGAGACAGGAGACCTTAAGCTGAAAATCATAAAAGATAACTAAACGAATGATGGCTACTTGTCCTACTCAGTCCCACACCTTCCTTACCAGATACTTTCAGTCATTTCTATCTTTTCTCTTGAGATTGCCCACCAGATATGAGAACTTCTTTTTGACACATACTTGCAGGGAGATTTTGATTATCCATGGGATTACATTTGTCACTTCATAGACCTCTAAAGGGAAATTCTATATCTTTGTGAGTAAATTTTAAAGGGGAGTCATTTATTACACTAGAGATTTTTATTGTCCCTAGGATTACATTTGTAACTTAATAGACCTCCAAAGGGAAATTCTATATATTTGTGAGTAAATTTTAAAGGGGAATTATTTATTACCTTACTCTTGTGAGAATTCCTACTCTTACTCTACGATTTACAGTAAAACTATACTGTGTCACCCACATTGTGGAATTCTAGATGGAAAATTCTAATCGCTATAATATTCTGCCTAATTATGTTCATAACAGGATTAATAATTACAGGAACGATTTTGTCAAAGTTAGCAATAAAGTTACTCTGGCCACCCAATCCAATGGCACTTATCCTATATTAAGAAAATTTTGCTTCTATATTAATGCTTCTGGTAAAGTACAGCGACATCTGGTGGAGGCAACAGTATTACAACCCATCTAAATGGCTAATAGGTATCAAACAAACTCTACTCTCATGGTTATAGCCTATAGTACCCCTACTAATAGTGGCAATCTTAATACTCATATTCAAACTCTACATTCTAAACTTCTTGTAAAATTAATTTCTTCTCACCTAGAAGCTATTAAACTCCAAATGGTGCCTCAGATGGAACCATGCATGGACACACCTTTCTTCTGAGGACCCTTAGATTGACTCCAGGAGGAGCCCTACCTCCTGTTCCCCACATGATGCCCCTCTCCAGCAGGAAGTAGCCAGAAAGAGTCATGTTCAACACCCCCAACAGCAATTAGGTTTTCCATTCCTGAGGGGCTAAATGATACAGAAGGTAGAAAGAAATTATTTAGGCAGATAGTGAAGGCAAAAGAGTCCTCAGCAGAATTTATTTTGGAGGCCATCAGAAATTTACATCCTATGCAAATGGCACATCTGGTCCAACCAGTCTTTCATGCCCTATGTAAATCAGACACCACCTCCTCACCAACTCATCTATAAAACCCACTGCATTTCACCACAGATCCAGCAACCCATTTTTCTGGGACCTCTCTCTGCAGCAGAGAGTTATTCTCTTTCTTTAACCTAACTTCTGCTCTCAACTTCACTCTTTGTGTGTCCATTTCCTTGTTCTCCATGGCCATGAGACAATGAACTGCAAGTGTTACTCCAGACAAGGAGGATGTTTTATCAGTAGATTTGACATGAAAGAATAAAAAAAAATCAGTAAACTTGAAGACACAGTATAAAATTTTAAATATGAAGTGCACGGAGAAAGAAAGCTTAGTGTGAGGGGTGCATAGAAAGTTCTCACCAATAAGTGGTCTAACATTCTTAGAATTAGGAAAAAAATACAACAAAGGAGGATGGAAAGAAAGAAAAATAAGTTGAAGAAATATGTTCACACACACATACACACACACTTCTTCATATACTGATTCATATTTAAATGCAGTTTTAAATAGCAAAGAGAAAAGAAGAAAGTTATTACACATATGAAACTATCAAGAAAAAGTAAGGTGAGGGCTCAGATTATATTTTCATTTAGAAATTAAGGGACTATTTGTGATCTTGAATATAATTTCAATGTAGAGATAAGAACTAAAAGATTAGAATGAGGAGTTGGAGAATATAAATTATTTATTTGCACATTATAAGTAAATTTTAAATAAATATATGTACAAAATTATACAATGAATACCCATATAATTAACCTATCTTAATAAACATTAAAATTTAGTAGAATCTCTTAATATTAAAACTGGCTTTGCAAATATTATATCAGTGAGAAAAATTATAACAGTAAGCTGAGCTACCACCCACATACCCCCATCTTGCCTTTCTTTTAATTATTCCTGGGCTATTGGACCCAGCTAACTTTAGAAGACATTTAGGCTACAGTATAAATGATAATAGGTCTTGCCCCAAATTTGACTGCTTTTGTAAAGCTAATGGGAGGCCATCAGCCTAGGGGGAGAGAGGAACCAGAGTCCTGCTAAGGTGCAGACATAAACGATTGTCAGCCATTACTCCTGAGGTTACAAGATATGCAATTTCCCTAATTACTCCTGCAAATAGCACCACTATTGTAGATCAGCCTTTTGAGACATCTTTCTGGGTTTTTTGCATGTTTGACGCTCATGGCTCCACCTGGACCACCAACCCTGCTCCTGTAGCCCCACCCAGAAGCATTCAGCCTAAAGAAGAACAGCTTCCACCTGCTATGAGTTCATCTCTGCCCCATCCAATCAGCAGCAAGCACCTGTTACCTGGCTGCCCCTACACCTTCCTCCAATCTGCCTTTGAAACACGTCTAACCTACAAGCTTTAGATAAGATAATGTGAATATGAATTCCATCTCCCAGGTAGCATGGCCAGCCTCATTTCTATTAAACTCTTTCTTTATGACAATGCCATGGTCTTTCTGCAGTGGGCAAGAAGAATCCCTTGAGCGGCTATAATATACTTTCTTATTTGAACTTTCCTGCTCCTTGCACATTAGGTGTAATTCCTATCCTAACTTCTTAACCACACTTGGGCTTTGCTTTATCATTTTCTTGCCCCCACATATACGTAATTTTAAAAACAGTCTTTTCTGCATGGTTTTAAACTTTTCACAAAAGTAAACTTGCTGTATACATTTGTGTGTGTGTGTGTGAGTGTGTGTGTGTGTGTGTGTGTGTGTTTTGCTTTCTTTTGAGACAGACTCTCACTCTATCCCCCAGGCTGCAGTGCAGTGCCTGATCTCAGTTCACTGCCACCTCTGCTTCCTAGGTTCAAGCGATTCTCCTGCCTCAGCCTCCCAAGCAGCTGAGATTACAGGCACGCACCACCATGCCAGGCTAATTTTTGTATTTTTTGGTAGAGACAGGGTTTCACCATGTTAGCCAGGCTGGTCTCGAACTCGTAACTTTAGGTGATCCGCTTGTCTCGGCCTCCCATAGTGCTGGGGTTACAGGCGTAAGCCACCACGCCCAGCCTTGTGTAATTTTTTTCCATTCAGATATATGTGTATAAAATGCACCAATGCTGATGTTTGTAGCTCTAGTTTATTAATGGTAATTGACTCTGCATAAAAATATACCCCATATATAATCAATTTGGGGTTGATTTTTTTTAATTCTTTTTAATACCAGAAAATATATTTTTCTGTAGATGTCAACTTGTACACTTTATGAGATTTTCTCTAGCCTATATAGAATTGTTTGGTACTGGGTTATACAAATCTTCAAATTTTTTAGTTTCTTCCTAGTTATAGACTAGATTGTTTTAACCAATTTATACTTTCTCTGGAAGGGTATAGCAGTTATGTTGTTGCACACCTTTGACAATTATTATTTTTACAACTTAAAATGTTTGTTAGATGGGTATGGATAAAAGAAAAATTTTAGCCAAATTAACTTTAACAGAGTTTGAGCAAAGAATGAGTTGCAAATCAGACTGCCTCCTGAGTCGCAGTAGGCTGAGAGACTCCAGCACAGCCACATGCTGGAGGAAGATTTATGGAAAGAAAAAGGAAAGTGACCTACAAAAAATGGAAGTGAGGTACAGAAACAGCTGGACTGGTTACAGCTTGGTGCTTCCCTTATTTGAACATGATTTGCACAGTTGGCCAAAACTTTGGCCAAAACTCAGTGATTGGCACAAGAACAGACTACAGTCTGTTTACAACTCCATTTAGGTTATAGTTCACAGTGTACAGAGAAACTACAGGTGAAACTTAAAATATGTAAGGAGGCAGCTTTAGGCTAAACTTTATTTGACGGTATGAAAGAGTATCTTTTTATGTTTTCTAATTGACAACTTTCTATTTAATAGTGAAGCTGATCATCTTTTCAAATGTTTCTTGGTAATTCAGCTATCTTCTTTTTGTAGATTGCCTATTTTCTTTTGCACATATTTCTTATAAGGTTTCTGTCTTTGCTTTTTAATATTTCTTTATAAGTGATATATATTATAATTTATAATAATAAAAGTTGATTAAATACATTATAAATACTGTTTGTAGAGTATGGTTATATTTTAATTTTTCTCATTGCCATTAAATAAATTTTATTTTAAATACCAATTTATAAATACTTTTTATTTGAGCATTTTAAATTTGAGCATCTTGTGTTAGGAAATTATTTTCTTTCCAGAATTGGTGGATATATTATTGTGTATTTTATTCTAAAAGTTCCAAGTTTCTTTTCCGTAGCTAATAATTAATTTACCTGTAATTAAATTGTCTATATGGTATAGAGGTTAAGGGAAAATGCCTCCTTCTCCCTCTGAAGGTTTGATGAAAAATGAACTGACAAAAGGCAGATAATAAATAGCATACAAATTCATCAATGTGCACGTGAACAAGAACTGCAGACTGACTGCTCCAACCCCCGCAACAGGGTGTAGAAGCTTGAGGTTACAGAAACATGGGGGCTTGGGTTGTGGCAAATAGGTTATGGGAGAGAAAGAAATGGAGGAATGACTAGCAAAAGTAGCTGTGTTATGTAGATAAAATTTCACAGGTAGCAGCCTTCAAAGAGAATAAATGGTAAAATGTTTCAATTGGACCATTAATGTTTTCAGATACCTGGTTAATCTTTCTTAGATCTGAAAAGGGAAGGCCTCAGAGAAAGCCTGGCTTCATCTATGCAGATTCTCTACAGATTCAAATCTCCCCCACAAAAGACAGCTTTGCAAGGCTACTTCTGTTTGTGTGCTCTCTGAATGGCCATCTAACAATATGTCTAAGAAATATATTTTGGGGTGAAATATTTCTATTTCTTTCAATGGTGTTAGGTGAGAGTCCAATTCATTTTATTATTTTCCCAGCAGCACTTATTAAACAGTTCATCCATCCCATGATGGTCTCTATGGCAGACACATAAACATAGGAGTCTATTTCCAAGACCCTTATTCTCTTACTTCATTCTATTTATTTTTAGCTGAACATTACTTTTCTTTTGGGGGCCACTCCAAGTTAATGTCTAAGTAGAGGTATCTGTGACTACACAAAGAAGATAAATGCAAATCACAAATACATTTGAGGGAAGGTAAGTGCTTCTTAATTCTCAAAAGATACTTTTTGAACCTATAGCTCATTTCAGGACAGTCAATGACCATTGTCTCCTTTGCCAATATGACGACTTTTCCACCTCATCCATGTGGTGAGAATTTCACTGGATGGGTTTCAGCTGTAGGTGAGGGTCCCAATTCTCCTTATTGCAGGGACACAACCCTGTCCTCTGCTGCTTAAACAACTGCTACAGTGTCACCGTAGGCTAGAGCAGCTTCCAATCTGCACTGCCTTACCTCCCTGGTTTTCAGCTCCCTTTTTCATCTGTGATCACTGGCATTTCTCTTACTTTCTTGGGCAGTAAAGAGTGGCTTAAACAAAGCAAAACAAAATGAAACCAAACAGAACCAAGTAACCATAACCAACTGAACAAAAACCAAAAGCAGACATTTGCTATACATTCAGTATTTGCGGGTGCTATATTATATATCGGGAATTTTTTTTACAGGATATCTGGTATATTATTGTACTAGAATTGAAAGTCCAGACAAGATTTGTAGGAGTTCTGATAGAATGGATAGTAGAAAAGGGAGCAGTCTCTGCACAGCATCTTTCCCCACACGATGTATTATTGTTCTTTATAATGGAATATAAATCCTTTCAGATAAGGATGTGCTGTTCATTTCTCTTCAGTTCCACACTCCCCTCATTTTTTTTCCTACACTCTGTGTGCCTCTTTGTTATCTTTCTGGTGGCTAAAGGCATTAAAGTTTGGAATACCTGATTTAAGCATTTAATTCTCTCTTTTATATATTTATCCCACTCTTCAGTTTGAAGAGCTTTCTACTTGCTGCTGGTAATAGAAGAAAAATTAGACTAGGATAGGCTTCTGTCTCTTTGACATCTATTAAAATAACAGCGCTTGCCTCAAGCAGTTGACCTTCTTTCTTGTTCATCCTCCCACTGAAAACATTGCCTGAAGAACCAGTTTTCTGATGTTTATTACTGTCATAAGCCACAGCTCATTCTGAGCTCATGTTCTGCCACTCGTCTTCTACACCTTTGTCACTCTCTTTTACTCTTCCATGGATATATGCATGTCTCTGAACCACTTATAATTAAAAAAGAAAATAAAGAAGGGGGAGGGAGGGACAGAGAGAAAGGGAGAAAGGGGAAAATAGGAGAAAAGGAGAAAGAGTCCAGAATCTTGAAAGAAAAAAAGACATTGGACTTCCTTACTATGCATTTTACATTATTTTCATTTGATTTTTTTAAGTTATTCATGGTTCTCAATAAAAATTCCATTTTTTACATGGTAATTAATTTTGAATCATTTTCCTTTCTAAAGTGTCACTAAATCATAGCTATATTTTATATACAAAAATCTGCTTTCAAAAACTTTATGAAAACTGTCAATCGTTGAGCAATCTCCTATTTTGTTACCATAAGCTCTCAAAGGATATAGTCCCATCTAGATCATGAATACATTACTCCTGTTGATATTTTATTTCCCTGTTGACATTTTATTTCCCCCTCAAAGTTTCAAGTGATTAAATGTATCTAAAATGTTTATATAACTTTATAAAGTAATACTATCAAAACTACTCACATCAATGAAAGTTCCCAATTTTGGTCGGCGGGGGGTGTGGGGGCTCAGAGAACAATAACCAAGTATAGTGCTCTGGCAGGCTGAGTACTTTTGAATTAAAGGAAATTGGAAGGACTTAGAAGCTGCCTCAGAATGAAGGACTTTCTAACCTTTTTTTGTTTTTCTCCTGCCAAGTACAGGGAGGCATTCTCCCTGGAAGTTCCCTTGTCTGACTGGGAAAAACTTCTTCCAAAAGAAATGCAATTGTCTTGTAACCTCTTTAGGAATATTATCAAATAACCAGAAAAGATTAACCACCAGAGAGGAGAAAAGACTAAAAGTCATCACCATGTGCAGACAAACTTTTCACCTATTCTTCTAAGGGTAGCTCTGAGAGATTACCTGGGAGACGGTATCTGCATAATAAGAAAAACCTTTGTTCACAGTGAAGCTCCTTTTCTAACCTTCTTGAGGTTAATTGCCATCTCTCTTAATGAGCTCAGAGAAACATTGTCCCAGGTCATTGTTTATTCTTGAGGTCCCGTTCAGTATTAAAAGAGAATTATTTACAAACTATTGTCTGTTCCTTGGGCCCAGATTAAGTCTTCTAAAAATCATTTACCACACCCTCAAAATTGCTTACATTCCTCCATCTCCCTCTCCCTTATGAAGAGGGCACTATTTAAGCTTTAATCATTCAGCTCTTCTTTGAGTCATATTTTGTATGGCTCCTATATACATTTGAACATTAGTAAAACTGTATATTGTTTTCCCCTGTTAATCTATTTTCAATTTATTTTAGCAGACCAGATTTACCCGTACCCTACCTAATATTTTCCCTTTGACAATAAAGCTTTTAGAAAATAATAGATGTTTGATACATATTTGTCAGTATTGAATTGAAACTAACTTGAATTGGGGAATTTATCAGAGTTATTTTTGATCTACTAAGAATAACATCTTACAACCTTTCTTGCTACATCACCAATAGTGCAGTAAATAGGTGTTCAGAATTTATGTTCCTGTTACAGTAGGTAGCTAATCAGCCATGAGCAGGACAGGAAAGGGCTCCCCCTACCCACCAGGAATGTCAGGCAACCATCAGGTGATAGTCCTGCAGTTGTTACATTGCTTCTCTAAAATGATAATTGGTCACAGCGGGTGCCAGGGAGAGGAAATTTCCCAGTAGATAGAGACACCTGAAATTGGTGATCGGTAGCTTCCAATAAGATCTCAGGAACTGGGTGAGTGGGCTTGAGCATGCACATTAAAAGGAAAAATGGCACAGTATGACCTTCTGGGGGCACTGCACTGGAAAAGAAAAAAAAGTCTCAGGTGAGTATGCATACACCTCCAGTAAACACACTGTGCATGCTTACCTCCCCAGTACTAGCAGGCCACCGTGCATGCGGGGAGATCACTTTAAGAGAAGAATCAGGGGGAAAAGGATGCAAGACCCCAGAAGTATGCCAATATATAAAACTTTAAAAGTAAAAAGATCAAACCCCACACTTGACCTCCAAGAAGCCCATTTGGGTCTCTTCCAAATGTACTTTTCTTTCTTTCCTGCTGTAAAGCTTTTTTAGTAAACTTCCACTCCTGCTCTGAAACTTGCCTCAGTCTCTTTTTCTGCCTTAAGCCTCTTAGTTGAATTCTTTCTTCTCAGGAGACAAGAATTAAGGTTGTTGCAGACCCATACTGATTCGTCGCTGGTGACTTGGATACTCTCCACCACTTACTGTCATGCGCGTCCATGTGAAGAGACCACCAAACAAGCTTTGTGTGAGTAATAAAGCTTTTTAATCACCTGGGTGCAGGAAGGCTGAGTCCAAAAAGAGAGTCAGCGAAGGGAGTTAGGGGTTGGGCCGTTTTATAGGATTTGGGTAGGTAGTGGAAATTTATAGTCAAAGGGGGTTGTTCTCTGGCGGGCAGGGGCGGGGCTCACAAGGTGCTCAGTTGGGGAGCTTCTGAGCCAGGAGAAGAAATTTCACAAGGTAATGTCATCAGTTAAGGCAGGAACTGGCCATTTTCACTTCTTTTGTGATTCTTCACTTGCTTCAGGCCATCTGGATGTATATGTGCAGGCTTGGGCTCAGAGGCCTGACACATTCAGATTGATGATTCTGAGGACTTGCAGGATCTCAACCCTGCAAGTTTGATCCTGAGTTTGATCAGTAATTTCATTACAGAGAAGCCACTAATTGGCTACCATGGCTTTAGGCATTTTAGGAAAATTTTCTATAGTAAAACTTAATTTGTGTGTGTGTAGAGTCACCCCTTGGCTGATCAGGAAATTCATTTTTCTGGCTACTTGGATTTTCCAGATATTTTGATCGAGCATCTTCTCATCATTTTTATATATGATAATTACATACATGCAAGCTTCATGTTGTACTGATATAATCTGTTTTTAAAGCAAGAAAGTTCAAAGGGAATTGAATCAACTATAGAGCTGTCTTTATAAACTAAATTACCTATGTAAATTATTTAACCTTTTCTACTTATCTCTTAGTAAAAGACATTTTAAAAATATCACTTCATATGCAAATCCCTTTATAGGCAGAGAATTTTAGTGTTGGCTTTTCTTTTGAAATTTGAGGTTTGACAGGCTAGCTCTCACCAGCTTCAGATTTTATTTTCCTACCTATTGTTTTAAGTTTGATGCTCAAAATAAGTCACTAGGTAACTGGTATCAACTTGTTTGTGATTTTTAATGCCAAAGAGTGAGGCTTTTCACAGTTGATTAGCTGAGTTAAACAAGCCATGCTCTTTCATTCAATAGTTTAGAAAACAGGCCTAAAACAAAATAAATGTTCCAAATTACATACTATTGATATAGGAGTTAAGGAGGAATTACTTAGGCAGATAGCAAGGGCATGAGAGTCCTTGGTAAGGCTTTTCTTTTTAATGAAACGCAGCCCCAAATCATTTTCTAACAAAGAGCAGCCTGCAAGCTGGAAGCTTGCAAAGGTGAATGCTGGCAGGAACTAAGGATTAGACATCTTCAAAATGGCGGCACAATCTTCCCTTCTCTGCCAGCCACAAGTACAGCAAGAGGAAGACAGTAGGGTATCAATGAATGGGAAAGTCCATTTGCATAAGAAGATTAGAGTGGGGCAACCAGCCTTCCCCACCCACTATGTAAAGGTCACACCTGATCGAACCAATCTGTGAGCCCTAGGTAAATCAGACACCACGTCCTTAAACTGAACTGTAAAACTCTGCGCATTCGCTGCGCCCGCTCTCTTTCATTTCGGAGAGCTCTTACTCTATAGAGGGAGCTGTTTCTCTTTCTACCTATTAAATCTTCGCTCCTAAAATCCTCATCTGTTTCCATGTCCTAAATTTTCCTGGCACGTGATGACGATCCCCAGGTTCATACCCCAGACAACGTAGCCACTTCATTATTAAGAATATTCTAGGCCGGGCGCGGTGGCTTACGCCTGTAATCCCAGCACTTTGGGAGGCCGAGGCGGGCGGATCACGAGGTCAGGAGATCAATGCCATCCTGTATAACACGGTGAAACCCCATCTCTACTAAAAATACCAAAAAAATTAGCCAGGCGTGGTGGAGGGTGCCTGTAATCCCAGCTACTCCGGAGGCTGAGGCAGGGGAATGGCGTTAACCCGGGAGGCGGAGCTTGCCGTGGGTCGAGATCTTGCCACTGCACTCAAGCCTGGGTGAGAGAGCGAGACTCCATCTCAACAACAACAACAACAACAACAAAAAAGAATATTCTAATTATTTGGCCTGCCTGATAGGCATTCTTTTTATTGTTTTATTTTATTTTACTTATTTATTTATTTTGAGACGGAGTCTTGCTCTAGTCGCCCAGGCTGGAGTGCAGTGGTGCAATCTTGGCTACCTGCACCTCTGCCTCCCGTGTTCAAGCGATTCTCCTGCCTCAGCCTCCGGAGTAGCTGGGATTCCAGGCGCCCGTCACCTTGTTGGCTAATTTTTTTTGTATTTTTAGTAGAGACGAGGTTTCTCCATGTTAGGCAGGCTGGTCTAGAACTCCTGACCTCATGATCCACCCACCTCAGCCTCCCAAAGTGCTGAGATTACAGGTGTGAGCCACCAAGCCCAGCCAGGACATTCTTACGTGAAGCAATACCACTGAATAACTGTTACAAAGCAATATATTTCTTAATTTGGTAGATTATAACATATTAATATTTTACTAAGAAGTTAAAAATATCACTCAATAAAGAATGAGGTTAAACTAAACTGATACCTGTTCTCCATTTTCTAATAAATTTTTGAATGGCATGTTCAGCTTGGAGATGAATAGTTATCCAGAGTAGTGGACAAATTGCCACTGAATAGATACCCTAGGAACTAGCCACTTCTTATATATAACATATATAGCTATATATAGATATATATCTAAGATGAGCATTTTGAGGCAAGGAAAAGCACAACGAAAAACAATAGTGTGCCTCTTGCAGCAGCTAGCGGTCATCTGACTTATCAGAAGGAGTCAGACTTCAGGGTGAGGCTGGAGACACAGCCAGCAGGCAGCCCACTTTAAATAATTCTTGCCTGCAGCAGAGCTTTACAGCAATAGAGCAATTAGGAATCGATTGCTTATTAAGATTTCCCACCATGTTGCACTGTCATTTTCAGGTCAGTCTTCAGGGAACTTTGTTTACTTAGAGCAAGGATGGAAAGTTATTTCAGATCTGGAAAATGGTTCTCTGGTAGAAACATTTATAGACTATATTTAAACAAGAATTTGACATTGATGTAGATAGTCTAATTTAAAGTTACAAGGCACCCCTAGGTTTTATGACTTGATGAGTTTGGTTACCATTTGTCAGTTTTCTGATTGATTGTATTTTTTGGTAGAGATAGGGTTTCGCCTTGTTGGCCAGACTAGTTTCAAACTCCTGAGCTCAAGCAGTCACCCAGCCTCGGCCTCCCAAAAGTGCTGATTACAGGCATAAGCTGTGCTTGGCTTCAGATCATTATTTTTCTCGTTGTTGTTGCTGTTGTTGTTGTTGTTGTTGTTTTGGAGACAGAGTTTTGCTCTTGTCGCCCTTATCTGTCCTTCCTGTCTGGAACTAATTTGCTGCTGACCCATCTCTGGCCATAGTATAAAAACCCTATTTCCAACAATATACTAGACATTACACCTGCATGTCACAAAAGCATCCAACTTAGGTTAAAATTGAATGTACACCAATCCCACTTCCCGTGAATACTGGATACTCATGTTTTTATACTCATGTATATTATCTCTCGTAGTTAATATTATTAAATGAGTTTCAAAAAAAGAGTTTCTAACAAATTATTCTTGGGCTGTGACTCATTCTTGGTGGAGTAATATTTTAATAAACCGTATCAAGTGAATGTGGGAACCTAATAGGCAAAATGTGGTATACAAGGCACAGAAAGAAAGGCTTCATCCTGAACATCTTGTGATTTTCATAGATGAGTTCGGAAACAAACTGGAAGCAGAACTATATTACTCCACATCACGATTATCGAGTGACTAAAGTATCTAGACGGAATGTAGAAAAGAGCCTCCAGCAAGGTTGGACATTCTATGGGGTTAGGAATCATGGACAAGATATAACGAATTATATTTTATCCAAATATTTGCTTTTAAAGAAGTTTTCTTTTTTAAAATATTTTTATTAGGAGTGTATATTCCAATATCTCTTCTTACTCTTCATTAAATCTTACATTGCTCAGTAATGCTTATGCAGAAGTGTATTATTTAGGGAAAATTCAAAGAAATGCTGAATTCTCTGGCTAATAATTATCAACTATTAGGCATCCATTTTGTGCCAGTCACTTTAGTTTAGGAGGCTAACATACACTATTTTCTGTTATTTTTACAAAACTTTATGAAATCACTATTAGGAGATAGTGAGACATCTCATAAAGAACTACCCAAAAAAGAGACAGAGAAAGGGTGAGACAGAGCATAGGGAACATAAGACTTCTCTATTATATAACATTAAAATTCATCCAGTCTGAAAGGTTAAAAGCTTGAGAATCAATTTCTTTCTTTCTACCTCTTCATCTTTCCTATCCAGCAAGTTACCAGAGACCATTGATAAACTGTGATAATGCTATCTCACAGCCACTGCCATAGTGTAGAATTTCATCATCTCCTCACCTGGGCTATTGTGCAGTCCTATGGTAGCCTATTTGGCATTGGGCATCAAGGGAGTTACTACCATCAAGACTGGTGAACAGTGACACACAGGGAGACAATGCCACACCAAGGATACATTTCCATCTTGAAAACAAAGTAGAAACAGATTTACGCTTCTAAGTTTAAATCAGATCAGTTTAAACTCTCTCTCTGCTGTACTGTTGCCACAGAATATATAATGCTGTTGTGGTGAAGAGAACATGAGGAACAAAAAGAACCCAGACGTGCAATACTAAAGAATGTACAGGGGAAAAATAGTATAGGCATGTTATTAAGCATTTAAATAGGCCAACAGCAGTTTGTTGATTATATGTAGAACTAAAACCATTTTTAGAAATTAATTATTAGCTGGGCGCAGTGGCTCAGGCCTGTAATCCCAGCACTTTAGGAGGCCAAAGGCAGGCAGATCACTTGAGGTTAGGAGTTCGAGACCAGCCTGGCCAACATGGTGAATTCCCATCTCTACTAAAAATACAAAAGTTAGCTGGGAGTGGTGGTGGCGCCTGTAATCCCAGCCACTCGGGAGGCTGAGCCAGGAGGATCACTTGAATTCAGGAGGCAGAGGTTGCAGTGGGCAGAAAATGCGCCACTGTACTCCAGCCTGGGCAACAGAGTGAGACTCTGTCTCAAAAAATAAATTATTATTATTTATTTAAAGTATTGTCCTTAAGCTTAATACTTACAATAAATATAAACTATTAGGCATCTATTTTGTACCAGTCACTTTAGTTTAGGAGGATAACATACACTATTTTCTGTGATTTTTACAAAACTTTATGAAATCATTACTATTATTTTTAGATTGTGGATGAAAAACTAAAGAGGTTAAATAACTGGTATATTGTAAAGCTGGCGTCTGAATGCGGGCCTCTCAGATTCTAAGGTTTACACTATACCACCTCTCATAAAGTCACACAAAGGCAAAAGCCTTCTAATCCACATAACTTACACAATTTTGTCTTATCAAGATTTATGTTTGAATGAATGCATTTCATTCATTTATACTCTTATCCCTTTGAAACATCTCCCAATCTAGTGGGTCTTCTATAGTGTTACCTGATGTATCTTGATAGTAACAAATGTCATTACATCATTTCATCATTTAAAAACTTTCTATTGATTGACTATAGCATAAAATCTATACTTCCTAGTCTGGCATTCATGAGTTTTGATAATGTGGCTCCAACATTCTTCAAATTATTCTCTTTATACATTACCATGTCATAGTTGTTTAGTCACAATTTCTCATACTTTCTCATCAGAGTATGTCTTATCACAGTTGTGACTTTATGCATACTGCACAGTTTTAATCCTTCAAGTCTTACTTCAATATCAAGATAATTTTCTTTTTAAAATAGGGTCATAGAGTCAGTTTTCCTTCACTACAGACCTAAGTATCAGGTTCTTAGGTTACAGAGAACCCACTAATTGCCTCCAGGTGTGTTTCTCACCTCTTAGGTAAAATCTTTCATCTTTATTAATATGAAGTCTCTCTGCTTTGAACAGGATTTGGACCAGATTTGCCTATTCATAAATTATTTAGGAATCAGTGTTGTGCTAAGCATTTGGTAGACAACGCTGGACTCGACAAAGATAGGCAAAGACCTGGAGGTAGAATGGATGGTCTTAACAATGATACAAGAATATACACCATGGGAAGATCATGGAGGGCTTTCTAAGACACACTAAGTAAATTAAGCTTCATAATTAAAAAGTGGTAAGTTATTAGAATGTTTTGAGTAAGAGTATGAGGAGTCAGATTTATTATATTCTGACTGCATTATCAAGATAAGCCTGGAGAGTAATAAGCCTGGACTCTGAGGGACAAATTAAAGAATGCTGCAGACATCCTAGGAGGAAAGGCAGTGCTTTGGACTATAATGACAATAGGGATGATAAGAAGCATTTAGAAGAGTTGGTAATAGGTTGCTTGTGAAAGTGGGTGTTTGGTGGTTGGATAGTAGAAATCATTTTCATACATTCTGTAAATAACTCAGATTTATATTCTGATTTCCCTGAATCAGCATTTCAATAAAAGCAATTGTGACCATTTTCTAAAGCAGTGTATGAATGTTTCTTAGAGAGTCTCAGCGTCTTTTACTTTATAAGCATTTATTTTTGCCGGTGAGGTATCAGACAGAAATCTCCAAGGTGCTTTATTTTTCAGATGAGTTGTGAAAAGATATAAGTCTTTGTTTCTTCACTGCACAATTTTTCACTGAATTCATGATCAAGGTGAGTAATGTTTTGCAAAGAAGTTTAATGTAGCTTTGCAGTTTCAGCATTCAGCAGCTGTGGAAATAGGGGGTTCACTTTAATGCTGCCTTCCCATTTATTTCTAAGGTCACATGCAATCTATGGAAAGCCTCTACTGTCACTTCAGAAATTGCTCAATCTTTAGTTCTATCTTCCATTTGTAAATATTTCTCACATCTGGCCTTCAATCTATTGGCCTCATACCCACATTATGCCTTAAAGTTTAGTCCTCCTGGAAGGAGACAATTCCTTGCTTATGATTTAAAAACTCAGAAAGTTATTTTTGCAGCCGCCTTCTCAGATTTTTATTATAAACTGGAGATAGAAAGCCTTTATGATGAAAGTACATTTCTGGAATATGTGACTTTAGTCTGGACCTCATTAATACTAGCTTATATTGGATTTTCCCTAAATTTACAGATTAGAACTACTAAGGAAGATTCGTGATGATTCTGCATTAACATGTTAATAAACAGTTGAGGAGCCTAATCTTGCTACAATTCAAGATTTACTTTGAGTGAGAGAGGTAAAGTAAAACTCGAAAACATCCTGAGAGAGTCATGCTTAATAGAATGACAAGAATTATAGAACCTATGTCCTGCAGATATTTCCTTTTTCTCTTCTCTTTTTTGCATTCGGAAGATAGTGCAATGGGAAAAAAGTTTAAGAATTTAGATTTTAGGAGGTCAGGCAGACAGTCTATATTTGAGTATGCACATTACTTTAAAAAACTAAATGAAGATCCATATGGAGGCAACTGCTAATAGCATGTACTTGTGTGCACACACAAACACACACAACAAGGCAAACGGCTTAAAGAGCTATGTGACCTAGGGATTTTTAATATTTAAAACCGTGTAGAATGTGAAATACGTCACAATAAAAAGTGAAACTTAATTCTTACAGATTAAAAAAAGGTAGAAAGATTCTACTTTAAGTAAAATAAAGATATCGTTTCCTTTAAAATATCGTTTGACATTTGGAAACTTCTAAAACTCCCAAGAGTACATGGAAAATTGAAAGCAGTTTACAACAGTGAAAACTGAAGGATTTGCTCAGTCATCACCTCATGGCATGCTCAAACTTGGTCTCATGAACAGAGAGTCAAAACATTGTTTGCTGTCACTCCACCTATGGACTGTCCTCTCACTAAAAGCCCAGAATTTCTTAGAATCTGAAAGTGGGTGGTGATTTTGGACTTGATATACTAAAACCTCCCTCGTCTTTTCAGTCTATTTAGAGAAGAAAAAAAAAAAAACTCTAAGAAAAACAGTTTGCCAGAAAAATAAGCAGATCAGTGGTAAAGAGTTAGATCTAGAAAGAAGGGACCTCACTGTAAAAATGTTCAGATAGAAACTGACAAAATGAACTCAAATACCAGACCATATTGTAATGCTGCAGAAACCTCATCCTTTCAAAGTATCATGAACTAATTAAGAAAGGGAAGGTGTCATTTTAGCTTTTAGGCAAAACTGCAATAAACAGAGTATAAGATAATTTGAAGCACTTGAATATTTACAAAAAATGAACAAAAGGACTACGAGGGAAACAATGATAGGTCAAAATGTAGAAATATTAAAGATTAAATTCTGAGGGCTCAATTCACCAAATCTAGAATATAATAAACAGTGGAACAAAGATACTTCAAACTATAAAAGCATGTCCCTGTTTTTTGTTTTGTTTTGTTTGTTTGTTTTCAGCTGTGTAACCACTTATTTGCCTTCTGGCACTAAAAGCTTGCTTCAGGCTCATCTGGAGCGTTACCTGACCCATCCCTAAAATCAACCATTTCTACAAGGAGCCCTTGTTGTTTTCATTGGATAATGGTATCAGGAGCCAAACACCAGGTGATAGACATGCTCATGGCTTCCCAATTTAGACTGGAAACTGGTAAGTTTCCAGTCTAAACATCACTTTTCTGGTGTTAATTCGTTCAACTCCTTATCTCCACCCCATACAGTGAGGTCATGTTGTGTTTTTTATTCAGTTAGATTCATTTATCATAGTCTCCATTCTATTTTGGGATCCTAGGCACTTGGTGGGTTTTTTTTTAATACATTGAAGTTTATCCTTAGGGATGTACAATTTTATAGATTTTGATAAATGCATAAAGCCATGTATCCAGCACTCCAGTATCATACAGAATTGTTCCATTACCACAAAGATTCTCTTGTGTATCCTTTTATAGTCAGCCATCCTTTCTCTACAACTAACAAGCATTGCTCTATTTTCCATTCCTTAGTTTTGCCTTTTTAGAATGTTACATGACTGGAATAATACAATATTTAATTTTTGAGTCTGGCTTTTTTCATGGAACAAAACACAATTTGATCCATGAATTCCAAGGCTGGGTCAGAAAATCTCCAAATAAGTCCAGAATATTTTGTTTTTACAAATAAAGGATGCTTTCAAAAATGCCTACAGTAGCTTTAAAAAAGCATTAAGAAGTTGCCCTGATGGAAAGATCAAGTAGTGACCACTTAAATGTTAAATATAATAAATATTTATAGCTAACTAGAACCAGTAAAGTTTGTAAGGAACCATTAATTCATAATGATACTCAAAATGAACAAATAATATAAAATATACCAGAGAAAAATCATACTGACCCAAATTATTCATGCTTACTCCTTGCTAAAAAAAATGAATTATTGAATTTTTAAATGAAATGCCTGTTTGTTTAGTTCATACACCTCATACTCCCTAATAAATTATTCAAATACTTACCATAATAATAGGAATTAAAACTTGTTTCTGCTATTTTGCCAGAGATATGTAGACCTACGCAGCTTATGTTCCAATTAAAATGAATCATTGACAAGGAAATTAACTACAGAATTGAATCTAAACAGCCTGCGCCTTTGAGAGACTGGCTGGTTATAGAAAGTAGTACTGTTTGATTCACCTAGTCTTAAAACACACACTTGAAATATTTCATAGTTCATTGTACCTAGTGAGCACAGTCAAATAATCATATTCTCTAGAATGACTGGGAAGGGAATTAGTTCAGGAAGGAAAAAGAACAGAAAACACACTTGAGCAAACAGTAGAAAAGCTGTGGCACTGAGGACAGTCCTTACCCTATTTTTCATGTCAGCACCTGTGTGTCTCTGTAATGAACTCTGGAGTTCGTAGGGTGTCTTTATCTCTACTGAGATTTGTTCTATGTGGTTTCTTCCCTAGAAAATCATCTCCATAAATTTCCATACCCTTTACCATTAAAGTAACTTTCATTCATCTTCAACTTTTGCTTCCTCTATTCTCTCCTTAAAAATCTTTGCATTTATCCCACCAGGTATAAATTTTGATTACCATACAATTATTATTTTAAAAAACTAAAGATGAAAATAAAAATAAACCAAAGCAAAGGAATGAAGTGCCCAAGAGATATCAAGGACTTAGGTAAGAAACAAAAGGTTAACTGGTAATCTAATGCAGTAGCTGATATTTTAAATTCACAAAATTGATCAACCATTAGGTAGCCTAATAAATCATAAAAAAGGGAAAAGAAATCCAGATATCTAACAGTAAATTAACTGAATATACAGAAGACAAAAATATAAAATTTTTGTTTGTCATTAAACCATTAGTTATGCCTCATTAAGGGATGGAAAAGCCACACCTATAAAACATCTTTGAAGAATTTGAGGCAATTATCTAAGGACGAGACTCCACCTTATGCAACATGCCCATATTGATTCACAGGTGAATTACTTTCACCTATTAAGAAACTAATGGCCAGGTGTGGTAGCTCATACCTATAATCCCAAGCACTTTGGGAGGCCCCGGTGGGAGGATAGCTCGCGCTCAGGGATTTGGGACCAGCCTAGGCAACATAGTGAGACCCCATCTCTTCCCTCCCACGAAATTTTTTTAATTAGCTGGGTGTGCAGTGTTGCATGCCTGTAGTCCCAGTTACTTGGGAGGCTGAGGCAGGAGGATCACTTGACCCCAGGAGTTCAAGGCTGCAGTGAACCATGTTTGTGCAGCTACACTCTAGCCTGAGCAACAGAATGACAGCCTGTCTCAAAAAAGAAACACAAAACCCACTAACAATTTTTACCTAATTTACTCCTAAAATGAAGAACATTTTCTATTTTTAAGCCAGCATAACAGATATGAAAATAAATAATGAAGATTGAAAAAAAAACTTTACAGGTATCATTTATTGAGCAATGATATAAAATATAATATAGAAAAGATTGGAAAGTGAAATCAAATGCATATTAATGAATAATTCATTTTGATGTTTATTTTGGCAAAATGAAAGTAGAATTTAAGGAAGCCTATTAATATAACTCAAAATTGAAAATAATGGTTTCCTTAACATATGCTAAATGTTTAATATATAAGAACTATTCCTGACATTTATAGAAATTTCATTTTTTTTGGAGATATGGTCTTGCTCTGTCACCCAGACTGAAGTGCAGCAGCTCAATCATAGCTCGCTGCAGCTTGGAACTCCTGGACTCAACTGACCCTCCCACCTCAGCCTCCTGCATAGCTAGGACTGTAGGCACGTGGCACTATGTCTGGCTAATTTTTTTTTTTTTTTTTTTTTTTTTTTTTTGAGACGGAGTCTCGCTCTGTCGCCCAGGCTGGAGTGCATTGGCGCGATCTCGGCTCACTGCAAGCTCCGCCTCCCAGGTTCACGCCATTCTCCTGCCTCAGCCTTCCGAGTAGCTGGGACTACAGGCGCCCGCCGCCACGCCTGGCTAATTTTTTGTATTTTTTTCTAGTAGAGACGGGGTTTCACCGTGTTAGCCAGGATGGTCTCGATCTCCTGACCTCGTGATCCGCCCGCCTCGGCCTCCCAAAGTGCTGGGATCACAGGTGTGAGCCACTGCGCCCAGCCCGTCTGGCTAATTTTAAAATATTTTTTGTAGATTGGGATCCTCATCTTGTTGCCCAGGCTGGTCTTGATTTCCTCGCCTCAAGCAATCCTCCTGCCTCGGCCACTCAAAGTGTTGGGACATTTTAGAAAAATATGTTTATGCCAATATAGATAGATAACTTCTTTAAAAATAACTTAAAAGTAATATAAAAATTGTGATTAATTATGAATCATAAGAAACAGTCTAATAAATTTCAGGAAGAAAATAATTTCCCACCTACAACATAAGTATTTAATGTTCTTTTGGGAGTGAATGGCACATAATGTGAAGAAATATAAATGAAAAAAATCAATGAATTAATGAATTGTTCCATTATTGGTTTTGAGAACCATTTGCTCATCTATCTAGGGGAAGTAAATCTGGTTTCTTATTCACTCCATACCTCAAATCATTCTATATGAATAAATAAAGGTAATATAAAAAGAATATACCTATGTGTTAATCAAATGAAGTGTGCATGCTTTTGAAGTAAAAATTTTTCTAAGAAATCACATCTAAAATCCACAAAAGAAAAGGCTGATTGATTACATACATTTTTGCTTAAAGATAACAATATTAATTACAATAACAAAAATATCTCAAATATTTAAAAAATTAAAATGACAATGCAAATATGAATCAGATAGTTATTTAGCACAAAATTTTCATTGAAATATTCAAAGAAAACAGTAGCCTGGTTGAAAAATGGAAGTTTATAGAAAACAATTATTACAAATGACAAATTGGCATAAGAAAATTTGTTAAAACTTTTCAATAAAGAAGAAAATAGGACTGACAATTACAGTGAGATAATAGCTTTTATAGATAAGATTGAAAATGCTTACCATTTGATGATGCTCAGAAAAGAATATGGAAAAATAGCCACTTCCATACAATGGCAATAAAATAATAAATTTGCTAATTTTGGGGGGCAATTCGTTAACGTTTATCAATATTTTAAATGCATATGCCCTTTTTAACACTACAATTTCACCAATTAAAATTTGTCTTAAAGAAATATAAAGATTAAAATAGGATTTATATTAAGAATTAACTAGAAACAACTCAAAAGTATAATCAGAAAATAACTAGTTCATTTAAATATAGTACAGCTTCACAATAAAATTCAATGTATTGTATTTTATTGTGAGACTATGTCATAGTTAATTAATTATTCATTTTTATTAACTTTTAAATTAAGAAAACAAAGCTGATTGGGACCTAGTGTGTGGTTTAAAAATTATAAATGTATATATGTAATAATGCATAGAAAGAATATGGAACACACCAAATATATACATAAAACTGTAACGCCTGTGGAGGAGGGTTGCAGAGGGAAATTTTCCTTTTCCTTTTAGAAATAATCAGATAAGTACTTATGGATAATTAGTTTCAGAAATATATATAGGACATAATAGATAATGAAAGACCTCAGCTGGTGAAGAGGCCTGTGAAGGAACAGGAGAGAAAAGAAGGGAGAAATAAGGAAGGGAGAAAAATTCAGGCTCACATATAATTTTAATTCATTTTTGGAATGTCCTCAGTAATCTGTTTTAAAATTAAAAGTTTTGCTTTCATGATTTTATTTCAGTGCCCCCATTTCATTTATTTTGACACACTATTTAAAATTCCCCAAAAATAATGAGCTAAAAAAAATGATTAGTAAAATGCCTAGATCTGCAACTTTATTTGGGATTTTTTGCATTTGTACCAGGAAAAGAGATTACTAGCTTGGCAGTAAACTTCCCTCATTAGCTGCAGAACTTAGCAAAAGAATGTCGAGTAAATTCACACTGACCGTTATCTTCTTTCATCCTTTTGGCATACTGGGCCCATTTTGTGTTGTCCTTTGTACTTTCCACCCTTTGGCTACAAATCTCATTTTGATCATTTTTAGTATTTTTTAAGAAAGTACAACACTTGTCGCTTTCTGCAAAATTCTGTCAGCTATAAGACTCGGGGTACGATCTACAACTAAACAAGTACGTGCTCATTTGTAAGTATCTGGAATAGTCCTACAAACCATTGTACCATAAGAATGATAAAATTAACCAAACACAAACAAAAAACACTGAAAATCTTTTTCACAATTAAAAACTGGTAGCTATTTCAGCCACATTTCAAAATAATTTAGTTATTTTTTAAGGCCCAAATTCATAAGGGCCACTTTTAGTTTTCCTTTTGTTTATTCACTTATTTAAAACAAAAATGAACAAAAAATAATACTCCTCCCCCAAATATTAATAATTCAATTGGTTTGGGGTGACCATATAGAAGATGTTTAGAAAGGTTTACTAGGTCACTAAAAGAAACCAATTTGTGAACAAAACAAAACAAAATGTACACTTTTTATTTAAGTTTCAATTCCATCTCTTCCATCTCTTCAACTTTGGCCTCAGAGTATTTGGGCAGTAAGGACTGATGAGTTCTAAATTAGTGGGAGGAGGAGGAGGGGGAGAAACTGATTCGATATAAATTTTTAAGAGATTCCTGGAGGTGAGGCCGGGCGCGGTGGCTCACGCCTGTAATCCTAGCACTTTGGGTGGCCGAGACGGGCGGATCACGAGGTCAGCACTAAAAATACAAAAAATTAGCCGGGCATGTTGGCGGCGCCTATAGTCCCAGCTACTTGGGAGGGTGAGGCAGGAGAATGGCGTGAACCCGGGAGGCGGAGCTTGCAGTGAGCCGAGATTGCGCTACTGCACTCCAGCCTGGGCGACAGAGCGAGACTCAGTCTCAAACCAATAAAAATACAAAAAAAAAGAAATTCCTGGAGGTTAAGATTACGAAATGGTCCAAACTAAAGACAGAAAGAACAATTTGTAGAGTTTTGTAATAATTTGATTGAAAAGTGATAATTGTCTCAAATAAGTACAGACAGTGGCAAGGGTTAAGATGTGATGTTTTAGAGCATTATTAAAGAAATAGCATTTACTGGACTTAGTAAATGATTAAAGATGCATGATAGAGAATTACTTAGGAGTCATGTTAGATGTCCTAAATTGGCTATGTAACTGAGCATATATTGTATGCAATATTTTCATTGCGTTAGGGAATAGAAAGGAGATGTATATTTGTTGTCAATATGATACAGGAAACAGCTTAAGTGAGCATGAGAGAGAAGTCCAAGAGGAAGTGGGGGAAAGGAGTTAAGGACGCAAGTGAACATGTTTCCATCACAAAGGAGAAGTAGGTAGAATTCCCTAACATCTCTTCTCTGAACTTTGAGAAAAGAAGGGAAAGATAGTTAAGAATATAGAATGAAGTTTAATCTTGGTAGGAGAGAGGGGTTGTTTAGAGGAATTATTCATGGAAGCTCTAACACCCCTACAAGAAATGAAAGGAAGGTTGACTTCTGTCTTCTGGGAAAGAGAGAATGTGCTTGAGTAAGAGACTGTTAGAGAATATTCAAGTTTTAAAATAGCAATTATGAGGAGTCAGAAAAAAACAAAAAGCAATTGGTGGGTTGTACTGAAGCTCTTAGAACAGTAAATGAAAATGGTATTTTTCTTCTAAAGTTCACAGTAACTCAGACATGCAAATAGAGAATCCAGATTGTAACCTTCATCCAAGATGGTCTGTTGTTAGAATGATCTGGCACGTAGCAAGGGCGGGCGTGGCATTATCGGTGAGAGAGTAGGTCAGAGGTGTTATTTAATTCATTTGGTAGAACAACTATTTACCCCATCATTTTACATCTGTTATGGAATGGCAGAGTGATATATCTACAGCAATTACTCCTCAAATTGATACCTCACCAAGAACAGGATACAATCTGAGCACTCTGTTTTGTCAGTACATGGCACAGCCCTTCAGGATCTGACCCCAACTTACCTCCCTAACAATGCCTCCTAATAAGTTTCCTTTTTTATACTGTTACTATGGTGAAATCCTCGGTGAATTATTTTTGAATGGATACCAATTAATACATTATCCATTATGCATTATGTCACACCATTCCTACTCGTGATAGCCGAATTGTTTCAATCCTTCATGGTTTTACACAGCTTCTTCCCTCTTCCTAAGATTCCCTTCCCCTATCTGGGGAATCATAGTCCACCATCCACACAATCACTGCATATCACTCACACAGTCAAGCTTTCACTTCAATAACTTCAACAGACTTTGACCTCTGTTTAGTGAATCACTCTTTCCTTTATACAAATGCTGTGACTAATACATACTTCTTATCATAATTTATTTCAATTGCTCATTTAAAAATGTTCTCCCACTAGATTGTGAGCAGATTAGTACCAATGACTTTGTGATGCTTCAGTATTTAGGACAGTATGTGAAACACAAAAGTTAATAAATATGCATTAGTAACAAGAGAGTGTGGAGTTGAACATCAGGGAAAAGGTGGGTTTGAAGAGAGAGTGAGTGTCCTATGGGCAATTCTGAAAGAAAGATGATGTCTTAGGCAATCCTTGCATCACTATAAATACCTGGCTAGGTAATTTATAAAGAAAAGATGTTTAATTGGCTCACAGTTCTGCATGCTGTACGGAAAGCTTGGTGTTGGCATCTGCTTGGCTTCTGATGCAACCTCAGGAATCTTACCACCATGGCAGAAGGCAAAGGGAGAGCACGCATAACACATGGTGAGAGTGGGAGTAAGAGAGAGAAGGGGGAGGTGACATATGCTTTTATACAACCAGGTATCATGAGAACTCACTCACTATAGTGAGCACAGCACCAAGGTATTCATGAGGAACCCATCCCCATGACCCAAACGTCTCCCACCAGGCCCCACCTCCAATACTGGGGGTCACATTTCAACATGAGATTTGGAGGGGACACATGTCCAAACCATATCACATGGGAAAGTAAAAATGAGGCTGCTGAACTTGGAAGATGATGATGGATCTGCCTTTATAGACTCCTTCAGAGAGTAGAAAATCGTATGAATATAAAGGTCAGAGGAAACAAGACTGTAGAAAACTTTAAAAACTGTATGATGGAGATTAGATGAAATGTTAATAATAACGAGAGTTCTGATGATTTAAATGTCTCTCATTCCATTTTTGGAAAACATTGGTTTAAGAGGTGAAATTACTCAAAAATATTCCATTATACTAAAATGTTTACCACTTTTTACTACAACCATATGTTAAAAGTATTTTCTTTATTCACTTAACTGAGCTTTTAATGGATTAAATTGTTCAAAACATCACTATTATGCTTTGGGGCCTTTTAGTCATCACATAATTGCTATGTACTCTTTTCCAGCTGTATATTAACATAAAAATGCAAGCATTATTTTTGCAAATATTGCATACCAAAGCTGAAATTTTGTTTGATAATAGAAAAAATTAAGACAAAAATGCTTTAGAGTGCTCTATAGTTCACATGATTTGATAGCTATGTACACTTTTTTTTAATTTGAAGACCTCAATTTAATCCTAAATATTAGGTATGGTTTAAGACATTTGCTAATTAAAGAAGTAAAATCTAACATTTAAATGAAATAAATTGATATGAAAAATCAAGTTATAGCTTGACAAGTTTACTTCAGTTATCACTGCGTGCATCACTTAGTTCTTTTAAAGCATTTACACATTCCCCATGGTACTGCAATTCTAGGACTAGAAACAGGCATATGCTCAATGGGGCACCACTTGGAACTTCTAAAGATGCTACACCAAGTACCCTTTTCAGGTTTACATAGGCTCCTAATTTTTCATTATGTTTCATCTCAGTTCACATATACTCTGCTTGCTTTCTTCTCATATAGTAGATACTATCACATCTTCAGTTTCCTCTCTGCCTCTGAGTAAAACAAATTCCAGGGGCAGACTTAAAGGTAACCCCCTCAGTTACCAATTTTCTTGATGGTCTCAAACATTGACAGTTTCTACTTAAGGACTTTAAATTTACACCCCTGAGGGAAAAACCAAAGGAGGGAGGAGTAAGCAAATTATAGATAATCAGAAATAATTCTGCATATTTTTTGTGTGGCAGTGAGTTTACATGCTTGTGCAATCTCCACCCCAACCCCATGGGACAGGTCCTTTTTAAATTCTGGTTTTTCAAAGGAAACAAATGAGTTTTGGCCAAGTAACATGCTCAGAGATGCACAGAAATAGTGAAACAGACATTAAAACCTAGGTTGTCTGATATCAGAACCCCAAGTCTTAACTTCTACATTACAATGCATCAATGAATAATTAAACATTAAAAAAATCTTACCTACCTCTTAAAGATATGCTTTATAGCTTCCGAGGTGGTAAATCTGGTGCATAAACCATAGTATTCCTTTGATATTGCCTTTGATTATCTCAAATCCTGAAGATGAAAGTTACATAAAATAACAGATTTACCCTGTGCTTTGAGGTTTCAAAGTGTGATAACATTTCTCTTAGTTTCTCTCATATTTCTACTCTCCAGGAAATATTGTTTATACTTTTGCCTTTAAAAGTATGAAGGCAATTCCATCCCCATTCCACCCTGCCAAGAATGGTCAGTGAAACTGGGAAGACACTATTGGATATTGATATTTAAGATTTCTTGGTCACCACATAGCAGATGAAAGGCATTGTCATCTCATTTGTTAATCAAATGGATGACAAATTTGCTCAGGCCCCTTGATATTAAGATATCTTAAAAGCCGAGCATTGGCAGGAACTGTTTTTCCAATAATTGAGAAAGATCTGCTTAAGCCAATCTTAGATCGTCTACACTCCAGTGCACTTTGTAATCAAATAGAGTTAGTTTAAAAATTGATTTACTCTTTTTATTCCAATAACAGGTATTAGAGATCCCCCCTGTAGTCTCTCCAATAGATATCAACTCCTATATTCTTCATTACTGAATGAGATATTCACAACTGCTGTACCAGTCAGGAAAGCAGAATTATGCTGCAGTAATAAACTATCCCCATTTTTTGTGCATGGTTTATTCAAGAATATATTCATTTTAGGTACAGCCAAAGGAAGAAGAGCCTTGAATAATTACAGGTAGAGGAAATAAACCAAAAATGTAAAAATTAAAAATGGGTATGAATGACAAAGAGATCCAAAAAAACTGTATCACTGGATCAGTAACCTTTGTTGACATTTAAAATTTTAATTTTGGAGAATCTTAGCTATGGGAGGTTAAGGAAGGGAATTTGAGATAGAGAGTTCTCCTTAGACATGGAGATAAATGTAGCTAGATGTCACAGCTAGAGAGTAATTAATTGCCTAATGCTACCAAGAAGAACTCAGAGAAACAAGGAATAAGTATGGGACTGGGATGAAATGATGGTGAATGACTTCTTGGAAGGGGTAAAAATTCAAATGGAATTTAAGTTTGGTGAAATTATAAAGTAATTAATTGAAAAGAGGAAAAGCACTACAGGTCCATACAATAAATAAAGGCCCAGGAGCCATATGAGAATAAGTCCATAAAATAAATAAAGGCTGGGAGCCATATAAGAATAAGCCACACAGGTAAGGATAAAGTTAAACTAGACTGAGAAGAAGACTGCTGACTTCCAGCCTGTGCTGGCTGGGTGCATTACTTTCAATTGGTCATTTAAATTATTTTCTAACCTGAAGAATGAAAGTGTTAAATTTTGACCTCTTTAACTCTACAATAGAATGACTTTTTTCTTTGTATTTTATGTCTTCAGAACCTCACGTTTCTTCTGAGCAAGTTGCTTCTCATTTTTAGACTGCTATAATCTGATGGTGTCTGAAAATGTCTAAATGCAGAGATGTAAAATGTGTCATTTAGCTGATTCCAAATACAGATAATTATTTGTTAATTTTTTTCTATATTTATGTTCATTTTTTTTTGAGAACTGTGTTCTTATTTAGGTATGTGTTAAAAGCCAGAGACCACAGTAACTATGAAGAATTTTAGGTATAAAATACCCAACGAGAACCACTTCCAGTGTTACCCTGGCTAGCCACAAATAGCTCTAGGGTAGACAAAGAAACAAATTTCAGTCTATTTCAAGAAAGTGCAGAAGATTCTAATAAGCAGATTCTAACAGTAATGTGTGAGATATATATGTGTGTATATGTGTGATATATACATATATATGTGTGAGATAATGTGTGTGTATATATATACACACACACATACACACACATATTTATGTATAACATACATAAATATATAGAATTAGAGAAAGTTGTGTTATAATTAGTGTATATTTGGACAGCAGACTTAAAAATTTCTAAAAGCATTGCAAATAAGTAATCTGCCATCAGTTATCCCAGGCTAAGTATACGGACTACAGTGGCAAATAATTTGGGAAGAATGATAGAGTGAGATTGTATTCCTAGACTAGTTATTCATCAGTGGACAAAAACCAAAGCTGACCAATAAGTTTGATTGTCCTGCTTCTACATTTAAGCAGTTGGGGCTCAGAAAGTGATACCCTTATAACTGGCATTTTGACATGTTGAGAGGCCTTGGAAGCTGCCTCAGAATCAAGGTCCTACAGACTTCTCTTGTTCTCCTGATAGAGAGGGACTCTCTCTGGAATTTTCTTATCTGATCAAGAAAGATTCTTTCCAAAATAAATGCAATTGCCTTAAATCACCTCCCTTAGGATCTTATTGAATAATCAGGAAAGATCAACCATAGAAGAAAAGAGACTGGGAGTCACCGCTATGCCAGAAAGACTTTTCATCTATTCTAAGGGAAGCTCCAAAAGATTACCTGAGGAACTTTGTATAATAAGTCAAGCTTTGTTTTTGTGCAGCTCTACCTCTTGCCATGAAATTTGCCTTCCACCTCCCAGGTCCATGGATCTCTCTCCTATGAGGAGAATATTTAAACATCAAACATCTGGTTCCTCTTTGACTTAATATTTTGCATGACCCCCCTATGCATACGGGTGCACATTAATAAACTTTGTATACCTATCTATTGATCTACCTTTTGTTAGCAAACCTTCAGAAAGTAAAAAAAAGTTTCCCTTTGCCCATATAAAGCCTGAAGTGAAATATTGGATCTGGCCTCTTTCTATGATGATAGATACATGAGACTATGAATAGACTCAATCAGGACACCTAGTGCCTCTAGTACCTCCCTTAATGTCTAGGTGAAACTGTCCTAGACATACTTCCTTCTATCTTTTTTCCTCTCTTTTTAAAGACAGGGATAGGGAGGAGTGAGTTCACCAGGTCTTCCTCTAGGTATGCATTTTGCCTTTCTTAGTGTCTGCCAATTTGAACAATTGTGTCTGTTGTAGGTTGATGTTGATATAATAATTATCTACTTCTTATGTATCACATTTTTCTATCTTTTTGCATGCCTAGCATTCTTTTAATGTCAGAAATTTGAAATTTTATGTCTTTGGTTGATGGATATTTTTATATTCCTATAAATATCATTGTGGTTTGTTTTGGGATATAGTTATTTGGAAGACATTTGATCCTTTTGAGTTTTTTTTTTTAGATCCATTACTAGCTGTGTTATTACTTAGAAAGCTTCTGATTAGTTTCTTCAGTATCCCAAGGAATATAAAGTTTGCAATTCTGGGTGATGGGCACCATATGTGAGTATTGGATACTATTCCCTCTATCTTTCCTGGTGGCTCTTTCCAAGGTCTCAGGTATTTTCTTTTATGCATATGTTTATATTGCAACTGCTTTTAAATAGAAAGGAGCTCAGGTCCTCCTCCTACAGCAAGTTTCCTCTTCAGAATTGAGCCAGGGCTAAAAAGGCAACAGACCCTTTTCTCTGGGAGGGTCATACTACCAGCCTCAGCAGGATTTCCTCCAAAAGTTATACTCCTTTTGTTCAGCACTTGGCACTTAAGGAAAAGGGAACAACAAGACCAGCCCAGACTTATCGGGATTCCCACGCAGCCACTCCTTTTGTGCTTCTTTGTCTTCATCTGCTTTGGGAGCCGACCCTCCCAGGAAGGCAGATAGTGTGGAGGATACACTAGCCATTTGACTGGGGTTCACTTCCTCCTTGTTGCCCCACATTTAACAATTCTTGGGCCAATTCCTCCTCCAGCTTCTCTAGTTCCTCCAACAGTTCATGATCACCCACATCTTCTTCAAAACCCACAGGTCAAGAAATGGCATCTGAGATCTGCTGGGCCACCTCCTGCTATTCTGTGATGTCATCCATCAGTTCATCTACCTTGCCAATGTCCAGGTCCTGGTAGGCAGCTAACCATGCCTCAGGCAGCTAACTACAAAGTACAAAACATTTTTGCATTGGTAGTGGCATTCTCAATGACTTCATGCTGAAACTCTAGGGTGGATGATGTTCTATCAGTTTGTGCCAGCTGCTGTTCCCATCTTTTTTTCCCCTGTAAAGCCTGCAGAGCAGCTCTCTTATTCTTGGAACCATGGTTCTTTGAAAGTCTGTTCTCAATGCTGCTAATGAACAATTCATGTTGAATTGTCTGCTCCAGAAACTCCTGTTTCTTGATTACCATCTCCTCTGTCTCCTTCAATTTCTATATTGTTTCTTCAGGGGTTTCACTCCTCTTCTGCTCCTTCCTCAAGAGTTTTCTGGGACGACTCATGGCAAGCTTGCCTCTCTAGCCTCTGCTTCTGGGCATCCTCCACAGTTCTGCCTTGTGTTGATCATTATTCTGCCCAATACTCAAGAAGGACCCTCTGCAGGTCTATGGACTTCTCGCTCTGAATATCACTAGAATTATCTCTCCATGCTCCTCTTTCTGTTACAAAGTCTATCCTCCTTCGTCTCGCTGGATTCCACTTCCATATTCTCGACTCAGAGAGTCTCCCAGACTCTTTTTAGATTCTGTTTTCTTGCGCTGTGTCCTGGAAACTCTCTTAAGGCAATGCACTTGGACAATTTTAGGGCTTTCTCTTTTATTTCCCATATCTCAGGGAACACTGTTCTTTGTTTCCTGATATATCTTGTTTTGAAGATTGTTGTTTCATATCATTTCCCCCCCGATTTTGAGTTTGCTTCACATGTAAAGTTTCTGCTACACCATCTTGGCCAGAAGCTTCCCTTATGCTTTACAGGTAGATATAATTTCTACTATTCCCTCCAGGATAGAATATTGCTTCTGATTTACCATCTGACTGGCAACGAAGAGAGGCAGTTACACAGCTTCCATTTCTACAGCAGCTGTTATACAGGACAGTGACCAATTTTTGAGTTCTACCAAATTTTTTATAGTTCATTTTCAATATACTTTTGTGTACATGGAAAAATAACTGCCAGTTAAGTTTGTGGATAGAGAAGACACACTGAGGGCCACAGCATGTGTCACAACTTCGTTTATTATCTGTTCCCTTATGTTTTTCCCATTAGAGAGCCTAATGATTATTTTGGACCCTGAATAGAGTATCAGCCTAATTTCTGTGTCCAGTCATCCTCAAAATGTTTGTGTATTTATGTTTCCTGGTATGCCCTTCCCTAAGTAAGTGGCAATTGTATTATTCTGTTCTCAATACTGCTAATAAAGATATACCCAAGACTGGGTAATTTATAACGGAGAGAGGTTTAATGGGCTCACAGTTCCACATGGCTGAGGAGGCTTTGCAATCATGGCAGAAGGCAAATGAAGAGCAAAGTCACATCTTACATGGCAGCAGGCAAGAGAGCTTGGGAAGGTGAACTCCCATTTATAAAACCATCAGAGCTCATGAGACTTATTCACTGCCACAAGAACAGTATGGGGGAAATCGCCACCCCCCCACCCCCCCGCCCATGATTCAATTATCTCCACCTGCTCCCACCCTTGAAACATGGCGGTTATTACAATTCAAGGTGAGATTTGGGTGGAGACACAGTCAAATCATATCAGCAATAGATCCATTTGAGGAAGTACTATGGGAATTATTGTAACATCATTCCCCCCAAATACTCATTGTCTACCGTAGTCAATTGGTACTGGATCTGAAAAACTGTCCCTAAACAGAAATTAATTCAGAAATTGTGACTTGTTTGCGTATGGTTGCCTTTAGCCCCTGAATAACTATATTTGACTTCTTTGATTCTATCCACCTCATCCCTACCTTGGTGTTTCTCAACCTCAGATACATGGATATTATTGTTTGCATATTTCTTTCTTGTGGGGGCTATTCTGTGTATTGTGTGATGCTTAGCAGCAACTTTGGCCTCTACTATTCTGATGCCAGCAGCATCATTCTGCCAAAGTGACAGCCAGCAATATTCCTAGACCTTGTGCAATTTAGAAAACTTTTTCCTGGTTGAGAACCACTTTCTAGGAACTTTAAGTATTTTTAAGCATCTTTATAGGCCTCTCAAATATTTATCAGATTATATCAGATCTTCTCCAGTTACCTCTCAAATAATCCTAATTATTATGATCAGTCAGCCTTCTGTCTACCACTTGTTTCCTGTTTTTCACAGTCATCTTTATTGCCAATTATGCTCCAAATGTTTGAGTAGCATTTCTTATCATCAGTATGGAAATGTAGAAAGTGGCCACTGAGCTTCTCAGGAATGTGTGCATACTTTTCATCAGCACTGGGGTAAAATGAGTATTCTCTAGTCCCTCTCATGGGATATACTCAACTGGTGGGTTTTCCAGTCTTATGTTGTTTATCCATACCAGCATTCCTACTTCCATTTTTTCCATTTTATGCCATATCAGTTTTGGCATTTCAATTTTACTTTGTTTGGGTATCACCTTTCTCAAACTTCCAAAAACAGTATGTCAATTTCATTTCCTAGCACATTGCCAAGATGTTAAATCCTGTATTATGAGAGAGTGCTCTCATATCCACAAACTCTTCTTCTTTCAATTTTGCATTCTCTTATCTTCTCCCCTTAGTCCAGCCTCCTCAGTATCTAACCCTAATTCTAACAGTAAATGTTGGCTGAGCCCAGCAGCAAATTCTAGGTATAATCTCCTACTTATGGTACACCCTGCACTTTCCAGCTTGGTTATCTTCTAATTTAGTTTCGATTATTGAACTTGCAGACTGAAGGGTGTTAGTGTGGGTAAATTCTAATGGGGGTTTATAGTTTCTTGCAAAACAGCAACCTATACATTGATTTCAAGCAAGAAAGGCACTCTAGCAATTAACAGAGAGTAGTGGGCCTTTAATATGGGCCTAGAGTCTTCACAAGTATCTGAGCATTCAATAGTTTGAATTGCATTTACCCAGATAACCCTATAATATGCCTTTGAGTCCCAATTTACATAATCAGAACCCTGGTTTTAGTAAGGTAGGCATTCATTCCAAGTTTGAGAATTCAACCCTCTTGATAGTTTTGCTGCTACTATTATTCTTAAATCCTGGGCTTGATTCTGTGTTTTGTCTGCTCATCAACTGCGGTAAAAGAGAATTTCAGTAGAACTAACCAAGGAGGCCCTCTAGTTTTCGCTCTTAGCTTTTAATTGGTGACTAACTACCCTTAGCCTTTTCTTTATCGAATACATCGTAAGTCCTAGTAAGAACCATTCAACTCCACTTTCCTAATGATAATTACTTCCCCAGAATTTCTTAAACACCTGAAATATGCCCCCATTAGTGTATATGCCCAATATTACTTTAGCGCAATGGAAAGCTTAATGATTACATTGCCAGAGCATGCAAGACGCTAACAGTGTTACACATTCTACCAGTGATGGAGTTTTCATTGCTTGCAGTATGGTGGTTAATCTAGCTCCAAATTTGCGCTTTCAAGTAGGCTTCCTCAGTGATTTTTGGCATCACCTGTCTAAGGTAAATTTCTCTAAGAAAAACCTGAAGCTGAGATTTGTGTGAAAAAAATATTAAGTAAGGAATGCTTCTGGGATCAACAACAGTAGGAGAATGAAAGAAGTAGGACAGAGCAGAGGGATGTTGAACCGTGATGAAGTCACCACAAATCCTTCAGATGGTTCTGTGGGGAATTCTGGAGTGGAACACACCTACAAAATTCTTTACTTAAAGCAAGGGAGCAAGCCCTTTAATTCCTACATTGACCCATCAGTGGATGTAGGCTGCTTCTCATAAAGGTGGTGTAACCCTGGCCAAGTCAGCTTTCTTTTGCAGAGTACAGTTACCAGAGAGGGACTTGGTTGACATTTTTATGCTGCCAACGTCTCCAGAAGCTTGGAAAATAAGCAACTCAGTCCTGAAGTGGAGAGTGGCATCTCTGTGTTACCCCACACTCATTATGTTGCTTACACCAACAAATGAAGATGTGATTGTAGGACCTCCCTCACAGGCTTCAGTGAGCTAGATGATTTTTTTTTTTTTTTTGGCAGGGGGAAGGATGGCTTCTTGGCCCCTAAACAGATGACTTCTTTTCGTAGGGACTCAGGCTCAGCCCTACTTAAAGACAAGGTGAATAACTCAAGAGTATTTCTAGTGAGATAATTGGCTGTCTCCCCTGTGCCCCCGACCCTGCTAGTTTTGTTATTGACCTCATTCCAGAGATTGCAATTAATCAGTGATGTTTCTTCTGATGACTGGTATAGATAGTGACTTTCCTAAGTGGCAACTCAGAACTTTTTATTCTGAGTGACCTAAAAGGTAATAATGCGAGCTTGAGAAATATAGCCTGCATTGTTGTGGCCCTGAGCATTTGCTCCCATAAATAATACATGATACAGTCTTCCACATGGACTGTAAATTATTAAATGATGTGTGATACTTCTGAATTTAAATAGCACTGCTATCTAGATGCAATAGACTTTGCACACACACACACACACACACACACACACACCCCACTTCCCTGATAACAAGTAATGTCTGCAGTAGGAGACAGTGTGGTAGTAGAGGAGCTAAGATTTTTTAAATGTTCTATTTAATTTTGTGAGGAACTTTTTAAAAAGTGAAAGTTCATTAAATGGAATGTTACCATTTGTAATTTTACTGGCACTTCCTGTCTGTGCAGTGGAAATTAATGCCCATTTTCATGTTCATATAGGGATCAGTATCTTAAACTAGACCTGGAAAACACGTGTTGTACTACATGCCAATGTTTCATATTAGTTCTGCCTTAGTGGGCAGTAATTAGGTCATGCCTAATTACTGAATTTTTTTTCCATTCTCGTTCTTTTGCCTCCATTAAACCCACACATTTTTTCTTATGTCTGCCCCTTTATTCTCCCTTTTCTCAATACTCTATTTTCCCATTCACCTTAATGGATTGATTAACAGGTAATAGTACACAACAAATTTGTTATCACTGATAATTTTATTTATTGCATATAAAATATTCTTGGCAATCCAATTTTTTAATCTTGTGGGCTATACTCACCAAGTTCATTACTAAACACAAACCTTATGAAATTATAAAAAGTGAAAGTGCAATAGCTGCCTTTTAATTTTTTCATTCTTTTACCAAACTGCTGAATTTGGATGAAAATTCAATATACTATAATTGTGAAACATGTGGAATATTTTCTCACCTGAGGGATATTTGTATATTCTATAACCGTCATCCACTGAGGTAACAACAAGAAAGAAATTATTTAGGTTCTCTAATGTATACTTTCATATTTTTTACTTGATTGTCCCAAATTCCTATACTCTTTCCTAGCAAATTGTACCACTCATTGTTTTATTCATATATTATACCTATGAGCATTTCACACCTTACTGATTCTTCCTTTACTCAATTTTCCTTCACTCTTTTTTTTTCCTAAAGAAAACTTACTTAGTCTGTGAGAGTAATCTCTTATGTCACCTCCTGCCAGATGGAAACCTAATTATCCTTTTCTCTGTGCTTTTACAACTATTTTCTGGTGTTTACCCAATATAGCAGTCATTAAATTTTATTTTCTTAAATGTGTTCCTTTACCTGTGTAACTTGAGAACAAAGAATGGGTCCTTCCATCACCACATTTGTTACAGTATTTTGTGAAATTTTTTGACCAATGGCATTTTGGTTTCAATCAGGGATGGAAAGTGATGGGAATGGAAAACCCCATTGGAATGATGCTTCTATTTAGAGCAGTGCATTGTATACTGGAGGAAATAGTATACTGGAGTGGTAGAGCAAATGGGAAAGCCCCAGACTTGGGATCAGGAGAAGTTGCTTGCAATAGTTTCCCTAATATTCTCACATTGCATACTTCTGGGTTTGCTACTTGAGTCCTTTGAGCCTCATTTTCTTTATCTGCTGAACATAAATAGAAATCCCCATGTCATCTTTATGCTTTATAAAGTTATGACTTAGATGTAGCAATTATAAAGTGAAAGCCACAAGTAAAGTGCATGAGAAGAAACTATATAATGGCTCAGAGCACAGTCTTCAGAGACATACCTGTTTATATCCATTCTCTGTCATCTATGTTAGGCAATGACTTTAGTCACTTCCTCCCCGCCCCAGGTGTTGGGATAGTCCACTGGAGCCAACCTGGTCATGGGAAAGAGCTTGGAATCTAAGTCTGCAGGGGTTGGCCTGGGATAGGGGTGGGTCCAAAGCCAGGGGGATTGAGATCAGTTCTGGTGGTGGGGCAGGCTTGGAGGCTCTGTGGATACCAGCCTGAAGCCTGGGGCTGTGGGATAGACCCAGTGTTGGGATCTGAGGCAAAGCCTGGTGCTCAGTTTCCTCTCCATCCCCAAGCAGAGAGTACCTTCTCTCTGAGCTGTGCCACTTGGAGTCTGGGGAGCGTAACATGGATAACGTAAAAGTGTTCTTCCTATCCTTCTCTATGCATCTTCTCTTATTTCTGTGCTATACTCAAGTGCTGTAATCTCACACTTTTTGTGAAAGTATTTTCCTGTGTGGATAGTTGTTCAAGCTGATGTGGCTTTTTTGGGTGGCGGCAAATTGAGTACTGGAGAGTCCTCTTCCACCATCTTGCTCTTTAAATGGCCTTAAGCATTTTTATTAGCTCCACTGAATTCTAGTTTTTCTCAATATAGGGACAATATGCTCATCATAGATTGTTCTAAGTATTAAATAAGACAATACATGCAGAGCACTTACTGAAGTGCTAGTATATAGTAGTGCTCAATAAATGACAGTGGTGGTTGAAGCAGGTAGTATTGGTGGGCTGTGATTTCAGATGACATTTGGCTTGGAGTAAATAATACAGGGATGCCAACAAGTGACAAGAAACACCTTATTTATATTAGCGCATATATAAAGTATCCACGTTTCAGTCATAGTCATGTTTATGTAAAACACCTCTTTTTGCCTTTATCTTTTAAGTAAAACTAAACTTTTATTAAATGAAAGCATGCAAAGCAAAACTAATATCCATAAAGTATATTTTTAAAACAAAAATTTAAAATGATAATTAGGTACATTTTCACAAATCATGAAATATTATCAAACTTCCTCAAATTATCTGTTTTAATTTAAAGAGTGAAACCTTTGGCTTGTCTCACTTATCATTTCACTTCATATAAACATTCCGAGGTTTCATTTCTGAAGCGTTCTTCATAAATGAGGCCTCTCTACTATCAATGATTGATCTCAAAGCAGAGAAACAGGAGAGTGGTAGAAAATTATAGTGCCTATCTTATGTGGCCACCCGTTAGAGTTGCCCTTAAGTTTTCTTGTATTTTGAACTAACATCAAAAATGGAAAGGTGTGCATTATATCTGAATTTGCTTCAGCATCAGCCTCATAAATCCTGCACTTCTCTTTGCCCAATGAGAAAACAAAGACTATACATTGGAGGAATGTGTTGGTGAAAGTCTTCGTAGAAAGTAGGTTACTTTATAAGTTAGAGCCAAGGATCTTGACAAATCTTTTTCTTAACTTCTTGTTTTACTTAATATGATAAACCAAGAACATATGCTGATACCCTTGGCATTTTATAACTTGCTACCATGTTCATAACCACTCAGAGAAATTAACAAAAAATAAAACCATTGTACCTTATACACTAAGGAATACCAACTTACAGATTCCTATTCAGATTATAAAAGGTGGAATAGCTAGAAGTCAGTGGATCAATACAGGGCAGTTTAAGGCACAATACCACCCCAGTGAAAGAGATGATTTGGGGCAAGATGTGTTTTTCAATAATTCTTAATTAGATGCTCTGTAGGAAATTACATTTTTACTTATAATTACTTTCTTTTTCTTTTTTTGAAAGTCTCACTCTGTTGCCCAGGCTGGAGTGCAGTGGTGCAATCATAGCTTACTGCAGCCTCAAACTCCTGAGCTCAAGTGAACCCCTATAGCTGGGACTACAGGCATGTGCCATCACACTGGCTATTTTTTTTTTTTTTTTTTTGGTAAAGACTGTGTCTCACTATATTGCCTAGACTGGTCTCAAAATCCTGGACCCAAGTGGTCCTCCCATCTGGCCCTTCCAAACTGCTGAGATTACATGTGAAAGCCATGGTGCCTGGCCTATGGCATTTTTTCATATGATGCTATCATCAGAGCAAGAATGTAACAAAAACACCATTACTTTCCTAGGTAGAAAAATTTTGGTATAAATGATTGTGAGTTGTAAACGTAGGCTGGTGCATGTGTCATATCACCAGTTTCACCAGATGGTACATAGCTAAGGCTATGCACCATCTTCAGATATGCCTACCTCCAAAAGAGAAGAGGGTCAGTATGAAGGTCGATCATGGGGATAACTGATTTTTGTAGGTTGTGTAATATCATATGTGGCCCTGGATATGTTTAGATTACCACATGGGACTTAGAGTTGTATTTTAGCCTCCAAGATATTTTTAAATTTTAACTTTTCTCAGACTCTTAAGGAAGAATCATGTCAATTTACCTGTAACTTCACAAATTAAAGGCACTCTTTGGACATATTCATGAAGCTGACCTTATATAAATCTATATTTCCATAATTATATATTAGAAAATAAATTGAGTATTTTCTACTGGGTTATGCATTTTGATTTTAACTGAAGTAGCAGAAGGTAATCTGAAATTGTATTAAAATGCTTAGGGACATTAGTGGGTTGAAATGACAATAAAATGCTTAAAAATAATAGTGTATTTACCATCTTCTTTTCTTAATTCACCTTCTGCTATTGGCCTAGGGTGTTATAAATACAGCATCCATTGAAGCTGAAATAATACTTTATAACTCCTGTTTTGTCATGATTGAGGCATAGGCTGAACACATAAATGATAGTCAGTACCAAGTATACATTAGATGCCTTGCATTTTCATTTAAATAAAATTTGAACTGAATTTTGCTAAATTATTTTCCTTTTATTTGCAAAGCTGGAGGTAATTACTTGGAATTATTTGCTGTTTTGGGGTAGTATTGGTGTCTTAATCCTGATTTCCTATACTTTGCTTCTAAAACAGAGGTTAGGGGTGAACTGGATCTTTTCTGTCTTCAGTTTTTCTCTTCTTTCTTTTGGATTGCACACACAATTATGTTCAGTAAGAATTTTGGACAGTTTAAAAACGTGAATACACAGGAAATGTCAACTCTGCAGACCCAGGTTGCTCAAAGTGCATATCCCAAAAAAGGCCTGTTTTCAGGGCTGGCTTTTGACTTAACTCCTGGAAACTGAGCTCCTGAAGTGTTTTATTTGATGAGTGCTTTTGTAAGCCTAAGGCTTTGAACCACAGTATCTAGTATTTCCAGATAGTTTTTGCTAACAATATTATATATGGTGAGCACCTGCTTTTTCTTTGGTGTTCCGGAGCTTAAGTAACTGAGGTCAGTTCCACTGGTGCTGCATGCCTACAGGGCTGACCCTCAGTAAAAGTCCTGGACATCTAGACTAGGGAGAGCTTCCTAGGTTGAAAACATTTTGCGTGTGTTGTCACACATTATTGCTGGGAGAATTAAATGTGATCTATATGACTCAACTAGAAGGGGACACTTACAACTGGTTTCCTGCAGACTTTGCCGCAGCACCTTTTCCCTTTGCTCATTTTCATCTGCATTCTTTTCCTCTCATAGGCAGTAAATAGGAGTATAACACTTCTAGGATATCATCTAACCTCAGGGTGGTCTTGGGGACCCCTGACACAGCGGGCTATTCTCCAGTTTCAGCTGTAGCAGTGCAAATATAATTTGGGCATCACAGGCTATCAGTTTTAGATTTCCAGTCTTTTATGCCATCTATTCCTCTTCTTGTCCTCTTATCATAAATCAGATAAGCCTCGTCTCAGCTCCTTACTTTTTCCTCTATTCTATTCTATTCTATTCTAAATTCTATTCCACTCCACTCCACTCCACTCCTCTCCTCTCCTCTTTTCACCTCTCCTCTCCTCTTCTCACCTCTCCTCTCCTCTAGTGAAATCAATGAGGTCTACAAAAATAATTGTGAGAAGAAAATATTGGAATCAATGAAATACCCCAAATTGGTCATTGTTAATAATTTCCACTTTTGTCCCTCAATTCATTCTTGCCATTCTCTCTTCTGGCTCTCTCTCCCCACCAAATCAAACTGAAATCCCTTTGCTTGGCTTCAAGACAACAAAAATCTAGTTTTCCATCATCCAATCTATTTTATTTAACACTACTTTGCAATTATAACTTCTTCTTTTGTATAAGCTTAGTTTGTCCACTTTACTATTCCCACACTATATTCATTTATTTAGCTCAATTATACACTCAGCTACTCTCTTAATAAAAAACTCACTTATTTGGTAAATGGGTGTGCCATACACAGAGTTAGACATTATAAATATACAAATAAAAACACAGATATCTTGCTTTTATGGAGTTTACAGACCTTCGATAAATGCACAAATAATTAACTCCTTATAATTATGAGAATGTTTTCAAGGAGAAGCATATCTTTGCTTAAATCTCCTCATCTACACTTGTATTATTTGTTTTACTATTATGCAACATCCTCCTACCTACAACAATGGAATAACTATAAATAGATGTGACATTTGAAATTATTCTAAGAAATACTAGAAAATTTCTATACTTTGGCAGTATAACTTAGAATGAGTTCTCATATACCCATCAAAGTGGGAGCTAAAGGTAATCTCTTTTAAAGAGACACAAATCTTTTCAGGCATATTCTGCATTGTGAGATATCTCTTCCCAATTTTTTCCCCTATCACATTAAATAGAACCTAGACAATACCCCTCACCCAATGGCCCTCTTTGAAATAAGAGTATGAGCCACAATTTTTTGCTCCATATGTATTAACTAAAGAAAATTAAGATGTAGTTTATAATTTTTTTACCACAGATTTTGAAGCAAAGTGGGATCTTATTGTTTGTGTGTGTGTTTCTACTTTTTGTTCTTTTTTGTTTTTATTTTCTGAACATTTATTGTTTTGCTGCTTGTCATATTATTAGTGCTTACACTTAACGACATTTTACTTTCTGTATAAGATCAATGTTATTGTATGTGTATAATTCAGCAACTCAAATTCTGCTATAAATACACATGCACACATATGTATACACACATACTCACACACTGATACCATAAGTTTAAACAATTATTTCTTGTCTAGCTATAAGAGGACCAATGCAACTAGTTCATCATATCCCTTATTTGCTCCCCAAATTCTGTATATTTTAAATATTTCCAGGAATTAGGAAGTTGGCTAGCCCTTTGTATTTTGTCAATCTCTCTGTGTAGTCTAATGTAAGTTTTTGTGTAATACAAAGATAAGGTAAGTTAGAGTTCAATTGCAAATTCAGATTAGGACTCTCAACCCTAATATATCATTACTTAAAAGAACTTCAAATATATATATATATATATATATATATATTTATTGAATATATATATTCAATATATATATATATTTATTGAATATATATATTCAATATATATATATATATTGAATATATATATTCAATATATATATATATATTTGTTGAACACTTCCAAAAAGAGTAAAATAGCAACTGTAAAAGGAAGAGACTTGATACAGTTCATGTGCTTATTTTTAAAAATTCATTTGCAATATGAGTAGGGCACCATAATCTAAATTTTACAGATGAGGAAACTGGGACTGCCCTCTGTGACACTGAATAATAAGTCCAGGGTCACAGCAAAAGTAATTAGAATAGATCGAGGCCACTAACTCCAATATTAGTGCCCCTTGCATCACAAATTACTCCCACTTGAGGATTCTTTTTACCTTCATGATGGCATTTTTTTTATTTCCGACTCTGAGTATTTGTTTTCAAATACATATAACTTTAACTTTATTACAGTTTTGAGTAAAAAACTTGTTAATTTCTTATAAAATTTTCTCAATGCATCAGATAATTCTGTTAGTAAATATTGAGTTGATGATTTAAAATTCTTATTTATATTATCATTTGTTTTAAAAATAATTGGAGATGACTTAAAGAAACACAGACAATATCTTGAGTGAGCATGAATGGACAGTAATTAATGAGTTATTAATTGATAAAAGAAAATTTACTTGTGAGTGTCCTATTTAAGAAGGTTGAAATAAATTGAACATCTTTAAAGAAATATAATATTTAATCATATAATTATAGTTCAGTTGTTAAGAATTTGGGAGTTGAATCAGAGAATCCAGATTCAAATTAGAATATCAATCATTCCATAGCTGAGGGACGTTGAGCAACTCACAAAACATCTGTAACCCTCAGTGGAGTATCTAAAAAAGCGAAATAATAATAGTATATTGTGAGGATTCAATGAAATAATGAATGTTAACAACTTAGTCCCCTACCTGGAACATAGTAAGAACTTAATTAAGATTATGTGTTATTTTAAAATTATATATAAAATCAACCTGAGTAACAGTATTTGTTATACCTGCTACAAAAACCCATTAAGTGCATTGTCTCTTTTAACCCTTTACAACCACACCATAAAGGAATTATTATTAGAGAGGAAAAATCACTCACTAAAGGCTTCATATATGGGGTAATATATGGCAGAGGTGGCTGGTTACTGAAGTCAGGCTTCATAAAATCGTCTTAAATCCTCTTCTCAGCTTCCCCATCATTCATACAGAGGCAATGAAATAACAAATACATAAGTTCATAGTTTTTATTAGTACCCATTTAGATACATATAAATTTTCTATTTACCATTGCTAGGTTTACATTAGTGATTATTTCTGGCTAAATTAAGTGCCACATGACAAATGTTAATATTAGTTTGATAACATATTTCACTTTACTATATATATCATGGTGGTTTCTATTCACTTTGTGGGGAGCAGGGGTGGGGAGAAGACCCACCTGCAAATAAATGAGGCTGGTGAGAGATTGTGCCAAATTCTCAAACTTAGAGAACTGTTGTCAAAATGGAACCTGAGACTTGTTACTTTGACATTGTGAAGCACAATCGTGAATGACATTATGAAGCACAACAGTGACCCTGGACGATCAAGGTCAGATTTCAGGATCAGCCAGACAATTGCGTTAAGTCCCCTATTTAATATTCTCCAGAGGCAGAAACTGGCTATTGTACAAGCTACAAATAAATTATCATTTTAGCAACTCTTCCCGTAAAGTAACTGAAAGATTCAAACGTGATGAGCAAAATTACTCAAATACTATGACCCAATATAAAATTATTTGGAAAAATTGGTTTTGTTGATTCTGATATTTGATAAAATCAAGAAAACTAATCAATACTTTACTTAATATACATTCTTCTTACTGGTCGTATATGAAGGCCCACCAATATCTTCGGGGATTTGGAGATGGATTAGCAAAGTCCAAAATTCAAGGAGGTTGTAGCTTTGTAAGAGATAAATACAATAAACAATAACAATACTAGTGTAATAGAGCCAATGATGGGACACTCATATTTGAGTAGAAAGTCATTCTGTGCACAGAATGGTGTAGAGATATCTTATTATGTAGGCATAGTGAAAGATGATAATTAAAATTTGGAAGGCAGCAGAGGTATTATCACAAAGGACATTCAGTTCTACGAAAGGTTTTCAGGAATGAAAGTTTCTCAAGCACTGGTAAGAAATTCTACCTGGTCGGGAGTGAAATACTTAAACTTATGGCAGTGTCACTATAAACATTACAATTGTTGTTCCGATGTCTCTTGTGCTTCTGATGATCCTATCCAAAGCTAAGTCATATTTCTGACTAACTGAAACTCTATCTTTGCTTCTCTCACTCAAATTAAAATATCTCAATGTAAGTGAGAAATGTGAATCTACCCTACTTCATTTAAAAATAGGTAATATACCCACAAGCAGAGGATATTTGGTAATATATCATTTCAATCTCATTCATGGACATTTAGTACCTCAGTCTATTAATATTGTCAATGATACCACTATGCAGAGAGTTTGCCTCAGTTGATATGTTCAGGGACAGAGATGAACATGAGGAGTGGCTATTTGTGCTGGTTTTCTGAACTTACAGCCTTCAAACCTTCTAAATGGCTCTTCTCTTTAATGTAGGGACTAATGTTTATTTTGCAAGTTGTTCTGCATATCTACAAATTGTTTTTCTTCCAAGCACACTAACATATTGCTTTCACATCAAAGTTGAATGCAATTCTCAGGTGCACTGTTATGTCCCAGTAGTGGGTCTTAGAAAAGAGAAACATATAATTACTCCTATTCTGGTGTAAATTTTCAAAATGATACACAATTAGTGAATTGATCTGGCAAACTCCCCTAAGGAAATCCACTCCTCAGAGTGCTCATTAGCTCTCCAGGATTCAGCACTGTTTTAGCACCTTTTCTTACTAAATAGCAGCTCCCCTAGGGTAAACTCTAATATGTTTTTCATTCCTAACTTGCTTTAGCAACAAGATTTGTGTATGATAACCACTGAAAGTCCATCCCATCTCAGCAAGTAGATGCTGACTATGTTACCTTAACCTGTTTATGAAGACTGGGACATGACATTTGCTCTTGTAGTTAGGGTACTGCAAATTTCTTCCCTGTGACTGGTCCTCATCCTGTGTGGAAACTTTGTCTTTTCTGTCCTTCTCACTCACTCACCGATTTTATTTGTTATCCTGATTTCATTTAACAATAAATATTTGTTAGATCAAGCTTATCCAACCTGCGACCCGTGAGCTGCATGTGACCCAAGATGGCTTTGAACGCAGCCCAACACAAATTTGTAAACTTTGTAAAACATTATAAGATTGTGTGTGTGTGTGTGTGTGTGTGTGTGTGTGTGTGTGTGTCTAGCTCATTAGCTATCGTTAATGTTAGTATATTTTATGTGTGGCCCAAGACATTTCTTCTTTTTCCAATGTGGCCCGGAGAAGCCAAAAGATTGGACACTCTTGTGTGAAATGCTCCTCCTGTACTATCAGTCATATCCATAAACAGAATGTTTTCAGTTACACTCTTCCTTGCATTTTGACCTCATATTTATTGGAATTTATGCTAACAATTCTAGCTATGTAAGGATTGTAGGTTTAAAAGAATATATTCATATTTAATCTCAAAGATGATGCTGATGATAGAAACTTGGCTACATTTCAAATATGATGAAATAGGGCCAAATGTGTAGTCAAACCTCCTTCTCCTTAGTACAAAAACCAGATATTTTGAAAATCCATTACATTTCAGGGGAGTGGAAAGCATCAAATATGTAAAAATTGACCCTGGACTTTAAATGGCTGAATTAGCAAGTTGTACTTTCCAGAGATTCAAAAAAATCAATAGTAAGTAAACATAATACATGTACAAAAGAAAGTAAAAATAAAAATACTCAAATAAGAAGAGTGGAGCTTTGAAAATAATTTTCCACTACTAAAAACTCCTTGAGTAGACCATATATGTCCTTTCCCAGCTCAGAGCTCAACATAGGAATATAGGTTTTTGAAATTGAGGAGGGAATTTAAGGTGTTACTAATCTGTTTTAATTGGTCATATGAAAAATTGACTGTGACACCACAATATGTAGAAAATTTTTCAATAACGAAAGTATCTGTAACGTAAAAACCAAAAACTACAACACAAAAACATACATAGTTTGACCTGAAATATAACACTCGATCAGAATATTTCATAGGAAGCTTGCCCTAGAAAATCTTAGGTGGACAATCATTTAAATATAGTACAGATACTACTATAATCTACATAATTTAAAATTATGTGTATATATACATATAGGTTCACAGACATAGCAATGTTCAATGCATGATATTACGTTTGGATAGTATTTAACCTTATCTATGGATTATCATGCAGAATCATAGCAGTTGAATGTCACGACAGTTTTGTAAGAAAGACCAAATATTATTATTATTCCAATTGTAGATGAAGAAATTGAGGTTTAGAAAAATTTCTTTAATTACAGTGTAGGTGGTTCTTCAGATCGAATCCTTGTATATGGAAGTATGTTTAATATAGTAGCCTAGTCACTGATTTCTACTTCTTGCTAATGGCTCTTCAAAAGATGCTGTATCCGTAGGAGTCATAGTATGTGTGTGGGTGTGTTGAAGTACTTCTACAGCAAGACCATGATTTAAAAACTTTGTCATCTTATTTTTTCAGACTGTGTATATTTAACTCTCTACATTATTATTATTTTAAAATATTTAATAAGTCAATATAGCCTTCCATTCTAGTATTCTTTTGACATTTCTGTGACTTTTATTCATTCTTGTGCTTAGATATACAATGGAAAAATTATCCTTTACCTCATCTTAGAATAGAGTTTAGGTTTAGCATCAAAAACTTTTGAAAAACTGCTTTACTAATTTCTCCTAACATAAATTTCTTTCAAATTACTTTAACCAGAGTTGGAACTAATGAAACTGGTCAAATCTTTAATATGAGATACTGCAGCTCCATTAAAAAGAATCATGGCCTTGACCAAATGGGAATTAATTAATGTTATCTATCACATCAAATAGGCTAACAAAGAAAAATCTCATGGTGATTATCAGTAGAAGCAGAAAAAACATTTCACAAAATTCAACAACCATTCATAATAAAAACTCCTAGTAATCTAGGAATGAAGGAGAACTTTCTAAACTTGATAAAGAACATCTACAAAAACCCTACAACTAATATACATAATAGTGAGAAACTAAAAACGTTTTCTTTTAAATCATCTAACAGAAACATCTAAACTGATGTTTGACCAAATAATCTGCGTACCTTCACCTAGCCAAGTTGACAAATAAAATTAGCTAGCACAGCCTAGTTACCATAGACAGAGGAAAGAATTTGAGAGTTAATTAGTAAATAGCAATAAGCCTAACTTAAATCCTTTCTTTCTATAGCATCCCCTGTTCATTCAGAAGTTCAACTATTCTCTCCCTATGCTATTTTCCTCTGCTGTATGAACATATTCAGTATCTCTTTAAAAATCAGTTCATTTATATATATATATATATATCCTCTCTAGTTTTTGCTTGTTTTCACTTTCCGAGCCATCAGTAAAATCATGTCCATAGCATGCACCTGCACAATCTGGTACAAAATAAGCCTGCAATAATGGCTGAAAGTTGTTAAAGTTATCCTTTCTTTCTATGGTTTTAATCATTATAAAGATAATGTCTATGTTTCCTCAGATTATTTTTCAATTGTCTTGAAATCTTGGACTTCTAATTCTTCTCTTTATTCCTGGCTGTTGCTTATGGTGGATTTTTCAGTTTTTTGTTAATTTGTTTTTAGGTAAACTTTGAGAGTTCCTTTTACTGTTGGGAATTCCTTGCAGCCTAAGTTGTAAAAATGTCACTCCACAGTGCTAGGAACCACAGTAGTATTAACAACTTGGGAAGACTATTTTTGGTAGTATTTTTGCTTGTGATTTTCTGCCGAAAGTATTAGAATAAATTTAAATCTCTAATGTGTATGACATTTAGGGATCTTCCCTGGATAGTACATGAGTCATACGAGTGGAAGCAGAGACCTCTACAAAGCCGGCATTGTATACGGAAGGGCTGTACCCATGGTGAAACATTGGACTAGTTACCAGAGAAGAGAGTCAATTAAGCAACATCTCGAAGTCAGTGGCTTACAAACTTGGCTGCACATTAGAATCACCTGGGTGGCTTTCAAACAAACAAATGTACAATAAAGGAACAAAAACCACGATGTGTAGGTCATTTCTAGCAGAGTAATTAAATCAGAATATCTGTTGGCACTAACATTTATGGAAAGCTTCACAGGAAATTCCAATGTGCAGCCAAGTTTGAGAACTACTATCAGAGGTGATCTTTTCTGAGAATCTAGAACCCTAGTGTTTATTATGGTTTTTGTTTGTCAAACTGTGGTTGAGAAGACACTAGACAATTTGTTGCTCTGTAATTGCTCCAGTGTTAAGACATTTATGACATAGAGGCTAAAATCTGTGTTTTACACCACAGTAGCCATTCATGTGGTTATTTCAATTCAACTTTAATTACTTGTTAAAGAAATCAGTTTCTCATTCATGTTAGCCACATTTCAAGGGCTTAATAGACACATGTTTTTAATGGCAAGTGTGTTGAATAGCACAGATAGACTACCTATCCATCATTTTTGAAAGTTCTATGGGACAGTATTAAGCTAGAAAACTAGAATATCTTCTTGAGGCAGTCGGCCCTATTACTCTGGAAAATTATCCAAAGTATATTGTTAATTCTCAAATGTAACTTTTGAACAAAATTGTAATTAAGGCATATGAGACAAAAAAATGTTAGTTTATTTCCTTTATTATAGAACAGTTACAGAGGATTTTATGTCCTTAGGCTTTCTACATGATTGCAACACGTTGAAGTTTCTCATTTTACAGTCAAGAAGTTTAGAAGCTTCTCCAAGCCCAGGCGGCTAGTTGAAATAAGAAGAGGTAAATTGCAATAGAGAGAAATGAACCCAGAGCTGGGCCTACTGCTCCACAGAGTAACCATGTGCAGATGGGTATACTAAAATGTGCAAACACAGTTTCAGAGTGCCTGGTGCTAAGACACAAGGACTGCTTTTGTACTTCTACAAGCGCAGCATGATTTCAATGATGTGTAGATGGAGCATCTATAAAAAACAAGGTGGCATCAAAAATTCTGACTAGGCTTGCCACTAGAGTAAGATCCTCAGGAGTCTTTGGCTTAAATTAGCTCAGTATTTCCAGAGCTGCAGCACAGTTACCTCTAGTGTACTATTTAGCATTACAATAAATCCGTGCTTCTTTGTTCCTTCAGCTCTCCACAGCCTCCATGGACTGAAGCAGCGCAAGATGTTTATATTCTATTCCAAATGCACATGCTTTTACACAGCTCATAGTTATGAGAATGTCTTTGGATATTCTTGGAGTTTTCCATCAAGTAGAAGAAGTTCAATTCTGTTTGCTAATTATTATCATAGAAATTCAAGTAAATGCCAGAATACAGTTTTTAAAATACACTCCTTCGGAACACTCTCTCTTCAATTATCTGAGTCTTAGGCAAATCATTTCTTTTGTAATTCACATTTTTTATTAACTTTGACTCTTCAGTGATTTGTTTGAAAAAGCTCACTACAGAGACATTTAATATAATAGGTGCACTCCCCACCAACACACGTTTATATTTCTCCCTTAAGATAGAGAATAGACTAGTAGTATTCATCAAGAGGAAAATATTCAGATTTCTTTTTTAAAAAACCCAAGTCTAGTGACTGATTTTTCAAACTTTATGTCAAAGAATGGGCAGACATAAATTCATTGAACAAAATTATTTATTTGTTTGTTTATTTATCTATTTACCAATTCAGATTAAATTTGATTTGTTGTTAAGTGTAAAAGGTCCTTTCCTATCTACCTGGAGACTTTCTTTGGGTGTTATGAGCCTCAGAATCACCTTTAAAAATATACTTACTCTCAGCAAGGTTACAATGTTAGTACAAATCAACATCAATGGCTTTCTCTTGCCACCGTCTTTTAGACTACAAGATGAGGACTTTGATGTAAACTGGACTGAAAACAATTCTTTTGAGTCTCCAACAGTTTAGCAAATTCTAATTGGTTGAGAATAACATGCCATGGTTCTCAAAAAAACCCACCTCCCCTAATAACACTCTCAAAAGATACAAAGTAGAAAGAATTATTTGAAATATGTGCTTTAGACCTACTTATGTAAGTGAGGAAAAAAGGGCCCACAGATACATAAATGGTGAACAAGAACAAAAAATAAAAGATGTTCAGAATCATTACTCATTAGGAAAACGCCAATCAAAACTCAAAAAATTATTGTAGTTGTATCTGGCATTTTCATTATGTTTTGTTTTGTTTTAATGTTTTTGACAGTTCTCTGTCAAGTCCTCAAAATTTATTTTGAAAGTTTTTTGACCTGGTAAAAGAATCTTAACATTGCGACTCACTAAGACTAGAGCAAGTATCTTTTTCCTCTTCAGCTAAATTTGAATGATATCATTCTGGGATTCATGACCTAATTGCTATGTAACTAACTCAAATTAGGCAGTCACTTGCAAGAGCTACGATGAGACAAAAATAAAGGAAAACAGTTTCATTTTTTCTTAACACAGAGGTTATAAACTAGTAGCCTACATTCCCTATGTAGCCCAAAGTTATACTATGGGCAACAGCATGGTTGTTTTAAAACTAAGTTTTACCCCAAAGTATAAAAACCCTGGAAGACAACCTAGGCAATACCATTTAGGACATAGACACAGGCAAAGATTTCATGCTGAAGATGCCAAAAGCAATTGAAACAGAAGCAAAAATTGACAAATGGGATCTAATTAAACTAAAGAGCTTCTACACAGCAAAAGAAACTATCAACACAATAAACAGACAGCCTACAGAATGGGAGAAAAGTGTTACAAACTATGCGTCCAAAAAGATCTAATATCCAGCTTCTATAAGCAACTTAAATAAATTTACAATAGAAAAACAAACAACCCCAATAAAAAGTGTGCAAAAGACATAAACAGTCACCTCTCAAAAGAAGACATACAAGTTGCAAACAAACATGTGAAAACAAGTTCAACATCATTAATCATTACAGAAATGCAAATCAAAACCATAACGAGATTCTATCTCACACCAGTCAGAATGACTATTATTAAAAAGTAAAAAAATAACAGATGTTGGTGAGATTGAGAAGAAAAAGGAACACTTATACACTGTTGGTGGGAGTAAAGATTAGTTCAATCATTGTCGAAGAAACTGTGGCAATTCCTGAAAGACCTAAAGACAGAAACACCATCTGACCCAATAATCCTATTACTGGATATATAACCAAAGGAACATAAACCATTCTATTATAAAGACACATGCACATGTATGTTCATTGCAGCGCTATTCACAATCAACCTACATGCCTATCAATGATAGACTGGGTAAAGAAGCAAAGACATGGAATCAACCTAAATGCCCAACAATGATAGACTGGATAAAGAAAATGTGGTACATAAACACCACGGAATACTATGCAGCTATAAAAAGGAATGAGACCATGTCCTTTCCAGGGACATGAATGGAGCTGGAGGCCATTATCCTTAATGAACTAACACAGAAGGAAAAAACAAATATCACTTGTTTTCACTTATAAGCAGGTGCTAAATGATGAGAACACATGGACACATAGAGGGGAGCAACACACACTGGAGCCTATTGCAGGGTGGAGAATACAAGCAGGGAAGGTAACAGGAAAAATAATAGGTACTAGGCTTAATACCTGGGTAATGAAATAATCTATATGAAAAAGCCCCCAAGACACAAGTTTACCTATGTAACAAACCTGCACATCCTGCACATGTACCCGTGAACTTAAAATAAAAAATAAAAACAAGTGAAGTAACTCAGGAATAAAAAACCAAACATCATAGGTCCTCACTTATAAATGGGAGCTAAGCTATGAGGGCACAAAGGCGTAAGAATGATACAATGGACTTTGGGGACTTGGGGGGAGTAGTGGGAAGCAGGTGAGGGATAAAAAACCACACATTGGGAACAGTGTACACTGCTTGGGTAATGGGTGCACCAAATCTCAGAAATCACCATGGAAGAACATTGTAACCATTCACCACCTGTGCCCCCAGAACTACTGATATTTTAAAAAAGTAAATGTCATCTAAATCAAAACAAAAACCCCAAAACTGGGTTCTAATTGCCAATTTTTAAATGTATTATTTTACATTAAAACTTGTATTTCTGGATTATCTTTAATAACCCTGAATTCACAGTCTGACATGGGCAAGAGCAGCAGGCATTCCATCTGATTCAGTATGCATTTACGATTGGACTCATTGCTCCCCATTTTCTATCATCTCTTACATTTGTCCCACTTGACTCTTGTTTTATTCATATGGCCCTCTGTCTTCACACCAGCTGAAATAAGATAATTTGATCAAAAGAAAAATTATCTAATAAAAGATAACTCTAGTTCATTCTTTTTCAATGCTCTTCTTAGGTTGTCTTACAAACACATTGATGGTGAAAATATTCCATTAAAAAAATTCGAACAATTGTTTTGAAGTTTTGTTCATGTTTATTTATTTGCTTTTGTCATCTCGTTTTCTAAAAATTGAATTCAGGACAAAAGAGGAAGAAACCTCTGCTTTTAATTGTGTAATTCAGCTAGTTTTTAAATGTTTTTTTCCCACCTTACACCTAAATGGCTATCTACTTCCATAGGTAGCAGTAGATAAACTGGGAGGCATGTGTCTTTCACAGTAGAACGGACTTAGCAGGGAGAGGGGCTCTCAGGGTTCAACAGAAGATGGATGTTACATAATTTTTTTTAAAAGCTCAGCAATTGATACTAAGAAACTGTTCCTCCAATACCAAAAATTACTCCCATAGAGAGTTATTTATTTTGAGCCTTTCCAAACATGTCTGGAAAAGCTTGGAAATCCCTCCTGATTGTTTAAAAATACATGAATGGATGCATCTAGGGCATGTCTAATAAAAAGCCATATTACTAAGGGCTCTGGTGAATGGATAATTAGCTCCAGAAATGGGATCAAGAGTCACAATAAAAAAAGAAGGAAATATTTTCTTCTTTCTTCTCACCTCTCCTTAATGACTTTGTATTCTATTTCTTTCAACTCAGAATTGAATAAGGAATAGAATGACAAACTAAAAAAAGAAAAGAAACAGAAAACCACCCTGAGTGAATTAATTCATATAGTTGAATGAAATGTTTATATCCTGAAACATCACCTCTTTTATATTTATCTTGCTTACATTATGTGGCAATATTTTTTTCTCACTTCTTTATTTTCCTTATGCTTAATGCACCCATCTCCCATTTTAACTCTTTTCAACGTATCTTTTCACCTTCTTTCTTGTAAGATGACACATTAATCACTTCAGTGGAAAAGATACAGCCTTGAAAATTAGTATTCATTAGTCATACTCTCCCTCCAACCCAAATCAGTATTTTGGCCCATATCTAACTTATTTTTGTTCTACTACTCCCAACCCCAGCTCAATTTATTTTTTCTCTCCCATCTATGTCCTGAGATTCAAACAGTCTGGTTCCTAGGCCAGTTCTGCCTTTGAATAAGCTGGATCATGTCTTTGAGCCTCAGTTTCCTCATCCATAATCCCCAACTTTCATTCCATCACTACCTTTCTGTGCTTCTCTAGGATCACACACCTGTGGATTCAAAGGTTTCCTCTACACCAACTATGCCCCAGCTTTGTGGACCTGGAAAAGATCTTGGCCTAAGCAAGTTGAAGGCACATATTGTGCTTTGCCAAGGGTATTATGGGGGTGGCCAGAAGCAACTTTAAATCTATATGGTACATATTATCTGCTCTTTCCATCTTTTCCATTTGAGCATTAGTCCTTTCATTTATCAATTCATTCTTTGAACATCCATTCTATGAATGCCTACTACCTCTTAGATACATTGCTGGGTGCGATGGATTTAAAGACAATGGCAGAGACAGACCATTTAAATAAACCTTGCCAATATTCCAAAATAACTAAACAAACAGCAGAATATTTTATCTTTTTTACACATCACCTGAAATAAAGAGGAGACATGATGTCAAAATATGAGGATGCCAGCCTTAAAAACTTTAAAAAGTAGATTTACATGGGAGTAAAACAAATCCTTTTTTCCAGAGGAGAGGAAGTAAATAAAAATGTACAGATTTTTTCCAAGTATATAAGAAAATGTTAAGTGAATTATTACTTGAAGATATATTATGAGTATTTAGTAGTTAGAAGAACATGGTGAATACCTCTAATATGGAAGGATGACTCCATGGAAAGCTTTCTTAACACCGTTTCCTTATGCCCTCATCAGATATAGTTCCTGACTGGTGGGAATATGAAACGTAGTTTCAAGGCCGTTTCTGATTCCAGCGTATACTTGTGTGGCCTCATTCTGCAACATTCCCCACTTACAGTTAATATACCTGCTGTTCAACCCTCTCCCATTTCCAAACACAACTTCTTCTCTCTTGACCCTTTGTCTTTGCAAAGATTCTTCCATAAGCCCAAAATATCTGTTTTCTTTTGTCTACTGGTACACGTATAACTCATTTATCAAGGTGATCTTAAAATTTCCTTTAGGAAATTTTCACTGACTTTCAGCCTAGGTAAATTTCATCCTCTGTACATAACAATTGCATGTAGTACATTATATTATATATAATTCCTTACATTATTGCTATAACTTAGTAGGCTTTTAACCCTTGTGATCCTAAAAATGATGTCAAATTCACATTAATAACTTAAAATTCTAGTAATCACTACCAGATACATATTTGTATATGTTTATTATACATATATGTACTTTTGAGAAAGAAATGAACAAATGAATGTGCAAATTAATGCTGTGTCTACTAGAAAATTTGATTTTGTTGAATGTATTGACTGTTGTGAGAAGAGAATATAAATCACTTTTTGTTTGCTTTATAGACTAATTGTTAAGTCATCAATCCCTCTTTAGTGCTTTTGTACTGAAGATAGGAGTTATATCAGCTTTATGGATAAGGATTTACATCCCAAATTCAGAAGAAAATATTTTTTATGCTGGATTTCAGATTGGTAAATATTGAGTAACAGAGTAACCAATAGACAATTATTCTACAGTTTAATTGAACAAAAAATATTTCTTGCCTCACATAGTTGATGCTTACTGCTTAGATTTTCATAATTATATCACTTCTTCCACAGTCCTTTCAATACTTCAGTTTATTTTTAGCAGACAGGTTACTAATCTCAAACACCACCCAGGGAGAATAAGAAAAATGGTTACTACTATGGGTGTAATATCTCTTTGCATTCCTGACTTTTCTTATAAACTGGAACCATCTTAATGTTTCACTGTTGCAAAAGAAAGGTAATGTTTGCATATAAAAGTACCTAGAGTTCTTTTAGCTGTCACTTAGGAAGACCCAAACATTTTATATAGCATGATTTATATAACTTTTGACCTTTTATATTTTATTTTATTTTATTTTAAATTTGTTCCAAATGTCAGGAACCATCAAGGTCACCTCAAAGAAGAAAGTTAGTCCTGGGGTGAGTGACAGTGTTTCTCTGTTGTCTGATACAGGATGTCAAGTACTAATTGTAGAGTGCCTGAAATGATAGCTTATTATCTTCACTGATCCCAGATTCACAAGAAGGTTTCAGGAACTTCTGCAGCTATTTCCAATGCAAATCTTGTGAAATGTGACAATTATCCAAATCTAACTATCATGGTAAATGTAAGTCAGTGTCTTAAAATGCACGTCTTTGTGAAAGCCATTTCTATATTCTCCAAATAGAGTCCGTATTTATTTGAAAGTTCTTCATCACTGTCCCAGGTTATCAATACGGAGGTACCACTACAAACTAATTGCCATGTAGGAGTATGATTTTTGCTTATAACAATGTATTCGATTGAATATCATTCTTACTGCAATTATATGATAGAATAAGCATATAAAAAAGCACAAGTTTGTTGCAATGAAATAGAATCACACTCAAGACTTTTCTTGAATAGCCAATTCTAAAAGTAAATGAGTTAACTGAATATCATGAAATTATTATAAGTATAAAATGCTACGGTTGTGATGAACCTTCTCGTCTATTATTAAAGAACAGTTTTGTTCTTCAGAATAAAGCATGAAGATCGAAGGAAGCTGAAGCTAAGCACCTTGCGCAGGAACTACAGCTCATTACTGAAAAACTTAGGGCTGGAAACCTGTTTCATATCCTTCTGCAGTACATTCTGTCCCTACACAGTTTGTGTCTACTACAATACACAGGTAAACTAGACTTTAAACTTTGCTATTTGTTTGAATTGTAATGACCTACTGGTTTCAGGAAATGTTGATGTCAAGTCAACTTTTAAGTCTAGGCGTTATGGTCATAGAAGAGTAATAAAAAGAAATAAAGATTGTAAGACAAAATTTATGGTTCAGTTTAATGTTTGAGATTTAAAGAATTTATAATTTATAATCTCAGAATATGTACTATTTTACTAAATCCATGAGTTCAGATTTAGAAAGTAAGATGTCAGTCAGTAGACTCCCTTAATATCTTATTTGCAATAGACTCTATAGTCAAATATATGACAAAAATAAAGTTGAAAGATTTTTTTAAAAAAGTTCTGTAGTAACCACTGGAATGGAGACTCTGCTCATGTTCAGGAATTAAGGAAAGGAGGGACTTACAATGCAAATAATAGCCAGGAGTCATCTCAGCTGCCTAAAGTAGCAAACTGGGTGAAAACAGAAAGTCACTAATAAAACCTTACTCCTTTCCTCAGTCAAAGCCCACCACCAATCCCGTATCAAAGCCCTCATGTCTGTTCTAAGTGGGCCAGACACCTGCCTTCCACTGTTTGGAAAGTAATGACTTCCCTTCTTACCTGTCTTCCAACCCTTGTGCAAATGCTTCTCATTGGTGCAATCTACCATGCCAGAAAAGGGAGTCTGTGGAACAAGTTTTTCAGGTCTCCAGCCACTGACAATACAGAGAAGAATGCAAAAATTAGGTGGATTCATGCTTAGATGCCAACAGGCAATATAGCATGGTTTCTGTCCTAAAGAAGACATACCTGAATGTAAGCATTTGTATTCTTTATTAGCTTTGTCCCATCTTTTTGGGAATGTTTTTGTCACATAAATAGAATTCAGTCTTATATTGTCAGAAGTTGATTTGGTTAATTTGTACAAAGGAGATCTTCATCTTGGCTTCATTACTTTCTCATTTAGACACGGAGCATGAGCTTGAGCAAAGATAGGTAGTTGGAAGTGGTTATTGGAATCAATGTATTTCTTATTTGTGAAGACAATAGTCCAGAATTGAATAAATCTTACCTCTTAAAGTGTTCTGGCTGAGATTTGCATGTTGTGACTTTATTTTAGAAAATGCAGGCTTGTCTGGGGAACTGGACAAATACACCATTCTTCAGAAATGTAACTTTTAGTCAAAGTCGTGAGTGGTGATATGTCTATTTTATAGCAAAAGTCAAAGGTTACCCTATAGCAGTCATCCTTCACGTAAGGTTCCAGGATCAATAACATCAGTATCACATAAGAATATGTTAGAAATGCAAATTCTTGGGTCCCATCACATATCTAGCAGACTAGGTCTCTGAGCTTGGACCCAGATGTCTGTATTTTAAAATGTCCTCCAAATAATTCTAAGCCAAGATAAATTTGACAACTGCTGGCCTACATTATGTGTAATTGGGAACATGGCTTCCGGAGCTGAATTTAAGAGAGCAGGCCATTGCTATTGCCAAGTTTGCTATGAGTGCAGTGCAGGTGACTATGTAGAGAATGTTACAATGAATCAGCACTTAGAATATAACCGTTAACATTAGAGACTCTACTAAGATCCTTCATTCTTTCTCCTGCTCTTCACTCTGTTTCAGTCTTCGGATGCTAGCATTTACATGGAGGTGATTTTTGTGGTTAATATTCTCCAACGAGCTGCTATTGATGTACCCCTTTATCCAAATTTCCAGGGTATAAGGATATCCGGTAAGAATGAGGATACAGTATGCTGATAAGCATAAGAATATAGTTTGACATGCTTGATTTCTAAATGATTGAAGATATTCATTGGGAGACAATTCTTCATAGGTCTCTCATGATTCTGGACATCACACACATACAGAAATTGACTCCTTGTTCTGGACTAGCTTTTTAAAATATGGTTATATAGTAAAAAGTTTTGGGGGATATAGTGTCTCCATCTAGATCAAAAGGCAGGTTTCTTACAGTTTATGATGAAACAGATAGTGTCTCCCTTCAAAGAAAATGGTAGTTCAGCCTATTCTCCTTTGTAAAAACTTGGATTCCCTAAATTCATGAGTCCTTTCCTATAATGCAACCCACTGCACATGCAGGCATTACTTGACCCTCTTTCTATCGCCCTGTCCGAATTGAGGTTCAAGGAACCTATGCAAACACTGAGAACTCTGGCTACGGGTATTGCTGTGAGTAATAAATCATGCTTCATCTCTAACGCAGAAGTCTGTTATCCTGTATCAGCACTCATAAACAATTCAACTTGCAATTAGGTTAAGAACTCTTAACAGTTTTTGGAAATGCCCTGTGATTTCAATATTTGTATGGACCAGTGACTACTCGGGCTTTCCAATTTTTCCCCTTTTGAATAAGAGTATCTAGAGCCATCATCCTAGGTCTGCGGCATCATTTCATGTTGGGTATGTGGGGACAAATGACTCGTCTGTTTATTTCACAAACCTCTGTACAGGAAAAAAAAAAAGAATTCAATGTGTTGTACCTGATAAAATGCACCTACAGAGCCTCATATTCACCTGGGCCTAACTGAATGAACGTAATCCTGAAACTGGAGCTTGATCCTGATGCCTACTAGGACAAGATTCGGGAGGGGACTATCTTGGAAGGGGATGAATATGTTCTATATGGAGGGGTGCACAGTTAGGATTTGCTGTGGCTGGAGGGCAGACTTTCACAGGATGTACTTTCCAAAGAAGGATATCACCATATCTCCCATTCTATATGCTCCTCATGAACCTTGACTGAGGATAATCAGCTCTAAGGAGATTATTGTTAAAGGTCCTAGTGGTTTTCATTTCAAACCTGCAGAATCAATGACCCTAACTGCTTCTTACATATATATTTGTAATCAATCCAGTAACAATTTTGTCTCCAAAAATGAACAAAAGTTTCTTTCCATTAGGGTGAATCAAGGTCCTTAGATTATTATTTGGGATACCAATTTATATTTGCATGTACAAGCTATTTAATTAGTCTTAGTGGTTGAATTAGTGAAAACAGTTTCTGCCATTATAATAAATATTAAGGAAATACAACAAGGAGTTAAATGTGCCTTATTTGAAGACCTTGTACATGAATTAATTCCATAAATATATAAATTACTGCTATTAATGAGAGCAAGGAGCAAGATTGACACTGGCTGGAATTGTCAGAGAAGATATCACTTGATGTGTGGAGATTAGATGAGGTCTTCAGTGATGACATAGTTTGAACAATTTTCTAACTGTTAAACTTTTTCTTGGTCTTAATATATTGCATCACACTGATTAGAGAAGATCATTCTGTTTTCTTTGAATTTTTAATGTGCACCATCCATCCTGGCTTTGAGGGACTTCCTCCTACCCCAAACTTGACTACAAAATGAAAAACTTACCTTCCATACTCCTCCTCGTTGCTTATTTCCACTTCTTTCCTAACACTAAAGAGTGGCGAGCAGGCCTTTCTTATTTGCAAGATTTATCTCTATTTACTGGTGGTTGGTAGAGAAGAGAGTCTAAGAGTAATAAAATAAAAAATATGGGGGACATATAAAATCTAATGTCCATTCTTCTTTTCTCTCTGTATCAACTGACACTTTTTTAGCAGTAGGGCTCAGAAGAGCACTCTTTGATCTTTGTGTTACCTCTCTCTCTTTCCATTCTCTCTCTCTCTGTCTCTCTGTGTGTTTGTGTGTGTGTTTCCTTTCTAACAAACACACACATGCACCACACTAAAGTTATTCTCCTGTCATTACTATTAATTGGGTAAAAAATTTAAGAACCACATCAGTGACCACTTAATAAACACTGAATAAAATTGAATGTCACTTGTATGTTTACTGTGTTCACTGTGTATTTCCAAATAAATTGCAAATTTGTCGAGAGCAGGGTTCATACATCATACACTATTGGTCCCATTGCACATACTCTTGGTCCTCATACACGTTGGTCCAGCACGGTGCTAGCAAGTAAGGATAGTTCATAAACACAAGCTCTGTTTCTGCTTACCTTCTGTCATGAAGGACCCCACCATTCATTTATGATCATCTCAGCATTAGATGAAACTAGTTCTCTCTCTGTGTAGCCCTGTCCTTTACTTAAGTGACTGTGTTTGAAAATAAGATGTTCTTATTTGCATTTCACTACTAGAGCAAGAAAACATATGTGTGAAATTTTACATAGAGAGCAAACTGAGCCAGAAATAATCATGAAAGTATGATATATATTATGGTTAACTCTATCATGGTTTTCCCCTCATTCTCTAATTATATATATGATTATTTATAAGAGATAATACATATATATGTATATATATAATTAGATATATATAATTAGGTATATATAAAATTAGACATATATGTGTGTGTTTGTGTGTGTGTGTGTCTGTGTGTGTGTGTCTCTCTGTGATATTCGGTGATTTTATGCTCCTCAAATTATAAAGATTTTGCTTGATTAGCTCTTAAATTTTTTAATAGCTAAAACTTCAATTGTTTTACTTATTAAATCAGTTTTGATTCTGTTTTGAGTTATTCAGTAGTGTGCAGAAAAGCTTGCTAGAACAGTTTAATAATTATTTCTCTGTGCTTGTAGTCAATTATAATTTTTACTTGTTTTATTTGTATTGTACAATCCATGTTGAAAAACCATCCAATTATTTTTATGCACAACTTACATCTTAAATAGGTATATGTATATGTGTGGATATGTTTTGTGTGTGTCTAGCCACTAGATGATAGTCATTGCATCAGTGTTGTTTTATTTATCTAAATAACTGAACAAACATTTGCAATGTTTTTTATATTTTACATACTTTGGCAATTATAAAATGAATGAGGTTCCAAGAACCTTATAAAAAATCATTTCATACTCATTAAATTAAAACAAGAATAAGTGGTTTGGGATTTTGCAATATTTCAAGAATTATTAGGGTTTTGATAGGTGGAAAATAAAATGTTGGAAGAGGGTACTATGAAGTTAAATATATTAAACAATTAAACTTTATTGCTCAGTCAATGAAGAGTAAAATTACTAGACTATCAATGTTTGACAATGAAATATATTTGTATTACAATAAATCTGGAAATACATATCAGGAACCCAAAAAATAAAAACATAGCTTGTGATGTAGATGAAAATGAAGTGGCCATGGGAGAAACATAGACAAGGAGAACGAGAGAGAATGGAGAGAACTATGGAGAATTTAAATCTTCTGAGTCAGAATATTAGAAGAAGCTGGGCAACTGAAAGGAGGAGGCTGCAGCAGAGCACAATTAAAGATGTCCAAATGCAAAAGGCAAGGGAAGGAAAACTGATTTTCAGGAAGAAGTATGAGATTAAATGCAGTCAACAAGGGGAAAAAGAGGCGAATTGCCTTTGTAAATTTCTATGTTAGCAGTACACTTTGAGGAACAGTCTGAGTGTAGAAAATGGGAACAAAGCTAGATGTCAATGAATCTAAAATCTGATATCAAGTGTGTGGAAGTAGAACCGGTGGGGAGGTATAAGTAAAGAATGAGCAATGCCATCATGAGAAGTTATTTTTCAGGAACAGGAAACCTTGACTGTATTTTAAATATGTTGAGAAAATAAACCATGAGGGAGAAATTGAAGGTAAAAATGGAGAGAATGACTGAGGGGACACATTTTCAGAGATGATGAGAATTGTGGGCAATAATAGCAAGGGTTCAGGTGGTGAATTTTTCAAAAAAGAGCAGAGATAATTATTCTGAGACAATGGAAAATAAATAAATATGATGAACATTCTGAGAAATGTTGAAATAAAAAGAAGGAAAGGTAGTTTTTAAATAGAGAATTGCTATTAAAGCTTTCCAGATTATTTTTAGGGTCTGCGGGGGCAACTTGGAGTACTGGGAAGAGCCGTGAAGTAGAATCAACAATACCCGTTGTGATTTCCAGATCTATAACTTTCTATGAGGCCTTGAACACATTTATTTCTCCTTACTTCTCTTGTTCTCATATTCTTCTATTTTAGAACGAAGTTATGATGGACACAGAGACAGGATGCCCAGACTCCTTATCAAAAACAAACAAACAAACAAAAACTTGCAGCCCTAATTAGTGGTAGTAACATCTGTAGGCAGCATTTAGCTGTCAGCCCCTTCAAAGATTGCCTCAGTTGCAGAAAGCTACCTTACTCAAGGCCAAGGACTTCAGGGGATAGCCCCATGTGCAATGACTGATGGAAATGGACATAAAGGCCTGCCCATTTTGAGCCAAATATGAACCAATCTGATGGGACATTTTAGTTTTAGAGCTACCTTGGGGTTGGCCAACATAGTTGCTTGGGTCTGCTGTGCAGCTGGACTTTTCTTACAAATCTTGCTACCTCCTCCTGTCTTCCAGATATGTTAATTCCACGGCAACCCTGTTATAAAACTTCCATCCTTTAAACTCTGCCTTAAAGTAACTTATAAAAAACCCAACTTGTCACCAGAATTGTTGAGAGTTTTCAAGGAGGTCATGGTGAATATGAAACTGTTTTACACTGATTAGATGCTCATAAATACCACAGATGATAGTTTATTTATAGCTCTTATTTCATAAAACGCAGGCCATATTCTTCTGAATATTCCAAAATGGTTTGTTTTAACTAAACCTTTTCTAAACACAGTTATTTTGTAATGTCTATTTTGTAACATTTGCTAACGTTAGACAAATGTTACAAAATAGATATTATAAAATAATGTAGTAAACATTATGTAACAAAATGATGTAACATTTTATAACAAATTTGTTACAAAACAATGTAACAAAACATGTCCAGTGGTATTCGACCAATTTTTTTCAGGAGTCTGATTGAGTAGTTTTGTAGGTATTCCTAAATATTAACTTTTTAAGCATAGCTATCATATGGAAGGGGGCATTATACTAGTGTGTGGACATGTTTGAGGTTCAGTCTGTAGCTATAATAAGAGATCAGTCCCTGCTAAGAGTTAGAAACCATTGTGTATCCGGGATGTGGAGCTTTTCTGAGACATGATAAGGAATTTGTTCAGAGACAGATATATGGGGGCAGCTTATGTCTAATGACATCGGCAAGGAACACAGGGAAGTTTTAGCCAAGTGTCAATGACTGTATGCCTTCTGCAAGGCAATGGTAAGATGTTACTTAGCCTTCTCTGCTGATTTCAGTGTCATACTTAGTGTAAGCTCTAATTATTACAACTCATGGAGTTCTCTTTCTTTCTTTTACTCCTATTGCTAAAGATTTGTTGTCAATAGCAATCCATTCAGTATCAGTGTCTAGTGTTTCAAGAACTACAGCTTCCCTGAAGTGAATGGAGATTCATAGCTGATAGCAAACCATTGTCGAGAATGAGTTCACACCAGCAAAGCTATAACTCCAGTCAAAGGACCAGCAGTTCAGTCTGATAGTGTCCTCCTGAGACAAATAGTTCCCATTTAAGCGCCAGGATGTGATAAAAGGGTAGGAAATCGTTGCTTTGTCAGTATTTCTCAATGGATTTACTTTGGATAGCTATGACCTACCTCTGCTTTATAAATCATCTCAAAAGTTAACTTCTGAGTTTATGCTGAAATATGTCTCTGCCGGGAATAATCTGCCATTGATAGAAGAGTTAACACAAAGCTTTTTTTTTTTTTTTTTTTTCATCTTTAGTCAGGACCATCTCACTTCTCTTTAATATTTCCAACTATCTTTCTTGCTTTGGTCTGATTTCACCAAATGAACAAAGGACTCAAGAAAAGCACCAGTTCAGGTAATGAATGGATTAGAGTAAAAAACATCATTTGGTTTTGTGTGACTTATCCATGAAAGCCATCTGTATTAAGTGAAGCAGCAACTTTGCTTTACTTTCCGTGGAGATGAAAGCTTGAATTATGTGTACACAATTTTAGAATGATTTGTCAAATGAGTGAATTTAGTTAATTTTCAGAGGGAAAAAAATTACCAGGACAGATCTATTTAGTCTGTTTAGGAGGTCCAGTAGTCCTGATAAAACTAAGCCTTGAATAGACATAAAATTCTTGGCAGCAATTGATGTAAACCCCAGCCTGATTCTGCTCAATAAAAATCTAGTTTATCCATTAATATCATATTTTCTCTTTTTCTGTTTTCCTCATAGTTTGGCTGACTATATCATGAACATTTACATACTAACAATGTAATTGTGTACATATTTATATAGAATAAAATTAATAAATTAAAAAAGGTACACTATGAAAATTCAATCTCCCTTCCCTTCCTGGCCTAGGCCATACAATATTCCCATCAAAGGTAACCACTGTTATGAAGCTATTCCAGCATATACATATTAATGTGTGCATGCTTACATTCAGACACACAATTCAGTTTTGTACAAATATTGGCACATTATATTTCCTATTCTACATATTGCTTTTTTTTTTACTTACCAGTATGTCTATGATCACAAGATGAAAAATTTTAAGATGCTGCTACATTGTTTGTAAACATACCAAAACCACACTTGAGCCACTTTTAATTTGTAACTATATCACCCAAAGTAAAGAAGTTTGTCCCAAATAGAATTACGTCTTAGATAGAGAAAAGTTTAACTGTAGCTCTGCTCATGAGCTTTGCAGATTTGTTGAGCTACTTTGTTTAAACAATTCACTAATCAATTTTACTAATCAAAGAGGCCTTTGCTACTATTTCTCCACTCCAGTCTTTCCTTTGTCTATGATGTCAGTCCATGTATTTATTCAATATCTGTTTGAAAAGTACCAGCCATATATCAGGCATTTAACTAAGTGGTCAGGATTTGAAAAACATGATGGACCCAGTCAAAGTTGATACTGCTTTGGTAGAGGTGATTCAAAGAACAGTAGGAAGGAGGACACCAGATTAAAAAAACACAATGCAACTCAAGGTGATACACACACACACACTCACACACTCCACCACACACACACACGTATATACACATATATTTTTATATATTTATATATAAATATGTAAAAGATACATTAATCTCACAAAAGGAAGGAGGGGTTATCTTTACTGAATAAGTCAGAGAAATTATGACAGAAAAAGCAACACTTGAATGTAGTTTTGGAGAAGGAAGTTTTCAAACAACGAAAACAACAAAAACACATACAGTAGCATTCCAGGTGAATGAAGCCACATTCAAAGAGCACACAGAAGGAGGAAGAGGAGCAGAAGCAGGAGGAGAGAAAATTTTAAAGAAAATAGGAAAGGAAAAAATGTGCTGTATATGGAGAGGTACACATATTTAGTTATGACTCGAGGTTAAAGTTTAAAGGTAAAACATTGGAGAAACAGATGGAGAGATGAGGAGAAGACAGCTTATTTAGATAACAGAAAGTGCACAAATGTCCTTTGGTAGTGAAGTGTCCCACTGGAGTACTTTAAGCAATGGAGAAGGCATTTCTTTGTATTTAAGTAAAATAATGCATCTTGCTGAGTGGAGAAAAGCCTGGAAGAAGAGACTTGAGGTGAAAAAGTATTTAGAGGATACTTGTCTTGGCTCCGTCTAATGAGGCTCATAACAGTGGAAGCAGTGAGAGCATAGTGAGAAATTATCTGGAGCAATATTTAATAAAAAGCACTAGGTTTACTGGTAATGGGAGTGAGTGAGTGGAAAGGAGTGAAGATAACTCTCAGGTTTTGGCACAGCAAACTGGTGGATAGTGATGGCAAAATCTTCCACTGTGGAGATGACTACGTCAAATACTCCATAGTTAACATCATGGTCAAATCACATTTTGGAAGGGTCTTATTATAAAAACAGATTGTATTAAAATATATATTCTTTAAGTATATAAGATTTATTTTTTATGCAAGGAATTGTCATTAGGAATTTGCTACATATCTGCCATATGAACTGAAAAATACATTTTAATTGAGTCAGGAAGAAAAATAGTATGCCTTATTTCATCCACTTATTTTAGAATAACAGGAAATTAAGACTCAGAGATATTATAAATGACTTTACAACTACTATTAAGAATTGCTTACAGTCTTACAGTTACCAATCTTTGTATTGTATAAAATGCCTCAATACAAGCATACATTAGTTTATTGGGTATTTGCCATGATTTTAATTTAGCTCTGCCATTGGTTAATCGAGCTATATTTGACAAGTTGCCTAACTAATCTATATTTCAATTTTTTTATTCTTTGTATAAGAGAGATAGTAAAAACTTCACAAGCTACATCACAGCTCTGCAACAGAATAACTGATAATACCACGAGAAAAAAACACAAAATATTTGAAAGAACATTATTTATGAATGGCAAAGGCATGTTTTTCTGATTATAGGTATGTTAACTACGGGTCAAACATGAAAATTTTATAAATAAGGTGTTTCATTAGCAGATTACTAAAATGTCATTTATTTTCAGTGTACAAAGTATCTGAACCAGGAGGTGGTAGAAATTTACTGGAAGAAACTCTAGGGCAGGAAAAAAAATTGATATTAGGAAAACAGCAAAGTCAAATATGTAAACTGATGTAAGAACTTGCTTGTGACTGGAAGGGATTTAGGTAAAATGTAGAGATCAATGGAAATATTTCTTTAGAATTTGACAGTGGTTTCAGGGTTAGTAGATGACTCAGCTAAGATTCAAGGTCAGACTCTAGTCTCAGAGGGTGTTTTGAATGTAAGTATTTCAGGCAGTAGGTATACTAAACAGATTGTGCATACACAAAGAGAGTTCAGTAAAGAGGCTGCAAGTCAATGTTCAAGTAGCTACCTCTCTTAACATTTGCATTCAGCTGCATGTAATAGAAATGAAAACACCAGAGACTTCAACAAGATAAGAGGTTTATCTTTTACTCAGATAACAAGATAAGAGGTTTATCTTTTACTCAGATAACAAGATAAGAGGTTTATCTTTTACTCAGGTAACAAAATATTTGGGAAATAGATAACATAGGATTATGTAATGACTTAGGTATACAAAAGCGGGGAATATCAGCAGTGACATTCAACATTTGAAACCACCAGTGTGGCATGGACATAGAACTAATCGGAATGGATACCTGGCCAGTCAAAATGGGTTCTGGGCAAAAGCAACCAGTAAAGCTCTACTAAGATATAGGAGCCAGCTGTAATCTTTGCCTGTGATTCAAATTTTATATCAATGCTTCTGGCAGAAAAAAAGAAAAATAATAAGAAAAGGACATGTGTTAATTGAATCAATATCCTTTCTAAGAAATTTCTCCCAAATCCTACCCAGTGACTTCTGCAGATCCCTCATGTGCCAAACTATTCCAGCAAGAAAACCAGCTGCAAGAGAGCCTAGAAAATACTGAGCTATATTTCTTTTTGTTTAATTTCCTTGTTTATTTGCTTGTCTGTTTACTTTTAAATTGGGCACATTTCTACCCCCCATCCCCAAAATCAGAGGTCTCTTAATAAAGAAGAAATGGAGGAACAGATATTGGGCAAACACTTCTGAAATTTAGCCTTTTCTTCCTCCTATGATGACTAGAGCAGAAGCAATCATCTTGACAAAATGACAGAAAACCCAGGAAACTATAAAACTTCAGCCCTGACTCCCTTGAGTCACTGAATTAATGTCAGTTATCACTTATATGGGGATTTAGAGTAATACAAAAATAAAATAAATTCTAATTAATTGCTGTTATTTGATTTATCCATGTTATGAAGCAGAACACAGTCTCTAAGTAATAAATACACTGTCCAAAGGTGTGATCAACTCCGAGTCTATAACTAGGCTTCAGTGTGCACTTAATACCTAACTCCATCAACTGATATAATGCTAGACTGGGTTCTCATTGTCTAAGGACAAAAGTCTGAGTCTTATGAACTAGGTTTTCATTGTTGGCTGCCAGCTGAAGTTTGAACAGGCAGAAGATGAAAAAAAAAGTTTAAAACTTGATAATAAGGTCTATCCATGCACCACAGACTGACATTTTGGTCACTGATGGACTGCATATATGACAGTGGTCTTATAAGATTATAATGAAGGTCAAAAACTCCTATTGCCTGGTGACATCACAGCCACTTTGATGTAGTAGCACAACACATTACTCATGACTTTGTGGTGATGCTGGTGTAAACAACCTATTGCACTGCCAATCACATAAAAGTGCGGCACATACAATTGTGTACAGTATATAATACTTGATAATGAAATAAGCAACTATGTTACTGGTTTATGTATTTATATACTACACTTTAAACTGTTTTTTAGAGTGTAATCTTTCTACTTTTATATAAGGAAAGGTAAAACAGTCTCAGGCAGGTCCTTCAGGAAGTATTCCAGAAGAAGTCACTGTTTTACATCAAAGATCCATTTATGTTATTGCCTCTGAAGACCTTCTAGTTGGACAGGAAGTAGAGCTGGAAGATAATGATATTGATGATCCTGACCCTGTGCAGACTTAGGCTAACGTGTGTGTTTGTATCTTAGTTTCTAACAAAGAAAGTTTAAAAAGTAAAAAAAAAAATTAAAAAAAAGGTAGAAAAAGTTTATAGAATAAGGACATGAAGAAAGAAAATATTTTTGTGTAGCTGTGCAATGTGTTTGTGTTTTAAGCTAAGTGTTACTATTAAAAAGTCTAATGGTTTTTTAAAAAAGTGTACAAGGTAAAAATATTACAATAAGCTAAGGTTAATTTATAACCCAAGAAATAATTTTAAAAAATAAATTTAGTGTCATCTAAGTGTTCAGTGTTTATAAAGTCTACAATAGTATACAGTAATGTCCTAGACCTTCACATTCACTCACCAATTATTCACTGACTCACTCAGACCAACTTCCAGCCCTGCATGCTCCATTCATGGTAAGTGCCCTATACTGGTGTACCATTTTTTATCTTTTATACCATATTTTTTACTGTACCTTTTTTAATGTTTAGAAACACTAATGTCATGGTATAACAATTGAATATAGTATTCAGGACAGTAGCAGCCCATACAGATTTATACCATAGGAGCAATAGGCTATACCATATAGCCTAGGTGTGTAGTAGGCTATACCGTCTGGATTTGTGTAAGTACACTCTATGATGTTTGCATGATGATGAAATTGCCTCTTCACATATTTCTCAGGATGCATTTATTAACAGACACATGACTGTATATTCTAAAGTCAGAGAACTGAAATTGGAATCAAAAGATTCTATTGGTTTGAAGGAATACAATATGCACTAAAAAAATTGAGGTGAAATATGAACTTCCAACTTATAATTCAATTAATCATCCCAGATAAAAATACGCTGTTATATTTAGAGTACCAGTCTAGCCAAGAAAATTTGGTACTTGTGCAGTAAAAAGGATATTCAAAAGTGAGAGGGAAATTGGGTGTTGGGAACTAAGAAATGAGAAAACTGGAATCCAGTGGTAGAATTTCCACCATTGAGGGAGTTGAGCTTCAGGAGTGGAATTTCAAATGACTAAGTATAAGGCAGGAATTCACAGGACAAGTGAAGGAAAAAAAAGAAAAGAAATGTAATGAAAAATATGAGAATTAAAACAGAACCCATTCAGTGTAGACTGTGATGCTGGGTTATTAAATTTGATGCCAAATTCTTAAGTTTACATCATAGAACTCCTTGGAATACTTTTTGAGTACCAGGGCTGATTCAAGAATGTGAAATAGAAAAGAAAGAAACCTTTCAGCAGAGGTTAAATGGCTTAGTAATGTGAATGTGAGCAATTGAGTATGGAAATTCCAAGTAGGTCATTACAACTCAAGCATGATTTTATGACTTTCAAGATATTCAGATACAGAATAACCAAACATTTTATAATACCTATAGCAAGGTCTATTTTAGGTTAGCATAGGAAGCAGTTGTATGTAAATTAAAAGATGCGGGAGTTCATATTAGGATGAGAAACCTTAATGAGAAAGTGCTATACTATATTGCTATTATCACTGAATTCCAATTTAATTTGATTTTTCATACCATTTTAGCAGTATTTATTAAGGCAAATAAAGCAGTAGAAATTCAACCTGTTAAGGTGTAATCAGAATAGGTCAAGAAAGAATATGCCACAGAATGTTTCTACGCCCTTGTCTTAGAGCAGTGGTAGAAATTATTGGGAATGAAGAAGGTTAAAAAGATATAGGAATTTAACTATGGCTAGAAAGAGATTCATGTAAACAAATATGAGATTAAGTGAATATGAAACAAGTGTGTCATCCCCCCCATCTTTATAGTTCAAGACTTTGTTATCTATAAGCATATTCTTCAAAAGTGAAAATGACCTTGAAAGTTTCACACTTTAAATTACAAGCCACTAATAGATCTGCATGAAAAAATACTTCAATTAAATTCAGCAAACATAAATTTAACAGTATTAAGTTACCTAGACACACTGTTCCACCTCAGGCCTTTATGGTAGGCAGACTTCTAAGGTGGCCCACAACGAGAACCATCTCTTGGTATTTAATTCAGTCCCTTTGTGTGTGGGCTGGCAGAAGTGACTCACTTTCAACCAATAGAATGAAGCCAGAGCAATGGATAGTCAATTCCATAATTAGGCTACAAAAGGACTCTCTCTCTACTATCTTCTTATACTCTTTGATAAGCAAGTTGCCATGTTGGAGAGGCTCATATGACAAGGAACTGAGGGCATTCTCTAGTCCAACAGCCCTTGACGAACCAAATTCGGTCAACAATTAAAGCTCTTGGAAATAGATACCCAGTTCAATCTTCAGATGATTGCAGCCCAGCAGGTACTTGAAGTGCAGCCTTGGGAGAAACCCTGAACAAAGGACCCAGCTAAGCCAGGCCCAGGCTCCTGACCCACAGAAACTGTAGATAATAAATGTATGTTGGTTTAAGCTGCTACATTGGGATACTTTGTTTGCAACATTAGGTAACTAATAACAGACTTTCAGGAATAGAAAAAAGGATGAGATAATGTCATCCAGAAATTCTCAATACAGGTGACAACATTTCTGAGAACATTAATAACCAAACTTCTGGCTGGAATATGTAGATCTGGATCTTTATAGGTACATATACACATTTTTGTATGTGTGTGTGTGTGTATGTCTGTGTGTCTGTGTCTGTGTGTTTATATGTACCTTTTGGAAGCACTAACAAGTGAGAATAGGCAAAAATAAGAAAATATTATCAAGGGGTACAGTTTTATCAAGCATATTTCGATTTTTTTAGAGTGAATAATTAAGAACTTATTAAATGGATAGAAGTGTACATCCTTAGAAGAAAAGGGAAAGCACTTTTGTCTAAAGTGTGGGGTACTTAGTGGGTGGGATAGTGGCATGTAGGCTAGAAAAGTAGATCATGAAAGAAAATGGAACATCTTAAAGGCAAAACTGAATGGGTTGAGCTACACTCCTTAGGTGATGATTGCTTTCCTTCTTGCTTGGAATCTGCAATCAGGCCAGGAAATGAGGAATAATCAAAGAATTGGCATTGTCTAGCCTTGACAAAATTCATGCATATCAGCATGTGGAAATAATTGGCTCTTCACAGTTTCTCAGTTGGAACTGAGAAACTAGAAACTGGAATGAAAGGCCAATACAGTCACCAAAACAGAATAAAAGTACCTTAAGGGATAAAAAGTTGTAATCTATAATAAAATAATTCAATAGTACAAATAGAGAGAGATAGAACATGTCTTCTCATGAAAATATTTAACTTTTCAATCTGCTTGTTGGAAACAACTACTAATACCTAAGACTACAGACCAACACTTTCATGGGAGAAAGAATTTGATTGGTGGCACATTCCTTCCCAGTTATCCTCCCTCATCAGAGCATGCACTTTTAGAGTAACATGAAAAAATGCCATCAACATGATGAATAAACTCAAAAGTCTGCCATAAAAAATATTGATGAAATAGTATGAGATGTAGGGGCCGAAAAATAAATAATCAGTAAAATGGGGGACATTTTAAGTGTCCTTATATATTCCAAAAGTTGTCATGTATAAAACAGGTTAGCATTGGTTATGGGAATCCAATGGACAATATTAGATCCAGTGACATGCATGCTACAATTCAATCCACAAACAATTAAAAGACACTTATGGCATATCAGGCCCTCGATAGATATGGGAATATAAAGATGAAAGAGATAAAGTTATTGGCCTCAAGGAATTTACAACATAGCTGGATAAATGGCTAATGTAAATATGCTATAAATGAGAAGAGAGATTTAAATATTTACTGAAAGGAGAGAAGAGGGTTGGTGTTAGAAGTCATATTCCCACATACAGTATACTAAAATGTGAAGGAAACGTTAGAAATGGAGTTTCTTCTTTGCATAGCTCAGAATCTAAGGAAGTAGCAGTATTCATGGTTTAATCATTGTGTCAAACACTGTGCTGAGCCTTCTTTTGGAGGAAAAGCTGTGAAGCAAATTGGAGAAATGTAGGAGAGGCCCAGAGACCCCCTTTTTCCAGTTGGCATCAGAAATCCAGGTTGCAAACAACATGATGGGTCAACTTCTTGCTGTAGCACCCAGATAAGAGATTGATCATCTATAAAGCTTTAAGCAATAGTGAGAAAGGAGTATGATGCATCACTTGTGTGTTCTCTCAAAGAGGCAGCCAATATAAGGTGTGATTTATCTGACTTAGCAAATCACCACTCTTTTCTCTCAGAAAAGCTGAATATATGAATAGCACTATTTATACTTGGTGTGTATCTTAATCCCTTTTGTGTTGCTATAACAGAATACCCAAGACTGGGTAATTTATAAACAATACAAGTTTATTTGGATCATGGTTCTAAAGGCTGGGAAGTCCAAGAAAATGTCACTGGCATCTGGCCCCTGGTGGAAGACAGAAGGCATCACATGGTGAGAAAGAGTGAGAGCATGCAAGGCAGAGGAATAAAGGAGGCCAAACTCCCTTGATAACTAACCCACTCCTGTGATAACAGCATTAATCCTTCATGAGGGAAATGCCCTCATGACATAACCACCTCTTAAAAGTCTCACCTCTTAATACCATCACAATTGCAATTAAATTTCAACATCAGTTTGGAAGGAATATTCAAACCAGAGCAGCATGTATAGAAAGCCTTACCTAGGCTTCATGCTGAGACCATGTGCCAATTCAACCTTTTCCCAAGGCTCTTTTCTCTAAGTCAAAAAGTACTTACTATTAGTAAAATGCTACATTTTAATCAGTATCCCTCTATTTATTCCCCAGGGTAAGTAATGATTGGCACCAAAATACTAAAACATCCCTGATATATGATAAAATTAATTTCAAATGTCATCTTGATTCCTAACCCTCCTAATCCTCCTAACTCCATACCTGCTACTACTTTTGAGAGTTAATACTAAGTAGACCCTGGATTAAACCTACTACCCCAAATCTGATATTATTATCAGCTTCCAAGCTCATTGCCAACCCATTCCACAACTCTACTATGCCTTCTCTTGACCCTGTTTTATTGCTTCCACTTTTTGGTCCTGAATCTATTCCTTTTCTCCACTGTCTGCCTGCCTGTTACCCAGAAACCATCATATCTCCTTACTATAGGCACAGGAAACACATTGGACTCTGCAATCAGTCCTACACCAATTTTAATCTCGACTTTATTTGAATGCTGTGCCACATTGAGCAAGCCATGTAAATTCTAAATGTCCACTTTCTCCTGGGGAAATATTAAACTTAATGCACCACAGAGTACCTGGTAAATAGTAGGCATTTTATAAATGTGAATTATGTTCCTTCCTCATTTCTATAATCTTATATAAATCAATCTGAAGAAAATGCTTAACTGTGAGGAAGAAAAAGAGAGAGCAGTATTATACAGTTTCTGAAGAGAACTCACCTTTCTCTTGAACGATTTATCTGTCAGAATAAAGAACTGTGTTCACCACATTCTTTCATTCTGTGAAGTGGTCACACTCTAGATGTGGTGATGAAAGGAAGATGCCTTCTTCTTCACTTGCACAGTATAGCATGCTGCTATCTGGTGAATGTTTCCATAGAAACAGCAGAATGGCTGCCAGGGCAGGAGGTACGCTGGAATTCTTCATGGAGCCTTTTCTTCCCTTTAGCAGCCAGTGGCAGTCCTGGTTTGGTTGAACTTATGAGCAGACAGACATTGATTTGAAGCTGCATGTTCAAGAAGAACCAAGCTCAAAGCAAACTTTCAACATGTAGTCTTCTAACTTCAGGCAGAAAGGGGAGAGTTTCAGACATACGTTCTACTGGCACTAAATCAAAGAAAGTGTCAATCACCCATTATTCAGTTAAACTGATACTTGGGGCTAGTAAAACCAGCAGAACTGGCTGTGCATTTGTGGTCAAATGATTGATTTAAATACTTTGGTACTTTCGTAGGTCTACCAGCCTATGAAAGAGTCACCTCTACATTTTTTACCAATAGATGATCGTATGAACTGCATGATTTCCAGGATTGGAAAGATCTCATCGGTAAAAATAGTCCATTACACTGCTGCACAGTTTTAAGTCTGTTCTTCAATTTCACTGAAATTTGTTTTTCCCTCTATTTTTCAAGCAGAAGTATAACAGTAAAAATTATATCTATGGCCATGTTGAATTTGGAGGTAGGCATAGGTAAGGAGTAGGAATTCTATTAATCTTGAATAAAGGATGTTTCTCACAAATTTTTTTTTGTTAGTTTCTATCATGAAAGAGGATTTTAATGTTTTGCATTCTCAGAAATATTTGGGCTCTTCTGTGTCCTAGGATTTTGCTTTGTAATTTATGTAGCTCATTTCTTAAACAGCTTATTTGAACATAAGTGAAGTTCTGTCAAATTTTTGACAGATTCTTATTCCTCACATTCTCCCTGGCCTTTAATAAACAGAGCTATCATGCAAAATTTTTGGGGGTGTGTGTGTGTGAACCAGTTATGGATCAAGTTATTTGAAGAGTTTGAAAGATTTATTTGGAAAATCAAAGATAAATTAGTTTTTGGAAGAAAGTATCTCAATCAAGTGTTTCTATACTCATCTATACCAACTGAACCTGCAGAATTCTTAAGTTTTATTTCTCTAAGGCTGTGCATAAAAAATAGTTATGCATGTGTGTGGGGGGAAGTTTTTGAATCACATTACAGTAACAAGTTTAGGAAAATAATACACTTCAAGTAATTACATTGACTTTTCCTCTAAATTTTTACTTCAGTCAGTGAAAAGGCCTTTTAATTGAAGAGTGGCATGATTTAAAAAAAAAAAGCTTTGACTACTTTTAAATGTTAATCTTAAATAGAAAGGCACAGATAATGTGTTAGAGCATGCAATATTGCTAAGAAAAATATAGGGAGATTTATTATATGGTTACTGTATTAGTCTCTTCTTGAATTGCTACAAAAAAATACCTGAGACTGGCTCATGTATAAAGAAAAGAGGCTTAATTGGCTCACAGTTCCAGAGGCTGTGCAGGAAGCACCTTAGCATCTGTTTCTGGGGAGACCTCAGAGAGCTTTTACTCATGGTGGAGGGAATCTTTTACCCATGGTGGAGGGCAGTGGGGGAATAGGCATCTTATATGGCAGGACCAAGAGAGAAACGGGAGGTGCCACAAACTTTTAAACAACCATACCTCATGATAACTCACTATTACAGTGACAGAATCAAAGGAGATGTTGTTGAACCACAAGAAACCACCCTCATTTTTAATTACCTCCCATCTGGCCCCATCTCCAACACTGAGGATTGGACTTGAACATGAGATTTGGGTGTGTCCAAACCGTATCAGTTACTTATTTGCAATTTTCAGATGAGATGGAAAGGCAGAAAGGGATAAATAGTTGAAATGGCAAAAAAAAAATAATCAACAGGATAAGGTTTATATTTCACTTTCACCACATTATATTTTCAATATAGCTTTCTTTCTTTCATATGCATTTGAGTAGTATTTAAAATTGCAACTTCAGTTAGAGTTTCCTTTTGTAACTCTACCTTAGTTACCGTAGGCCTTTTGGTAATTCATTATCCCCTGAAATCTCAGTTACCTAATGACACACAGAACCTTACTAGTTCTGCTGATCCTACCACACCCTTTCTTCCTAAATTCTTCACTTATGATGATGTATGCATATAAAAGCTCCCCATTATTCTCACCTTTTTCCTGTCCAACATTTTTCTAACCGTCTTACATTAACTGAAATTGGACTGTCTTCTGATGTCATTAAATTCCCTCTCCAACTTCACATTTTCTCACACCTTATATATCTTACGGTGGGGAGCTGGGAATGGAATTATCTTCATGCATCAGAATCAACTCTAGGTTATTACTTCCCCTCTATTTTCTAACACTGTCAGCTCTTAAAGTTCATTCCATTCACCTAAAACCTTCTCTTTCCCACCTGGTTGCTGAAATCTGTAGGCATTCTTCATTGAAATTTTGTTTATGCTCAGTGATTGACAACGTCATCTCCAAATTCCTTTTCATCCTCTCTATTTTAGCCACACAATCCCAAGGTTACACCATAGATTTTGTTAACAAACACTGCAGATTGCCAACATCATAAATTCAAACTGGCTACAGTTTTCTAGATTTTCAGCTCATCTAATTTATGACATTGAAAGCAATCTTTGTGGCAGAGAAAGTATTTGCCAAATTCCCCAAATGAAATGAGCTTCTGTTTACTTTCAAAACTCCCTTGGAGCACACTGAATTCATGTGGCTAATTCTAGTTAAAGTATACCAAATGAAAAGTGGTTGTACAACCTCTATCCCATGCTGCCTCTGCTTAAACGACTTTGGGAGTCATGCATTAAAATAATAGCATGACAACACGGATGAAGGCTAAATCAACTCCTAGCTAGATGAAATAAGGAGTCCTCACTAACACATTTCAAGATGGTCTTGCCTAAGAAATTACCTTTTGTTATACTAGCCAATGAAAATTTGAGGATTTGTTTCTTGTGCGACGAGTGTTAATTATCCCAAAGAAAAGTTGGCTGTCACAATCCATTGAATTCCTTTCCTTTTATGTAGTGACACTCCCTTTCTGCCTCTACTTTCCTTTTCATCTAGCTTGTATTTTATGGTCCATACTTATATTCAGCATTTTGTTAATTAAGTCTATCACTCTTTATACTTTCTCCTGTCAAAACCTCACCCTTGGATCAATAAATCATCTGCATTCTCTAGTCTCACACCAAGCACCCAAATGTTTTCTTATCTACAATGTCATGATTACCTCTTTAAAAGAGTACTCTACATGGGAAGATGTTTGATTATTATTTTTTAGTATGTTTACTCCACAAAATGCTTATTACATACTTTTAACTTAATATTAAAAAAGTCTCTTTCTGCTTTTATTTTCAGTTAATATGTTTCACACCTTATTGAGAAAATAGAAACCATTTAAAAATAAATCTCTTCTTCTACCCTCAAAACTATTTTAAAACTATCATCCTCTTCATTAGTCATTGTCTTCTTTTTTCCACTCACTTCTCCATTCCTTCATTCTAATGAAGTATTTCTATTTGTATGAAGGACTTATTCATTCCCATATGTTCAGTTTCCATTACCTCTCATCTTCTCAAAGAACCTAGTATTCTCCTCCACATGTCTAATAATAATTCTATCTGGAAAAGTCACAAATTTATTTCCTGTCTCCTTCTACCTACTGCCCTAATTCCTGTTCCACTTCACACTCAAACTTGTGAAATAAATGTTTTAACATTTACTGTGTCTACCTCCTCACCTAACCATTCTCTCCAGTCCCTGACTCCCCTGCACTATTTGGCAAAGACTGTTCTATGTATATACATATATATTTACAAAATGTATTATTTTACTACCTCTAATTTTAACATATATCAGGCACTTCAGAACATCTAGAAAGACTAGACCTTACAAAAACTTTAGCATTGTCAACTATATATACAGTAGTGAGAATAAAATGCACACAAAACAATGGATAGAGTATGAAAAGTCTTCTAAATATGACTAGTCTAGCACAGAACCTTCTTTTCCTTCTCAGGTCTTCTGCTCCATGTCCTCTAGCCCATTGAACAAACGTGGACGTGTTGCTTCCAGAAGTGGTCTAATAACTCCATTTCAAAAAGTCAACTCCAGAAGACATTTTCTATGACTTCTTTTTAAACTAATGAGAATTTGCAAGGTGTGTGATTTTCTAACTCTACTTCATACGTTGGCAACCTCTTTACTCTAGAAGGGCTGGATGTGGCAAATGTTTTCTTTTAAAAGGTTTTGGGGGAGAAGTTGAGAGCAGCTTTTTCATATTATATAGGCAGGCATTCTATAAACAGCCAGTAAATCTTCCCAAAAGATGGTGGGCATTTCCAGCGGGCCAAATGGGGGATGTCATTCTGCCATTTCTCTCTTCCGACAGCAAGGTCGATAGAACATAGAGCAAGTGCCGCTAACCGTTCCACTCGTTGTAGGGACTCTGCTCACCTTCCAGGCCCGTTAAGGCCGTTGTCCCTTGTCGTCAGGACTAGGTACGTCTCTTGCTCATTCGGGACAGAGTGGTCACCCAGGACCTGGATCTGCACGGCTCTGTGACCTGAGAAGGCAGCTAGCTGAGGCAGCGTCTGTGACCGCCTTCCTGGACCCTCCACACCCTAGCGGCTCTGTCACGTGACACTCAAGTGGCCGCCATTATTATGGCCCGACACACCTGCCGCCACCCAAAGTCGCTGAGTCCTCGCGGCTCGGCAGGGGCTTTGTCTAGGCCCGACAGGATTGGACCGAGAGACCCGGCGGCCAGCGGGTTCAGGGCTGGGAAAGGCCGCCGCTGCCATCAGGTCTCCAGGCGGAATAGGGAAGAGAGGTTCGCCGCTGCTTCAAAGCCTGGCTGCCCGGCCTTGGCTGCCACAGCTAGGTCTCGGGGCGTCTGCAGGGCAGAGGGCGCGCCCGCTGCGTCCCCAGCTCGCTGCAGGCCCAGGCAGCGTCCAAAGCGCCCCCGGGGCGAGGGCAGCTGGCCGTGCTTGGCTTGCTCTCTGCCAGAACGGAACTCAAGACCGTTAAGACATATACCTGACCACTGTCTTCCTGCATAGAAGAGAACATTTTTTTCTCCTTATCTTTTTAGAACTCATAACAACAGAGTTAAGCACTTTTCCTCTTTCGAAACACATTGGTATGTTTCAAATGGCCACTCCCTCTTTATTCGCCAAATCTCATTGTACACAAATGTTTGTTTCTTCTGTTTCCATCCTTTTACTTTCTATTTTCTGTTACTAATTCATTTCATTCAGTTTTTACGTCTGTGAATATCCTCTCTAATGCCTTAACTACCAAAATTTTCTCTCTCTTTTTTGTTTTTAGAGAAAGGGTCTCACTATGTTGCCCAGGCTGGAGTGCAGTGTTGTGATCTCAGCTCACTGCAACCTCTGCCTCCTGGGCTCAAGTGATCCTCCCACCTCAGTCTCCTGAGCAGCTGTGACTGCATGTGCACCACCAGGCCCTTTTTTTTTTTTTTTTAATAGAGACAATCTATTTTGCCCAGGCTGGTTTTGAACTCCTGACCTCAAGCCATCCTCTTGCCTTAGCCTCCAAAAGTGCTGGGATTACAGGTATGAGCCATCACATCCGGCCAAAAATTTTCTTTCTTATTTTGACTCCTAAGCATATTCAATTAGTGCTTGATATCTTCACTAACACCGTTCAAAGTTTCCCAAACTTAACATGTCCAAAATGAAATTCTAAATATTTTCTTCCAAGATTTCTCCTGCATTTTTATATATTTCTGTAAATGTGCTGCTGCTAAAATGCTGGAAATCTGTCATTATTAACAATTCACTCTAGCTCAACACAATGTTCTATAACCAAGCCTGTTTATTTTACATTAAATATGTACTTATAATTCATGCTTTTTCATTCAAATCTTTGCAGCTACTGTTGACTCAATCTTGTTGTATTAAAGTTGTTTCTTTAGTGTTGCCCCTGTTTGAATTTTCTTACCTTTATCCCACCCATCCTCAATTTACAATCCATTCTACTACACAACTGATAGACTGTTTAAAAAATCATGAGTGAGATCAAATTTCACACAAGGTTTAAATTACCAATTGTGAAAAATTGGCATTTTGAATTGTGAAAAAAATTTCAAACACCTTTGCATGTATTACAAAGCCCTGGTGAGCTGATCCCTACCTAGCTTTTCAGCTGTGTCAAGCATCACCTTTCTCCTGTGCTTAATATGTTCAAGACATTTCTTTCAGTTTTTCAAATTAACTTTTAGAAGTTTTACATATACAAAAAAACGGAGGAAGAGTATAAAATTTCCCACACACTTTATAGTCAGTTTCCTCTATTATTAACATCTTACATTAATCTGGTCTATTTGTTACAATTAATGAATTAATATTTACATATTAATAATAACCAAAGTCCATACTTGTGTTTTTTTTAGTTTTTACCTAATGACCATCCAGGACCCCATCTGGCTTACCCACATTAGAGTTAGTCATTATGTTTCCTTAGGCTTCTCTTGGCTGTGGCAGTTTCTCAGACTAACCTTGTTTATGATGACCTTGACATTATGGAGAGTACTGATCAGGTATTTTGTAAAGTGATCCTCTATTGGGAATTGTTTGATTTTTTTCTTATGATTAGACTTAAGAGTTTTAGGGAGAAAGTCCATATCCCATTATATCAAGGGTACCTACTTTTAACATGACTCATTACTGTTGATGTTGACCTTCATAACTCAACTAAAGTGTTATAAAAGTAAGTATAAAGTTATTCTGTTTTATTTTTTTCCCACTTCTCTTCTCTTTGGAAGAACATCATTATACACAGTTACGCTCTACCTTCTTCATGGCAGAGAATATATATAAATTATTTGGAATTCTGAATAGGAGATTTATCTCTTCTTCTTCACTTATCAATTCCTTTAATTATTTATTATATTTATATAAACTGGTAGATATTGATTTTATACTTTGGAGTTTAATACAATACTGTTTATTTATTTTTTGGTTCAAATTGTTCCAGCAATTGGCTATATAGGGAGCTCTTTCTATTGGCTCCCGTTTCCCTTCAACATATTCCCATCATCTTGGGTTTTTGGTTTTGTTGTTTTTCTGAGCACTTCCTTACTTCTTTGCATTACACGATGCTCCAGGCTTATCTTGTATATGTCCTGCCCTGTGTTTGTATCAGCTATTTTACCAAGCAGTCCTGCTTCCTTTTATTGTAGAATGTTAATAGACCCTGAAATCTGGGAGCTATGTGTGCTCATTGCTTTTGCGGTATCAATGTTTCTAGGGTCTTTTAGCTGACAGAGCAAGAAAATGTATGTGTAAGCAAGCATCTCTTCATATTTCTATATGTAGCCATCTGTATAGATATTAAGCTAAAGCTGAGTTCATAATGATGTCTCCAATTCTACTTTATTAACACCTGGACCTCTATAACTTCCTGCTCTTGCTTATCTGTAACCTCTCTTTGCAACAGTGAGAAATCTGGCTACTATCATTGCCATTCATTTGCAATTGTTTATGTTCAGTGTGCACATTAGCACTCTTAACTGGAGTATAGTGCTTATATACAGCATCTTTTGTCTTTAATTTTAGATTCCTTTTCCAAAGGTATTTAGGTCACCTGCCTTTACCCAACTTCATTCAGGGAGGTTGTTTTATATTTCTAATGCCATTTGATTTTTTTTCCACATTCTGCATTCCATCCTGGATTTCCGCCAACCTCGTGAAAAAACATATATATATATAATTGAATATATATATATATATAATTTTGAATATATATATATGTGGAAAACCATCCAATATCACTAAGACCAAGGGACCGTGCAACAAAAGAAGATTCTATATTAATCAATGCAGTTGCTAAATTAACTTTTAGTCATTTTTATATGTTCAGAATACTTGAGCTTTTTTTCATGGGTAATTTTTTACTAGAATTGAAACGATTAAGAAGAACAATAAAGAACCATTAGATCACTAACTCCGTTTATCTCAATTGCATTCTTTGGTAATAAGTTTCTGTTTAATAATTTTGCATGTTTCTGTCATTCAATTTTTTTTTTATTATGCACTTGGACAAGTTTCCATTGTAGGATAGTTTTGGTCATAGTTTTGGTTCTGTTTGTTTGTTTTGTAACCCATGAAATTAAAGATCAAAAAACTACCTTGAATAATAATACCATTTTATTGTCATTACCCTCCTTCTGTCTCTGATACCTCTTCTCTTTCCTTACCAAACTAAACCTCATTGGAATAATAGAAATAATAATACTGTATGTGAAACATGAATGAAATAGAAACAGTTTTAGTAAGCAAAATAACATAGCTTTGTATATCATATTTATCTGGGCTTGATTTCTCTATGCTTACATGTTTATACTCTTGAACATGGTCTTCTTTTCACCAGAAGAAAACAATCAAAAATAGTTTACTTAAATTTAAAGTCACAGTCTATAGCCTGACGTAGCGACCATCTCTACATGACTCAGTGTGCCTAAATATGTTATTTTATTACAAAAACAGTACATTCTCACTTAATAAAGACATTTAAATAAATGAAAAAATGTTCAATGGTATATAATCATATAATCACACTGCCTGCATATTTTATTACTATTTTCATAGTCTATGAAACACATTTGTGTGATTATATTATGTATATGTGCTTATACGTAAACTTAAATGAGTGCCTTACAAAATGAAATGATATACATAGATACCATATGTATACACATACATCATGACATACATACATTACATATATAAATTACCATCTTTATGTTGGCAAATAATTCTATGAAAATGTAATACCATATTTGTTTAATATGTATAGCTATTTAGATTTTGTCCCATTTTTTACAACTTTAAACAGTGATATACATCTTTGTATTAGTATCATTTTCAATTGTATTCTTTTTAATATAACTGTGTGGAATTTTGGAGTCAGTATCTGATCATTTTCTTTTAACTTTCAAAACATTTATTAAACAACCTGAAAGGAAGTATTTTGCCAATTAGCAATCCTAACTGGTATGTGTGACATGCCCCATCAATTAAAACTTTTTAAATTTTGGCCAGTCTAGAAGGCAAGGTTTTTACATATCTCTTATTTTTGAGTTCTATTTCCGGTAAGTTTGACTTTATTTATTTATTTATTTATTTATTTATTTATTTATTTATTTCTTCTACACCACAGGCAAATTCTGAAGAGTCAGAACGTGCTAGAAGGAGGACATGACCTATGTATTACCTACAATATGTCACAAATTATCTCCCCATATTAAGAAGAAAGCTAGTAAAAGCACATTACTGAGTATGTGGTGAACCTGTTCCAACACATACAATAAATGACATGTCAGACCAGGCTGGCTTTATGGGTGTTGCAACAGGATGCATTTGGCCATTTTGAAGTGACTTACTACCAAAAATATCTCCTGCTTTGTTTAGCCACTGTGCAGATATTTTTATTTTTTACCATTCCTTTTAAATATATTTTAAGTAAGAAGCTAGATACGAGAACAATTTAAGCAGGAGTAACTCTGTATTACATTTAGCTTGGAAATATTTATTATACTTAATGGAATACAACATCTGTGGCACTGATGAAAGGGAAGTCCATTTTCATGGTAGATCTCAAATCAATAATTACTCTTTCTGAGGTAAGGAACAAAATTTAACATTACTGCTTTGATATATTAGTAAATTTTGAGTTTCTGTAGGAGGGGGATATGTAATTTACTTTCTATTTATATTCGTTTATAGTAATACTAGAAGTCCTAGTAGAAATGTTCAACTTATACTACTTTCTGTCATTTTTATAGGTTAATACCCTCCAAATATTTAAAAATCAACCGATAAGTCTTTCACATCTAGTGTTATTTCTTAGACATACATATATGTATCTAAGAAATACACACACACACACACACACACACACACACACACACACCAGTAAAATGATGGCCTTGCATGCAATAGTTCTTTCCGATATTCCTCAACTAAATCCACCTGGCCATAGTCTGATGGGTTTTCAGGGCATTGACAACTTTAGATAATTTAAGTCTCACTAGCGCTACAAGCTAAAGTCATTAGTATGAGAGATTTACTACACTGTTGTAGATCAGGTATCTTTTCACTTTCTATAATGCCTCCATTTTAGGCATACTTTCTTAGTTTGAGAACAAAATATCACACACACACACACACACACACACACTTAAACACACAAAGATATATGCAAGTGATTAAACCCATTAATATTTCTATTTTCCTGAAGATAAAAAGAAACTTACAAATCTTTGTTAGCACTTCATCCAATGCTAATTATATGTTACTATTCTCTAATATTTTAGTTCGCTGATATTTTGTTATCCCACATTTAGACATCATCAAGATCTTTATTATTATTATGTTAGACAGTTCATATTTATTTATAGTACCCATGATTACTAATATCTGGCTCTCTTGCTTCTTAGACATTATTCTTGCTTCTCAGACATTCTTTCTGGAGCTATTTTACTTTGTCCTGTTTTCTTTCATAATAATATCCAACTATCATATCTCTTAGCGTAGGCTAGATTATACTATAGAAATAAATATGCCCAAATAACCAAAGGTGTATGTTTCAAACTTATGCTGTATACCCAACATAGGTTGTTTAGGATCTTGGACTGAAAAGGCTCTATCTCAAAATATGCTTCTACCATCAATGCAACAAAGGAAAGGGATTGGGCCACTGCATTCTGGCACTTAAAGCTTATTCTGGAGAGTGGTCGTGATGTAATTTTACATGTCAGCATGGCTAGGCTATGTGCCCAGATGTTCGGTCAAGCACCCGTATAGATGTTTCTGTGAAGGTGGTTTTTAAATGTGGTTAACATTTAAATCAGCAGGATTTGAGTAAAGCAGATTACTTTTTATAATGTGAGTGGGACTCATCCAATCAGGTTAAGGCTTTAAGAGCAAACACTGAGGTTTTTCAGAGAAGCAGTTTTGCCTCCAGACTTTCTGCCTGAGTTTCCAGCCTGCTGCCTTACAGAAATTGAATTCAAGACTGCTACATCAGCTGGGCATGGTGGCCCATGCCTGTAATCTTAGTACTGTAGGAGGTTGAGGTGGTCAGATTGCCTAAAGGCCAAACCTCATCTTCACAGAAAATACAAAAAACTATCTGGATGTGGTGGCACGCACCTGTAGTCCCAGCTACTTCAGAGGCTGAGGTGGGAGGATCACCTGAACCCAGGAAGTTGAAGCTGCAGTGAGCCATGATGGCAACACTGCACTCCAGCCTGGGCAACAGAGTGAGACCTTATCTCAAAACAAAAGCAAAACAAACAAAAAAGACTACTACACCAACTGTTGCCTTAATTTTCAGTATGGTGGCCTGCTCTAAACACTTTAGATTTCCAGCTCCCACAATTGCATAATTCTGTTTAACTTTTTGAGGAAACATCAAAATGTTTTCTCACCACAGCTACACTATTTTATGTTTCCACCAGCAATGTATGAGGTTTCCAATTTCTCCACATCCTCACCAACACTTATTGTCTTATTTTAAAAAATATTATAGCCATCCTCCTGAGGATAAAGTGTAGAAGACTATTTTTAAATCAAATTGATGTGAACTTTTTATTTACCTTTTGCTTTTTTAGAAAATGTTTTCTGTTTTCTAGGTTTGAATCATAATTAATTATAGTCTGTCTAATAATTTTATTAAATTAAGTCCATGTTTCTTTTGTTTGTTTCTGCCTACCCTTTTCTATAGTGAATTTTGTTTTTGTTTGAGCTTATGCTTTCTAGCACTGCGTGAGTAATTATAAAAGGTCTGAGCATTTATCCCTCCAAACAGGATTTTTCTTTGCTTCTGCCAGGCAGCCTAGTGGTGGTAACAAATGTTGGGTCATATTAAGTTAATTTCGTAGGTTGGTGTTACATCCTTATAGCAGTGTAAATTTTAATGGCAAATTAATGTAAGGATAAACTGGGTTTCACATTTTCGGTGGAGTTATTTTTTTTCTAAAGCTCAACCACATTCTCTATTACTGTTTAATTTTTGTTTGTTTATTATGATGAGATTTTTCAGGTTCATTCAATTGAATTAATCATAATTCTTGGCTATCACTAACATTGGTCATTAGTTAATGGTGGACTTTCTATATTGGTCTATGTATGGATTGCTTCTTTTTTTAGTTAGATATATATATCACTATTTTAAATAGCATAATAAGCACCTATAAGTCTACTGTTGAAATAAATGCTGGGAATTTAAAAATTATCTACGTGTAGCCATATGTTTCTCCTGCCCACCCAAGCTTGTGCCATCCCACAACCAACATAATCATCAAATCATTGCCCTGAATTCTCTTTATTATTTCATTTCTTTTTAATATTGTTTTATTATATCTGTATGCACATTAAGATGGTGTGTGTATGGAAGTACTCTGTATACTAGCTTTAATATATTTATTTGTACTCTTTAAATATCTATGTATAATTTTAGTTGCTTTTAATTGTATAAAAATATATGTCATGCTACATATAAAATTTGTAGCTGGGCATCCGAGTTGTACTTCCAGGTTTTTGTTACAATACCTATTGCTGTTATAAGCATTGTTATACCTGTCTCTGATTACAAAACTTTCTCTGGGTATATGTCCAGAGTTGAATTCTTGATTCATAGAGTATGTGAAAATTTAACCTTAGGAGTTAATAACAAAGGTGTTTTTTTAAAGGGGCTGTACCAAATACAGCAGACCAGCAATGTATAAGTTGCAGATCTATTTAATTCGTACCGTTTCTCCCTGAAGTTTTAATTTTTGCATGTTCAGTGAGATATAAATGATATGTCATTGCAGTCTTTTCATTTTGTGGTCATCAGTGTTGTTGAATACCTTGTTTAAAGTTTACTTGTAATAGGTTTGTCTCTTATATAAAATGCCATGCAAATTTCTTGTCCATTATTCATTTATTTCATGTTCTTCCTAGTAATTTTTCAGAGTTTTTAATACATTCTTCACCTTAGTTTTTGGTCAGTTCAATGTAGGGTGAATATTTTCTCATTTGCATTTTTATTTTCACCCTGTTTAAGGCATGATTTGTTAAATAAAAGTTCTTAAAGAATGTCATGTTTCTGGCCGGGCGCGGTGGCTCACGCCTGTAATCCCAGCACTTTGGGAGGCCGAGGCGGGCGGATCACGAGGTCAGGAGATCGAGACCATCCCGGCTAAAATGGTGAAACCCCGTCTCTACTAAAAATACAAAAAATTAGCCGGGCGTAGTGGCGGGCGCCTGTAGTCCCAGCTACTTGGGAGGCTGAGGCAGGAGAATGGCGTGAACCCGGGAGGCGGAGCTTGCAGTGAGCCGAGATCCCGCCACTGCACTCCAGCCTGGGCGACAGAGCGAGACTCCGTCTCAAAAAAAAAAAAAAAAAAAAAAAAAAAAAAAAAAAAGAATGTCATGTTTCTGAAGGGTTTCTTTTATTATAAGTGTTTTGTATATCTTGTCTCATACATTTTGTTACCACAAGGTCTAAAAGATGTATATTTCTATATTCTACTATGAGATTTGACATCTATTCTGATAACTGAAACCTTAATTTATCTTGAATTGGATCAGGTCGAATTAAGTTTGAAATAATTTTCTATGGATTTCTAATTTTTAGAGCTCCACTTCAAGAAGAGTTCCTCCTTATTCCAGTAATCTGCATACCAATTTTGTCATTTAACAAACTCCCATACATCTGTGGGTCTCGTTAATGTTTCTGCACCCATACTACATTGTTGTTTATTATAGTTGTGTAGATACAATTTCTGTATCTGCCAGGGAAAGTTCCTGGTCTTTGAGTTTCTTCATCAGTAACCTAAACAGCACAGTACTGGTACCAAAACACACAGGCCAATAGAACAGAATAGAGAACCCAGAAGTAATGCTGCATGCCTACAATTATCTGATCTTTGACAAAGTCGATGAAAACAGCAATGTGGAAAGGACACTCTATTCAATAAATGGTGCCGGGATAACTGGCTAGCCATATGCAGAAGGTCAAAACTGGATTATTTCATTACACCAAGTACAAAAATGCACTCAAGATGGATTAAAGACTTACATGTAAAAGTAAAAATAATAGAAATCCTGTAACATAACTTAGGAAATATTCTGGACATAAGACCAAAGATTTCATGACAAGCATGCCAAAAGCAATTGCAACGAAAACAAAAAAGACAAATCAGACCTAATTAAACTAAATATCTTCTGCATAGCAAAAGACACTACCAATAGAGAAAACAGTCTACAGAATAAGAGAAAATATTTGCAAACTCTGCATCCAACAAAGGTTTAATAGCTAGATTCTATAAGGAACTTGATCAAATTTACAAGCAAAAAATAAACCCCATTAAACGCAGGAGCAGAAAATCAAACACTGCATGTTCTCACTCATAAGTGGGAGTTGAACAATAAGAACACATGGACACAGGTAGGGGAACATCACACACCGGGGCCTGTCGGGGGGTGGGGGCCAAGGGGAAGGAGAGCATTAGGACAAATACCTAATGCAAGCAGGGCTTAAAACCTAGATGACAGGTTGATAGGTGCAGCAAACCACCAGGCCACACGTATACCTATGTAACAAACCTGCACATTCTGCACATGTATCCCAGAACTTAAAGTAAAATAAAAAAAGAAAAAAGAAAATTAACAACAACAACAAAAAGTGGACAAAAGACATGAACTGACACTTTTCAAAAGAAGTCATACATTTGGCCAACAGGCACTTGGAAAAATACTCAACATCACTAATCACTAGGGGAATGCAAATCAAAACCACCATGAGATACCATCTCACACTAGTCAGAATGGCTATTATTTTTATTTTTTTGAGATGGGATCTCACTATGCCACCCAGGCTGATGTGCAGTGGCATCATCTCAGCTCACTGCAACCTCTGCCTTCCTGGCTCAAGAATTTTCCTGCCTCAGCCTCCCCTGCAGCTGGGACTACAGGCATGTGCCACCATGTCTGGCTAATTTTTGTATTTTTTGTAGAGATGGGGTTTAGCCATGTTGCCCAGGCTGGTCTGGAACTGCTGGACTCAAGCAATCCATCCACCTGGGCCTCCCAAAGTGCTGGGATTTATAGGTGTGATCTACCACAGCCAGCCATGGCTATTAATAAAAAGTTAAAAAAGTAAAAGTGCTACAGAGGTTACGGAGAAAAGGGAATGCTTATACACAGCTGGTAGGAGTGTAAATTAGTTCAGCTTTTGTAGAAAGCAGTGTGGCAGTTTCTTAAATAACTTAAAACAGAATTACCATTCAACTCAGCAATCCCATTATTGGGTATACACCCAAAGAAATACAAATGATTCTACCATAAAGACCCATGCACGTGTATGTTTATTGCAGCACTATTCACAATGGCAAAGACATGGAATCAACCTAGATGCCTATCAATGGTAGACTAGATAAAGAAAATATGATACATATATACCATGGAATACTATGCAGCTATAAAAAAGAACTAGATTATGTCCTTTGCAGCAACATGGATGGAGCTGGAGGCTATAATCCTGACTGAAATAACACAAGAACAGAAAGCCAAATACCACATGTTCTCACTTATAAGTGAAATCTAAATGTCAAGTACATATCGACACAAACAAGGGAACAACAGACACTGGAGCCTACCTGAGGATGGAGAGTGACGGGAGGGTGAAGATTGAAACACTACCCATCAGGTGCTATGTTTAAATTGGTTCACAGTTTTGCAGGGCTGGAGAGGTCTCAAGAAACTTATGATCATGGTGGAAGGGAAAGCACACATCTTTCTTCACATGGCAACAGGAAGGAGTAGTGCAGAGGGAAGGTTGGAAAAGCCCCTTATGGAACTATCAGATCTCATGAGAACTCACTCACCACCCCCATGCTCTAATCACCTCCCACAAGGTCCCTCCCCGAACATGTGGGGATCAAAATTCAGATTCTCATTCAAGATGAGATTTGGGTGGAGACACAGAGCCAGACCACATCATATAGGATGATCAGTTCACACAGTTGCCTCTCTTCGCTTATGGACAAAATGATGGTAATCTATTCTCGCTATGATATGTGATCCTCCACACCCTCATTTTGCATGTTACATGCTCTACTATCCCTTGTGTGGTCACTAGGAATAGAGGGAACCCACCAATAGAGAACCTACAAACCCTCATTTTGCACATTCCATACTCTGCTATCCCCTGTGTGGTCACTAGGAATAGAGGGAACCCACAAGGGTACACATTAATTTGGGGTCAAATTAAGAGGCTTTTGTCCAGGAACTTCTCTTTCTTTAACTTTTATGGAATGTATTGACACCTGGAGACTTATCTTTCAGTTTAGTAGAACCATCTTTGACTTTTAAAAAAATAGGATTTTCTAACTACCTATTGGGTAGTATGCTCACATGGGTGCAATATGCCCATATAACAAACCTGCATGTATACCCTTGTATCTGAGATAAAATTTGAAATTTAAAAGAAAAAACCAATTAAAAAATTTGTCCAGCTTTTGTAGATGTTTTGTTTCACTATTTTTGAGAACATATTGCTTGACATGTTTCTAGAAACAAAAAGTAGGCTTATTAATTTTACAGAATTATATCATCCTCATAAAGCTCTGAATTAAAAAAATCTTTATATCATTGAATATATAAATGTCTACACAGGATGGGCTTGAGTTGTTTCTTATAAATAAGATTCTGAAGTCCAGGTGTAAAATTTTAAAGGAAATTAAAGACAGATGTTTGAAAACACATATATTTATTTGCCTGGGTGTGTTGTGTGTTTGCTTTAACTAATCTATACCTAGTCTAATTTTCTTTCATTTAATTCTCTTTTTTGGCATCAGAGATATTTTCTTAAACAAAACTCAAGATGTCATTGCCATGTGTTAAAAATAATTTTTTTCCCTCAATCACCTACATAATTAATAGTCAAGATTGCATAGCATAGCAAATCAAGCAATTCAGTTTTGAACTCTCATTTTATTGGCCGGGCTCAGTGGCTCACACCTGTAATCCCAGCACGTTGAGAGGACAAGGCAGGTAGATCAGGAGGTCAAGAGATTGAGACCATCCTAGCCAACATGGTGAAACTCTGTCTCTACTAAAAATACAAAAATTAGCTGGGGGTGGTGGCACATGCCTCTAGTTCCAGCTACTCGGGAGGCTGAGGCAGGAGAATCACTTGAACCTGGGAGGTGGAGGTTGCAGTGAGCCAAGATCATGCCACTGCACTCTGGCCTGGTGACAGAGAGAGACTCCGTCTGAAAAAAAAAAAAAATCTTATTTTATCTCATCCATCTGTAAATCCGACACTTCAGCTTCAGCCACTGTGAAATACAGGTAGGGTAAGAACACGAGATTCTTAATCACACCTCTCTTTCTTTGTGCATGCTGTTCTGTCATTTGTAGTTTTTTGTTTTGTTTTGTTTTTTGCTACTGAGTCGTATGAGTTTCCTACATGTTTTGGATATTAATTTCTTATCAGATGAATGCTTTGCAAATATTTTCATCTATTTATTGGGTTGCCTTTCTTAATTTTAATTTTATTTTATTGCTATTCAGAAAATTTTATGTAATCCTACTTCTTTATTTATTTTTGCTTTTGGTGACTGTGCTTTTGGTGTCATATCCAGAAAATTACCATCAAGACCAATGTCCTGGGGCTTCTTCTATATGTTTTCTTCAAGGAGTTTTAGAGTTTTAGGTAATACACTTACATCTTTAACCCATTGTGAGTTAACTTTTGTGTATGATGTAAAATAAAGATCCAGTTTCATTTTTTTGGTGTGTGTGGACATCTGTATTTGTAAATACTGTTTGTCGAAAAGAGTATCCTTTCTTCATTGTGTATCCTTGGTGACTTTGTTGAAGATGAGTTGACTATGTATTCATGAATGTATTTCTAGGCTCTGTTCCATTGGTCTATAAGTATATTTTTATGCCAGAACCAAACTGTTTTGATTACTATGCTTGTAATATAATTTTAAATGAAGAGGTGTGATGCCTCCAGTTTTGATCTTTTTTTCTCAAAATTGCTTTAGCTATTTGAGGTCTTTTGTGGAGCCATACACATTTTAGAATTTTTCTTTTATTTCTATGAAAATATCATTGAAATTTTGATAGGGATTGAATTGAATCTGTAGATCACTTTATGTAGCGTGAACATTTTAAATTTGTGATATTTTCTATTTATTGACACAGAATATATTTCTATTTATTCATATCTTCTTCAATTTCTTTCATGAATGCTTTATAGTTTTCAGTTTTCAAATCTTCTACCCTCCTTGATTTTTTTCTTTAATATTTTATCCTTTTTGATGTTATTGTAAATTGGACAGATTTTTAGATAGCTTGTTAGTGCCTCAAAACACAACTGATTTTTGTATGTTCATTTTGTATCCTGCAACTTTACTGAATTAGTTTACTAGTGCTAACAGGTTTTTTTGTGGAATATTGAGAGTTTTTGATGTAAAAGATCATGTCACCCGCAGAGACAATTTAACTTTTCTTTTTCTACTTAGCTGCTTTTTATTTACTTTGCTTGTCTAATATCACAGGATCCTTTGGGTGTCGCTTCGCCAGCCTGAAACAACTGTGGCCGGCAGTGCCTCTACTTGAGTTTGCTTGTGCCCACTGGGCTCGTTCTGCTCACTTGGCTCAGCAGGCTATGCTCGGCCCAGCAGGCTATGCTCATGCTACTGGCCTGGATCATACGCTCCCTAAGGGCGAGCCAGGTGCAGAGCAGCGAGCGGTGTGTGAGTGAGCGAGCGCAGGGTCAGGCCACTGTGCACAGCTAAACACACTGGCTGCTGTGGCAGGGCAGGAAGCTCCAGGCACTGACGTAGGCACTGGCTCTGTTTGAGGCTGCCGCTGGACTAGGCATACCACAAGCAGCTTTTGATGCAGACGCCGACATCGGGACGAGGGGAACACGGTGACGCCCCAAAACTCGAGACACCAGCAACAATGGAGCCCCAAGTGGTGGGGGGATGTGCTAGAGTTCTCTCACGCCTGCCGCGCACAGCTCAGCGAGCCATGGGTGGGGGATTACATGTTTCAGCTAGTTTACTGCCGCCACCTCGCTCTGGAGGGCTGCTTCCGGGCTGGCTCAGCCCTGCCGCCACTTCCGGTCACATGGGGCAGCTGCCGGACACCAGGAGACGATGGAAGGTCTATAGTGTTACAGCTCTGACCCAGGAAGTCCCAGGGTCTTGCCTTCCAGAAGGGTCGCGGCTCTTCCCTCCCTCAGTCCAACGAACAGGAGCACGTCACCTCCCGCAGCTCGGGGAGCTGGCCAGGAACGTGTTACAGCCCGTTTCGCTCCTGTCCGCAGCTGGGTGAGGCAGCCAGGAAAATATTACAGCTCTTCTCACGCCCGCCATTCAGCAGGTCCTGACTTCTTGTGTGACATCCAGAAGAAAGGGGTTACACAGACAGCTGGAGGGTGAGCAAAGTGGAGAAGTTCTCAGCAGAGAGGAGACTGGAGTGAGTTGCCCCTACCCGCAGGTGGGTAATCCTGACGTGTGGCTGAGCCTGGAGTTTTCATGGGCTCACAAATGGAGGAAGTATATGCCGGTTGGTCCGTGGGCAGGCCTGGAAAAACACCATTTGATTGGCTGAAAGGCATCAAGAAAGTTTTTACTCCAGGTTGCCAATCCTACTTGGAACTGGTAGCCTGGTTTTTAGGCTCCAGGCTGTCTTTGGCTTGAAGGTCGGGTTTCACAGGGGACCCAACCATTCCTCCTAAGAATTGGTCTGCCTCCTGCTGCTATCACGAATTGCTTTGATTAGGACCTCAAGTACTATGTTGAATAAGAGTGGTGAGAGTGGGCCTCTTTATTTTGTTCCTAATCTTAAAAAATTTTCATCTCTTTATAATTGAGTATGATGTTAATTGTGGGCGTGTGATATGTGGCCTTTATTGTGTTGAGATACATCCCTTCTCTATTTTATTTATTCAATTTTTATCATAAAGGATAGCAAATTTTGTCAAATGCTTTTTCTGCATCTATTGTGATCATTTTATTATTTATTATTTTAGTGTTCTGTATATATTTGAGATTTGCATATGTTGAAACAGTCCTGTATTCCAGGAATTTGATCCTGGTGTATGATGCTTTTAATGTGATGGTGAATTCAGTTTGCTAGTATTTTATTGAGGAATTTTGCATCTACATTCATCACATATTGGCATATAATTTCCTTTTCTTGTAGTATCTGTGTCTTGCTTTAGTGTCTGGGTAATGCTGGCCCGAAGAGTGAGTTTGGAAGTATTCTCACCTTTTTAATTTTTTGAAAGAGTTTGAGAAATATTGGCCTTTATTCTTCCTTAAATGTTAGGATGTTCAATTTACCAATGAAGCCATTTGTTCCTGGTCTTTTCTTTGAGGGAGGTTTTTGATTACTAATTTTTTTTAATTTTTTATACTTGTATTTTAGGTTTTGGGGTACATGTAAAGTTTTGTTACATAGGTAAACACACGTCATGGTTTTTTTTTTTTTTTTTTTTTTTTTTTTTTTTTTTTTAGTAATTTACCCATTTCATCTAGGATATCCAATTTTTGGTGTACAGTTGTTCATAGTAGTGTCTTAAGATTCTGTATTAGTCTGTTTTCATGCTGCTGATAAAGACATACCAGAGACTGGGCAATTTACAAAATAAAGAGGTTTATTGGACTTGCAGTTCCATGTGGCTAGGAGGCCTCACAATCATGGTGGAAGGTGAAAGGCATGTCTCACATGATGGCAGACAAGAGAATAGAGTTTGTGCGGGGATACTCCTGTTTTAAAACTATCAGATCTCAGGAGACTGACTCGCTATCACGAGAACAGCATAGAAAAGACCTACCCCCATGATTCAATCAACTCCTATCAGGTTCCTCCCACAACACATGGGAATTGTGGGAGTTACAAGATGAGATTTGGGTGGTGATACGGAGCCAAACCATATTAGATTCTTTGCATATCAGTTAGATTCTGTGATATCAATTGTAATGTCCCCTCTTTCTCTCCTTTCTCTCCTTTTTTCTTAGTCTACCTGTTTGTTGATTTTATTTTTTCAAAAATCCAACTCAGTTTATTTTTTTCTATTTAAAAAAAAATCTTATTTTATTTCTGCTCTGGTATTTGTTATTTTCTTCCTTCTACTAACTTTGGGCTTATTTTATTTTTGTGGGTCCTTAACATGTAAAGTTAGGGTTTTTTTTTGAGACTTTTAATTTTCTTTATATAGGCCTTTATGGCTCGAAGCATCCCCTTTAGAATTACTTTTGCTGCATCCCATAAATGTTGGTACCTTATATTTCCTCTTTTGTTTCAAATTATTTTTCCATTTCCTTTTTGATATCTTCATCGACCCATTGGTTGTTTAGGAGTATGGTATTAAATGTTCACTTATTTGCGAACATACTCATCTTCCTTCTGTTATTGGTTTGGTTTCATAAACTTATAGTCAGAAAATAAACTTACTATGATCTTAATCTTCTTAAATTTGTTAAAACTTGTTTTGTAGGCTAACACATGATCTATCCTGGAGAATGTTCCATGTGTGCTTGAGAAGAATGTGTATTCTGGTGCTGTTGGATGGAATTCTTTGTATTTGTCTGTTAGGTCCATTTGGTCTAAAGTGAAACCCATGTCCAAAGTTTTCTTATTGATTTACATCTTGATAATCTACAAATTGTTGAATGTGGCATATAGAAGTCCCTTACTACTATTGTATCATTCTCTATTTCTGCCTTCAGAACTTTTAATATTTACTTCTCATTTATAGGTGCTCCAGTGTTGGGTGCATATATAGTTAACAATTGTTGTATTCTTTTAATGAGCTGACTCATTTATTATTATATAATGACCTTCTTTGTCTCTTTTTACAGTTTTTGACTTAGAGTCTATTTTGTCTAATACAAAGGCTATGATTTAAATGCTGATGTTCCCCCCAAAATTCATGTGTTGAAATTCTACCCCCAAGATGATGGTATTAGGATGTTGGGCCACTTGAAAGTGATTAGGTCATGGGAACAAATCTCTCATGAATATAATTATTGCCCTTATTAAATAGACCCCAAAGAGCTTGTTCACCCCTTTATGAGGACGCAACTAGAAGGTATCATTCATGAGACAGAAAATAGTTTCTGTTGTGAGGAAAATGATTTCTGGTTGTGAGGACACAACTAGAAGATATTATTCATGAAACAGAAAATGGTCCCTCACCGGACACTAAATCTGCTAGTGTTTTGATCTTGGACTTCCTAGCCTACAGAACTGTGAGAAATTAGTTTCTGTTACTTAAAAGCTTCCCTACTTATGGTATTTTATTATACCAGCCAAAATGTACTACAACAATAAGTATAGCTACTTATATTCTCTTTTGGTTTCCATTTACATGTAATATCTTTTTTTTATCCCTTTATTTTTAGTCTACGTGTGTTCTCAAAGGGGAAGTGAGTCCCTTAAAGGCAGAATTTAGTTGGATTTTTAAAAATCCATTCAGTCACTCTATTTTTTTTCCACTGGAGAATTTAATCAATTTACTTTAAGGTAATTATGCATATTTTAGAGTGATTGAAAGTTCTGTGGATGAAACTAGTTTTTTAACAGATAACCTATTATATCTCATAAATCTCAATGTGGACATTTTAAAATAAAGCATTAAGATGTTGATTAAACATCCGACCTTAAATTTGATGTGTCTTTAAATTATAATTTGTAACTTTTTGTTTCTTTTCTCTATAATTTGTAACTTTTCTTTTTTCTTTCTCTTTCCCTTTTGTTTTTCTTTATTATAGTGGTGTAATTTAAAATCAGTGGCTTCTTAAGCTCAAAAAAATTTGTTTTCTATCAAATCAAATATATGTTATGTTTGTATATCTGTATGTGTTTACAAAACTAGTGGATAATACCTGCTTAAATAATTGGTTTTCTAGAAAATTACTGCTTTCAGGATGTCCATGGGGATATAACATTAAATGCCTACATTACTAGCAAAGTTATCATATGGCCCAAGACTTTGTTTATAGGCTGTGGTAACCAGCCTTTCAAATAGACCCCCGTGATCTCTGCCTCCTGGTATTCACATTCTCATGTATTGCTTCTTACATTTTACTAGGCTTGGTAGGTGTGATCATTAGCATATGGTAGAATAAAAATGTAAGAAAATATTTTTATAAACTTGGAGATATGAAAAGTTTTCCAAAGTCATAAACAATACTCCGAAACAAAATAAAATATTTACTTGTCTGAGTATAAAAGCATTAACAAATACTATGGCAAAACAAGGTTAAGAAACATAACATTTTTTTCATTAAAAGTTTAAACAATAGCACCATAATTTGAAGAAAATTTAAAAAAATACAAAAGAAATATCTATAACAAAGAAGAATCTACAAATTTTTAAGGTAAAACATAATAAAAACAACAAATGGGCTAAAAGCAAATGAATAATACCTTGAAGTAATAGCAATAAAATTGTATTAACACATTAAAATACATGATAATTCAAATTAAGGCAATAATAATATGTCATTTCTGACCCATTTCATTAAAAATTTAGAATGAGAGATAGTAATTATTGTAGTCAGGGGGATGCAGGAAATGTTACATTATAAATAGTATAATCTTAAGGGCAATTTAGTAGGATATATCCAAATAACAAAGTGTACCTTCCCTTTAAAGTATTGATACTCTTTCTAATAACAGTATATAGAAAAACTTACACATATGAAAAAATATATGACAATGATATTTATTACAGCAGATTTTATAATAATAAAATTTTAGAAATAACACAAATGTTCATTGATAAAGGAATACATAGTTATCATACATGCATATTGTTGAACCCCACATAGCAATTAAAAACAGTGATACCTATCTATATGTAGTGACCAGAAATTATATCTAATATTGAAAAGTAGATTAAAGTGGATTATCTTATGTGATACCAAAGGTACAGGCAACTAAATAAAAATAGACAGACTGAACTTCATCAAAATTAAAAACTTTTGGCCAGGTGAGGTGTCTCACGCCTGTAATAGCAGCACTTTGGGAGGGAGAGGTGGGGGGATCACTTGAGGCCAGGAGTTTGAGACCAGTCTGGCCAATATGGTGAAACCCCATTTTTACAAAAAATACAAAAATTAGCCTGGCATGGTGGTAAGAGCCTGTAATTATAGCTACTAAGGAGGCTGAGGCACCAGTATCACTTGAACTGGGGTGGCGGAGGTTGCAGTGGGCCAAGATTGGGCCACTGCACTCCAGCCTGAGTGACAGAATGGGATATCACCTCAAAAAAATAAACAAAACAAAACAAAACAAAACCTTTTGTGCATGAAAGGAAACTGTCGATGAAATAAAAAAAGCAACATACAGAATGAAAGAAAACATTTACAAATTATGTATCTGGTAAGAGAAACATCCAGGATGTAGAGAGCATTCCTAAAACTCAACAACAATAAAAACTCAATTCAAAAATGAGATTGAATAGACATTTCTCCAAAGGAGATATGCAAATGACCAATAAGCACCTGAGAAAGTGCTCAATATCATTGATCTTTAGGGAATGCAAAACAAAACCAAAATGACATACTATAATATGTCACAGTGCAAAAGTCACAGCATTCCTATACACCAATAACAGACAGAGAGCCAAATCATGAGTGAACTCACATTCACAATTGCTACAAAGAGAATAAAATACCTAGGAATCCAACTTATAAGGGATGTGAAGGACCTCTTCAAGGAGAACGACAAACTACTGCTCAAGGAAATAAGAGAAGACACAAATAAATGGAAAAGCATTCCATGCTTATGGATAGGAAGAATCAATATTGTGAAAATGGGCATACCACCCAAAGTAATTTATAGATTCAATGCCATCCCCATCAAGCTACCAATGACTTTCTTCACAGAATTGGAAAAAACTACTTTAAGGTTCATATGGAACCAAAAAAAGAGCCTGCATAGCCAAGACAATCCTAAGCAAAAAGAAAAACGCTGGCGGCATCGTGCTACCTTACTTCAAACTATACTACAAGGCTACAGTAACCAAAACAGCATGTTATTGGTACCAAAACAGATATATAGACCAATGGAACAGAACAGAGGCCTCAGAAATAACACCACACATCTACAACCATCTGATCTTTGACAAACCTGACAAAAACAAGCAATGGGGAAAGATTTCCTATTTAATAAATGGTGTTGGGAAAACCGACTAGCCATATGCAGAAAACTGAAACTAGACCCCTTCCTTACACCTTATTCAAAAATTAACTCAAGATGGATTAAAGACTTAAACGTTAAGACCTGAAACCATAAAAACCCTAGAAGAAAACCTAGGCAATACTACTCAGGACATAGGCGTGGGCAAAGACTTCATAACTAAAACACCAAAAGCAATGGCAACAAAAGCCAAAATTGACAAATGGGATCTAATTAAACTAAAGAGCTTCTGCACAGCAAAAGAAACTATCATCAGAGTAAACAGGCAACCTACAAATTGAGAGAAAATTTTTGCAATCTATCCATCTGACAAAGGGCTAATATCCAGAATCTACAAAAAACTCAAACAAATTTACAAGAAAAAAACAACCCCATCAAAAAGTGAGCGAAGGATATGAACAGGCACTTTTCAAAAGAAGACATTTATGCAGCCAACAAACATGAAAAAAATCTCATCATCACTGGTCATTAGATAAATGCAAATCAAAACCACAGTGAAAAACCATCTTATGCCAGTTAGAATGGCGATCCTTAAAAAGTCAGGAAACAACAGATGCTGGAGAGGATGTGGAGAAATAGGAATGCTTTTACACTGTTGGTGGGGGTGCAAATTAGTTCAACCATTGTGGAAGACAGTGTGGCAATTCCTCAAAGATCTAGAACCAGAAATACCATTTGACCCAGCAATCCCATTAATGGGTATATACCCAAAGAATTATAAATCATTCTACTGTAAAGACACATGAACATGTATATTTATTGCAGCACTATTCACAATAGCAAAGACTTGGAACCAACCCAAATGCCCATCAGTGATAGACTGGATAAAGAAAATGTGACACATATACACCATGGAATACTATGCAGCCATAAAAAGGATGAGTTCATGTCCTTTGCAGGGACATGGATGAAGCTAGAAACCATCATTCTCAGCAAACTAACAGAAGAACAGAAAGCCATACACTGCGTGTTCTCACTCATAAGTGGGAGTTGAACAATGAGAACACATGGACACAGGGAGGGGAACATCACCTACTGAGGACTGGATGGGTGCAGCAAACCTCCATGGCACGTGTATACCTATGTAACAAACCTGCATGTTCTGCAAATGTACCCCAGAACTTAAGTATAATAATAAAAAAAGTTCTTCAAGTAAAATGGAAAAAAAACCCAATGAAGTGTTGGCCTTAATGTGGAAAAATTGGAACCCTTGTACATTGCTGATGGAAATGTAAAATAGATACAGCTGCTATAGAAACAGTATGGTGGTTCCTCACAAAACAGTAAATTGAATTAGCATATAACCCAGCAATCCCACTTCTGGATTGGGGTATATTTCCTTCTTATTTTTAAAGAAATGAAAAGCTGGGTCTCAAAGAGATAGTCATATATCCATGTTCATAGAAGTATTATAGAACAACAGCCAAAACATGGAAGTAACCCAACTGTTCACTGATACATGAATGGATAAACAAAATGGGATATACACACACAATGGGACATTACTCAATTTTAAAAAAGGAGCAAAATTTTGACAAATTCTGCAACATGGATGAACCCTGATGATATTATGCCAAGTGAAATATGCCAGCCACACAAAAAAATCAAGTACTGTGTGAGGTACTTAGAGTAATCAAATTCATAGAGAAAGTAGGATGATGGTTGCTAGAAGCCAGGGCAGGAGAGAGGGGAATGAGAAGCTGTTTTTTAATGGGTATAGAGTTTCAGTTTCATAAGTTGAAAAGAGTTTTGGAAGGTGGATGCCCAACAATGTCAATGTACTTAACATTACTGAACTTCACATTTAAAATGATTAAGATGGTAAGGTTTATGTTTTATGTATTTTTCTGCAATTAAAAAGTAAGAAAAACTTAAAGCAGCTTATGAAATAATATGGACAGTATACTCCTGTTTTTACAGAAAATACATACATAATCTGCGTGCGTTTGTAAAGTATATTGAGGGCTAAAACTCTGAAAATTATAAAAGGTATTAGGGTGGAACTAAATGAATTTTCACACTTCATAGTTAAAAACTGTTTGCATTTTTATGAGTATGTATTATTTAATTTAATACCACGGAGAATTGAAAAATAAGAAAAGAACAACACATTAGTGGATTGTAGAATTTCTCATGTAAAATGATAGCTTGATAGACAATTTGTACAGCTCCTCTCATTTGTCTTTGACTCAAATTATTTAATTTGGAAATTACTAACAACTGCAAATGCAGATGTAAGGTTCACACTTGAATTTAGAATCAAAATCATCTTAGCTAAGGGGTTATAGGAAAAGGAAGCCAGGAAGTTTGCATCTATAGGTAATACTGATAGGCAGCTACCCCAATACTCCATAAACTCTTTTTTTTCTATACCTTTTAAAGTTGATGTTCATTTTTGCCATATTGCATTAAAACATTTCATTATGTGGCAAAGAAAAGCATGTGAGTCATAGCCCCATTTATTATTTTATCTAGATTAGTCCTGGACAATTACCTAGCTACATAGAAGCTAACCTCCCAAGTTGGAGAGAAGGAAAATAACTTCCTTTCCTACTCAATCAACTGCCCAGTCCCTAAGTTCCCTAGCCTCTTTTATGTCAACTACCAACTGCATTTTGTCTGTAATCTTACTTCTGAATAAACAAGGTGTATGGGAGTCCCGAAAACACTGTTATTTTTATGAAGCCTGTCCTAGTCTCTTAAATAGGGAAAGTCACTCTGAAGTCATTACTATTGGTCCTCAGTGGGTGTGGGGGTTGGGGATAGCATTGGAATTTATCTACAAAGTAAGTTCTGCACCTTGTTATAATGTTTATGCTGCTTCCTCTTCCACCTAATTTCAATATAGTCTCAATAAAGCTTCTTCTTTAAGGGTTATGCTCCCCAGGATGATTTGGACTTTTCTGTAAATAAAGTAATTGAGTTAAAGGGATATAAGCTAGGAGTGGGGTATAAAATTTATCTGAGAATGAGTATATTATTCATTTGAATGGAGCCTGCAGAACCCACAAATTACAATAGCTGTGTGGCAGTCAGGTCTACCTATGTGCATGGCCTGCTATAGCCAGGCAGAAAACAGTACCATGTAGTATTTAAATAACACTGATAATATTTATTAAGAACTTGCTTTATATCTTGCACTGTTTTAGGTGCTGGGCTTTAGAATTGGAGAGATCTACATTCTAAATTCACTCTATCATTTCTAGTTGTGTGACTTGGGGCAGATTTCTAACTTCATTAATCTTTTGCTTATTTCTAAAGTAGAGATATGAAAACACTTGCCTGGCAGAATTGTTGTGAAGATTAAATCTATCATGCATTTTATGTGTTTAGCAGAGCACCTTACACAAAATAATCATTTGCTTGTATTTTAATTATTTCCCATAGACTGGCCTCACTATGATTTTTGGTATTCTGGTTTATGACTCAGAAAATCCAGCTATTTTGCTTCACTTTGGTCAAAGCATATGTTAATGAATTTTTATTTTCACACTCTGTTTAAAGCAACTAGGTATAACTTCTATTTCTTCTTTCTGTCTCCCACTTCCCTGTATATTTCTTAGTGTCTTAATGGCTGACAGCAAGGTGATGAAATTTCCATTTCAAAATAGAAAAAGTCACAATTTTCAAAGCAACAAATTTAAAAAAGACTTTTGACTCTGTTGTATCAGATACAATAGAATTACTTCTACTTACTGCCGGGCGCAGTGGCTCATGCCTGTAATCCCAGCACTTTGGGAGGCTGAAACGGGTGGATCACGAGGTCAGGAGATCGAGACCATCCTGGCTAACACGGTGAAACCCCGTCTCTACTAAAAATACAAAAAATTAGCCGGGCGTGGTGGCAGGCGCCTATAGTCCCAGCTACTCGGGAGGCTGAGGCAGGAGAATGGCGTGAACCCGGGAGGCGGAGCTTGCAGTGAGCCGAGATGGCACCACTGCACTCCAGCCTGGGTGACAGAGCGAGACTCCGTCTCAAAAAAAAAAAAAAAAAAGAAGAATTGCTTCTACTTACTATTGTGTTTTCGATGAATATTGTGGTTCCACAGACTTTGATTATATAGTAATCTCATCCTCCAACCCTCCTTTTATTAAAAAGTAAATGCATATATGTATATATAAATGATGAGCACATATATACATACACACATAATTTGTTTATTGATTTTTCAGCACCTGCACATTCAGAAACAATCAGAGCAGAGCAAGAGAGATTACCTGTAACCCAGGGTCACTTCTGTCTCTGCCAGAGTGGGCTGTGTAAAAAGGCAGACTAAGTGACCACCTTCCTTGAGTTAACCAGATGGTGCTACTTAGCCTGAAAAATATCACCTCCCATTGGGCCTTGTAAGGTCATTGTTGGAATGCAAAACTACTTTCTAGGGGAAGGTATCATGTAAAGAGAAGTTAAATAAAATGAGGGAAAAGGAATTTCCAGGACATAGAAGCCTAAATATTGTGATGTTTTCAATTTAAATATTTTGGGGGGGTTGTGAACCTTTTAGGGTCAGAAAGTGCATTTATGGCCTGAATAAGGGCAGAGACGTGATGAGTGATGAAGGAGAGAATGCACTGGGAGCACACACTGTCTGTTTAAGATTAGTGCCCCCTCTTGCTTTAATAGGAGTGATAAAGAGGGTTTAGGGTGGGATAGAGGTAGAGATTGGAGTGACCAACTGGAAATACATACAGTATTCATAGACATTTTCTTTTGTCTGAATGGAGATACTCAACTTGGTGGCCTTCATTGACCTCCTTATCACAATGCTTTGACTCTGGTCACTCAGTAAGGTCTGGAGCACTTGAGATGTTTAATTTTACAAATCTGAAAGCTAATTACATGGTGATGTGGCTGGCTGATTTAGAATTGATGATGTCTGTTTTATATAATCCCTACCACCTCTCAAGTGAAGCAAAGTTGGGTCACTTGACCGGTTTTACTCAATTTCTTGTATCAGTTTATGAGGATGCAGCTGGGATCCTAAAAGCAGATCTCAGGTTATTATTTTAGAAATTTTATAGTATAACAAGGCAACAGGCTACGCACAAGCAGAATCATGTTCATAGTTGGTACTAAATGCATCTTTGTTAAATAAATTAATAAATATCACTGCTACTCAGTTCAATGGGATATTGTGTAGTATATTAGATGATATAATTCTACTTTTTCTTGATATACATTGTGTAATTTTAATAAAGACCAAACTTATATGAGACAGGGTAGGCAATTGCCCCATGATCTCTACTCTAAGGCTTCCATGTAGTGCATCTGCAAAAATCAAGAGCAAAAATAACTTCTCTACAGTGATTCTAATGAGTGACATTTTACCTCTGGAAGTTTGTATTCTTGGAATTCATGAACATCTTCTTTCTAATAGTAACTTTACGTTCATTAAGCCTCTTATGTTAAAGGGCTTGATTACATGTCTTGATAGATTTTGAAAAATATTGTAAAAATGTAGTTCATGAAAATCATCAGCAAAAACAATATTGAAGAGATCATAACTTTTATAGGAAAATGAAAGCAAAAGGAAAATAATGTTCAGATATTTGGTCGTATCGGGCCCAGAGAGAGAAGAGACCCTATTTTGTCAGAGTAGTCAAGTTGTATTAGTCCATTCTCACACTGCTATAGATACTACCTGAGACTGGGTAATTTATAAAGGAAAGAGGTTTAATTGACTCACAGTTCTGCATGGTTGGGGATGCCTCAGGAAACTTACGATCATGGGGAAAAGGGAAGCAGGCATCTTTTTTCACAAGGAGGAACTTCCAGACACTTATAAAACCATCAGTTCTTGTGAGAACTCACTCACTATCACCAGAACAGTATGGGGAAAACCGTCCCCATGACCCAATCACCTCCCTCCCTTGACATGTTGGGATTACAGGTCCCTCCCTCGACACAGGGATTATAATTCAAGATGAGATTTGGGTGGAGACACAGAGCTAAACCATATCACAGGCCTTATCAGTAATTTAGTAATACATAAAGCTATAGATTTAAATGAATTCATAATTGAACACAAATTGCAACAGATCAATAATGAGTGCTGACAGTTTTGTATTTGGAACAGTCCTAAAGTTACATTTGTATGTATCTTGAATGTCAATCATAACTGATTAATTAGTGGGAAAATGGCAGTATAGAGGCTGCGTATTCACTGTTGTTATAACCATGTATTGTAAGAAATGAATATGTAGTGTTAAGAAAAAGTTGACACAACTCCAGGCAATGGAATTAAAATGGCATAAAAAGGACAGCATAGGAAAGCTCAGCCTACCTTTCTGTCAGCTTTAACCTGTGTGCCCCTCCCTAAGCAAATGACAGTGCTGCAGATGACACCATCCAGCAGCCTTGAGAGATATTTTCTGTGATGAATTGGCAGCAGAACAGCAGTGATCTCTACGTTTTTACTTCTATCTTTTGTATTAAATTGCACAACCTGAGGACAAGAATTCAGCTTTTTATCTGAATGTGTATTGGGGTTTGCTATGTGAAATGTCTTCATTATTCTCAAATAACCTTTCCCTTGAATATAGAAACCGTCACCCTCGACAAAACATAGCAGTCCAAAGAGATCATCAATATTCAGTCTTCTTTCCAGATGTTGTAAAGGAATGAGTGAGTTCCCACAATGCTTTAGACTAATTTCACAGCGAGATGTAAAAGGAATAAATTTCTTCTCACTCCAGCCAACAATCCGTTAAAACTCTGAAGCATAAGGCCAGGTATTTCTCGCACAGTGGTTTTTGTCCCATTGACTATACGTATGTGCCATTCTTATTCAAGACAATGACTGACTCCAACCGGCCAACCAATTTTCTCTATAGAACCTTGAAACTGCTAATACCTGATGGTGAATTTAACACTACTGGCAGGATACTTGCATTTATATATATTTTAAATATGTCTGTAAAATATGTGGCAATTTTAGCTTGGTGAAGGAATTTATCTTTTCTTCATCTCTAACTTAACAACATACTGAACCACTCTCATAGGCAGAGGTGGTACATCAATCCTGTTGTACAATTACTCTATGACAGAGAGTCCCAGTGTTAGTGCCAACAAAGACCTCAGAATTCATCTGGTTGACTTACTGAAATCTGGAGAGGTTACGTTACTCATAGTCTCTTATATAGCAGTACTAAATTTAATTGTAGACTAAGAATAATCTGTAATTATTCTTGATTTGTTTAATAACAGAATCAGTTCCAGAAACCAAATCACCAAGTCAAATATTCTTTCTATCATGTACTCCCTGTTAACCAAAATCTCATCATCTAGTCTTTATTTTAAAGTAGGGAAGGGGGAGGAAGAGGAGAAACTATAATTTTTAAAATATTTATGATGAATAAAATATTATGCTAAATATTACCACACATATCTAATCCCCAGAATGCCCCTGCAAGTTATGTATGAATATCACTAATTTTTATATTCTAGCAAAATAAAATCAGAATGTTTAATTACTGTTGCCCAATGCTCTACAGTTAACGAAACATCCATGAATCTACTTTGTACAATTCTGTTGCTAAAGTTCAACTGCAAAAAAAAAAAAAAAAAAAGAATTCTTCAGGTTCTTTTGCAGGGGCAACCTGGAGTGCTCTGACTAAATACCAAAGATAAATACTGAGGTTATGTTTTCTGCTGTCCTTATTAGTCTAACTCTTGTTTCCACTGTCCATATCAGTCAGGGGAACAAAAAGGAAATTTAGATGAAATAGTTATGGAGAATGAATGTGCTTTGCCTCTCTGTCAGCTCTCCATGGTATCACTGCAACCATGACTCTTCCGTTTCAGTTCTATCTCCTGTTTGTAATGGAGCTCACCTCTCATCCTTGCTGGTGCTATCCACTTGGTACAGGCTTGTTTTTCTCAACTTGTATGATTCTGTTGCAGAACCAGTTTCACTAGTTGTCACTGCTCGTGCCTTATAATGTCTCCCTACCAAGTCACTGCTAATGTTATTCCTGCTTCCTGGTTTAAACCTTGCCAGAGTCACACCTTGTCTTTATGCTTACCTTTGCTGCCATCACTCCTTATGTCTCTGCTTATGTTGTCCATTTTAATACCAGCTCCATCACAGCTGCAGCAAGGCTCACAAAAGTGCAAGAGTATTCTTCTTGAGTCCTTTCATTAGGATTCAACAAAGCCCTTCTCTTTCTCTTTTCTTATGGATGCTCCAGGGTTGCAAATAATATATTAATCTTGGTCCCTCACTTTTGAATCAGCCTTGCTGGTTACATTTTTAATATGTATGCTTACCTTTGCTGCCATCACTCCCTTTGCCTCTGCTAAAGTTGTTCATTTTAATAGTAGCTCTATCAGAACTGCAGCAAGGCTCACAGAAGTGCAAGAGTGTTCTCTGTTTCTTGGGTCCTTTCATTAGGATTCAACAAAGCCCTTCTCTCTTTTCTCCCATCCAAGTACTAACCAGGCCTGACCCTGCTTAGCTTCCGAGATCAGACGAGATAGGGCGCATTCAGGGTGGTATGGCTGTAGACGCCCTTCTCTCTTTTCTTATGGATGCTCCAAGGTTACAAATAATATATTAAGTTTAGTCTCTCACTTTTGAGTCTACCTTACTGGCTACATTTTTAATATGTATGTCAACATGGCAGAGAACACTAAATTGCTACCATAAATTGTTTCAAAGAAACAGTGTTTTATCTTGTTATTATCAATCCATCTCTCAGTCCAGTGTCGAGACCCTTCATCTCTTTTCTTCCTCAGGATGCACTTTAAGGGCACATTTCTGAATACTGGAAAGAGATGTGTGCACCAAGTTTCATTTGGGAGAGAATGTCGAGAGACTCACTCCACATTCCTGATATGATTCTTCAAAAGTTTTCCTAAAAGACTCATTAAATGCTCATGCAAAGAAAACTCCTGTTATAACATCTGACTTCTCAGCATCTCTTTACAGTGTATGTCAGTTAGAGTTCCTTCTGGAAGTCTCACAGCACTCACTCTGGCCAAAATTAAATAGAACTTGTCTTAGTAGGCTGTTTCTTCTTGTTATATATTTTACTAGAATTATTCAATTCAACCAGTGACTACATTCACCTCTTAAGATAACACAGTGGTTTACCTCAGCAGTCACAATTACCCTAATGAGTAAATCTGAAGAGGTTCTTTAAATGAAGTTGCTAGGAAAATATTTCAATAATTGGAAAGAGCGTGGGGCTCCTCCAAAAAGCAGGTATTTAGGATGGGTGTTATAATGGTGAGACTCAGAAGAGCAACATATCAAAGAATTCAGTCAATGATAGGGAAATAAAAATGAAGGGAGAGATTGCAGGGAACTAAGAAAACAAACAAAAGAACCCGTACCATCTAGATTGCAATATGCATGAATTTTAGTGAAGATAATATTGCTCCAGATGTGGGGACAGTGGTGGTCGAGGGTCACCACTTTCATGAATGGTCATCAATTTTAATGAAGGCATAAGATGACATGTTATTTTCAATTAAAAGAAGAAAATACTCCCAGGGTACATCAAATTCATTGATTATTTTTTCTCCTTATTCCTGGCTGTTTCTACTAGGTGTTGTACTTCTTGAGTTTTTTCTTTTTTATGATTGGCTTATCTTTTGCTATTGCTGTGGACTAGATGCCACTTGGCACCACCATATGGGCTCGTTTACTTCCTGCTATTTTATTTTTTTTTCCAGGTGTCCAGCTTCAATCAGAGTCCAGTGTATTCTAGATTATGAATATTTAATAATTAGTCACTTGCAGTGGTTCTCCTACCATGCCATAGAGAAGGCATGATCCCTGCCCATGTAGATATAATATGGGTCCAACTATCCTGCTCCTTCCTCCTTAAATGCATCAGCACATATTCAGGCATCTGTCTGTAGTGCTGGTTGTTGCTCTCCCGTCCAGGAGCTGGTAGGAACACAATGACCACAGATACGGCCTAAAAAAGGGTTGAGTGTCAAAAACATGCACTTCCTTGCTTTTTTACATTTCTTAGCCTTTGGTAAGAATGTTCATCACATCTACCACCTTCACACTCATCCCAACTTCTGGGAAACTTAATTCAATTTTGTTACTTATTGGAATCCTAGTCTGAAAAACCAGCTGATTGACTGCATGGGATATTAATAATTTAATGATATACTCAATCCACTTGGGAAAGCTCAAAGTCCTTTATAGTGAGCAAAAGAAGAGCTAATACCCTGGATCATTGAGAGCTACTACCCTGGATCATTATGGGGTTAAAACCTAGGCCAGGGTATCGTAATACAATGGTTTGGAAATGAGTGAAGAAATCAGAAAGCTATACATTCAAATCTTGCTCTCCTACTTTCTCAACGAATAACATGATTTAGGTTGTGTGAACTTCATTTTCCTCTTTGTTAATACAGACTTAGCTGTGTATATGACTTTTGTTAAGACTGAGTGAGAAAATGTATGTAAAGAGCTTAGCTCAGGCTCAGTACAAATGAGCACTCATTAAATCAAAGCTCTTGTTATGATTAAGAATTAACAGCATCCATTTACAGGTTTTAGTGTTTCTGTGAATATTTGCTCTGCTTTTGCAAATACCCCCTTTGAATGTTGGTTCCTCCTCATAGTTGGTGTAGTCTAATAGGATTGAGGCTTTCTCCTGACTGGGAGAGTACCAGGCTTAGGAGTGACTGAGCTCCTGTCTATACATGAGAGAAAGAGACAGCCTTTGGTTTTTCCTTTGGTGGAATTTTCCCCGTGTTCTCTTTTTATTTTCTTCTCTTTCTTCTAAGACCAAGAAAAGCATGGATGGGTAAGATGAAAAGGACCAAAGAATAACTCATCCTGGCTTATAGGCAAAACTCTTTATAGAGCTTCAGAAAGATGTTACAAGAATTATAGAGCCTTTATACAGCTTACTAAACTACTCTGTGCTTCCTTTAGGTCACACAGTTTTTGGTTTAAGCCAAAATTCTCAGCATTATATGTTATCAGAGGATTACTTTTCATTCTCTCTTAGGACCCTTTTAAAATTGGGTGTGATTATTGTGTGTTTCATTACAGATTCATATTTTCAAAAACTTGTCAGGATATAGTTCCAACTTTTTATGATCAATAGATTGAAACAAAAAATTGTCACTGAGCAAAATCAATGATAGTGGATTAAGAACTTTGTAAGTTCCACCATCACTGGAAGTAATTGTGTTCCAAACATAAAATCAAAGCAGACATCATCATTGCCTCAAATTATGATTGTCACAGTTTTTTTTCTTAAGTTCAATTTAGGCTGAAATGTTTTGATTTGTGATAAACTAAATATCTTTCTGAAATTAACAGGCATTATCTAAGAAGATCTCAAAAAAAAGCACTTAAAACATAGCATATGGCTTGAGATCCAGGAGGGAGAAAATCATTACCAGAGCACATAGAAAATACCAATTAAATTAAGGTTACCACCTGCCTGGTCTCAATCAGGATATTTCACAATAAAAGGTCTGTGTCCAATATCTTGATTTACTTTATTTCTAAACCAATCTTTTCCCTTGAGGTTTGAAACCTTAACTTTCACTATATCATTCAGCTAATCTCTATACTCACAGCCATGCCTATCTTCAGAGAAACTTATAATTTATTGTTAGGATTGTTATCAAAAATTCTTTTTTTTTTTTTTTTTGAGACAGAGTTTTGCTTTTGTCACCCAGGCTGGAGTGCTGGATCTTGGCTTACTGCAACCTCCGCCTCCCAGGTTCAAGCTATTCTCTTGCCTCAGCCTCCTGAGTAGCTGGGATTACAGGCACCCACCACCACACCCAGATCATTTTTGTATTTATTTATTTATGTATTTATTTATTTACTTTTTGAGACGGAGTCTCATTCTGTTGCCAGACTGGAGTGCAATGGCGTGATCTCTGCTCACTGCAACCTCTGCCTACTGGGTTCAAGAGATTGTCCTGCCTCAGCCTCCCAAGTAGCTAGGACTACAAGCATGTGCCACCACACCCAGCTAATTTTTGTATTTTTAGTAGAGACGGGGTTTCATCATGTTGGCCAGGATGATGTCGAACTCCTGACCTCAGATGATCTGCCTGCCTTGGCCTCCCTAACTGCTGGGATTACAGGCATGAACTACCACACCTGGCCAGGATTGTTATAATGAAATTCTAATAGGACACCTACTCATAGTCTTGTTCTCTTCCCATCTATCTACTACATTTTTTACAGAACAATTTTTCTAAATTGTATACATGATCATGCTATTCTTCTAAATCATTTTAGTGACCCCAAATTTTCTTCATGAAAAACTTCTAAAGCCTTTGACATATTGTTAGTACAAGGCCTCCACTGGTTTTCTCTATATACTGCTCCTTCTCCCACATGTACCTGTAACTTAGACATTTCAGATCATCTCCAATTTATTATCACCAACATGCAATTTCTCTTGCAATTTTTGCTGAAAAGAATGTCGCTCTTCTTTCTTCCCAAGTCTTTACTAATCCCATAGGTCACTAGGCTGTATGAGGGCAATCATCGTGTGAGTTGTGCTTCCTATTATATTTCCAGCACTTATTAGAGTGACTGTTAAGTAGTGAGTAGTCAATAAATAAATTTTCTGAATAAATGACAAATTACCCAATTTAAACATAACATCATCCAGAAAATTGTCTTTAGATTCTGGGCCTTACTAAACTCAGTATTTTGGTAACAGGTAATGAATGTTTGTAGTCACTGGTTGTAACTGTGTCCTGATTGCATACCATCCCTCTCATGATTAAGAGCTCCTTCAAGATTGGCTACATTTATTTCTGTACCCCAAGTTTTAGCATGTGGTTTGTTTTTGGTCCAAATATTCTCATTCCTTGTTCTGTACTTCATATTTTTGTTTCTATCAAAGTGCAGGGGAGACAAAAGAATTGGAAGAACTCTAACCACACTTGGCAAAGTAAAATTTGTAGATGAGAAGAATTGAAGAAATGGCTCAGAAATAAAGCAGTGGGCTTATTCAGCCTGGGGCAGAAGTCAAAGTCAGGAAATGAGTTAAAACAACTCTAATCATCAACAAAATGGTCAAAAATGAATGGATAGTCACCTCACAAGCCCATTTATTCTTTCTGTGATCATTTACTGAGCTCTTATCACCTGTTAGGTATTATTCTGGTGATGGGAAAAAGCAGTGATAAGCAGATAAAAATCTCGTCTGTGTTGGAGCTTTCTTGTTGGAGAGACGATAAAAAATAAATAAGTAAAAAATGTAGAGCACCATTTGGTGAAGATTGCCACTGGAAAAAAAAAAATAAAATAAACCAAGGCAAGGGAAATTTATTACCAGAGAAAGATGTTGCTTTTAGATTTAAAACAAAAAAAATTAAATGTGGTCAGGGAAGTTCTTTCTGAGGTGACACTTGGCAAAGGAGCTTAAGGAAAACCATATAATTCACAGCGACAGTCTATGCTCTAGTAACAGATTAACTCTGCAATATCAGTGAGATAATTCAACCAAAGATGATTTCTTGCATTTGTTGCACGTTCAGTAAGGGTTGGTGAGGTGCTCTGCTCCCCATAGTCAGTGACGCACCAAGGCAGGTGGCAGCTCCATCTTATTTGTACTGCACAGGAGCACATGGCTCTGGATGTCTCTGTACTGTGGGAGAGAGACTAGAGAGTCACACATCAGTTTTTATGATACATGCTTCAGTCTCAAAGCCATACATATCCCTTCTGCTCACAGCCTAGTAATCAGAACTAATCACATGACTCAATCCTACACAAAGGGGCTATCAAGCAAAACGCGATGTATTAGTTTCCTCTGGCTGCTTTAACAAATTACCACAAACTTAGAGGCTTAAAGCAAGACAAATTCATCATAGTATGGTTCTGAAGATCAGACCTTCTAAAATAGGTGTTGGCAGCTGTGCTTTTTCCAGAGGCTCTGAGGGACAATTTATTGTATTGCCTTTTCCAGCTTCTAGAGCTGTCCTTATTCCTTGGCTTATGGCTCCATTTGACATTGTCTCTTCTCCCTCTGCTTTCATCATTGCATTGCCTTTTCTCCAATTTTGAGCCTCTTTCCTTCCTCTTACTAGGATACTTGTGATTATATCAGACACTCCTGGATGATTCGAGATACTCTCCCCATCTCCAGATCTTTAATCACTTTGCAAAGTCTCTTGTTATGTAAGGCAACATAGACGCATGTTCTGACATGCTCTGGGGCATAGAATGTGGACAACTTTGGAGGCAGAGCATTGTCCTCTCCACCACACTTGATATGATACAACAAAAAGATCTCTACTACTGGAATGAACCCAGTATTCTAGATCTGGGTCAAAAACAACATAGTTAATGGAGCAACAAATTCAAAATCTCTGTGTTGGGAATACATTGAGGGCTCACCAAGGACATGAGTGTGGATAGGTGGAGCACGAGGGAGAATGGCAGGAGATAAGATCTGAAAGGTGAAGGAGGAGTGGGTGGAAGGAGGTCATGAAGAGCCTTCCCCGTAGGCCTTTATCTTAAGTGGTCTGGGAAGCCATTAGAAAGTATTTACCAGATGAGGAACATAATTTGAGAATAGACTGCGGAGTTGAAGTAAAAAGCTGGAAAGAACACATCGAAGTGAGTCAAAACAGGAGAACATTCAAAGTGGCAACAGCAGCTGAGAGTGAGGTCCAATCCAACTAACTATGTTGACTACACCAGCTGATTTCTATTAAAATTCTGGTTTATCTTTCAAGAGCCCTGCGGATTCTGGCAGCAAGAAAATTGTGTATAGAAGAATTGAGACAATTTACCTATCCAGCTACATTTTAGAATATTAGGTCACAATTCTTCCCAAACTTTTTGTCATAATAATTATATATGCATAGTGATTTAGAACAGAATACGTTTATTTAGTGCTCTATGTATATATTTAGTGTAGAAGGTAGGTGAAGAAAGGTTAACACAACACTGTCATAAGAAGGAATTTGTGTGTTATTTTATTCACTAGACTCTAACTAATTAGAGAAAACAGAAGATTTTCTCCCCTTTGAGTTGATATTTAACCAACAGAGAAAATAAGGGGGTGGGGTATAAATAGCTTCACGAAAAGAGTCAACTTTTATTGTGTGCTAGTATTAGTGAGCACAAAATAGCGTAGATTATTATTATGCTAAACAATAAATGTAAGGGGAATAATCTTATCTTCAAATTTAGAGATTAGGAAACTGAATTTGGAGATTAAGAACTGCTTAAACTCAACATCAGTCACAGCATCTAAGTTGTACAGCCAGGGTTCCAACAGGTAGGCTCACCCCAGCATCAACCCTCTCACCACTATGTGTCTTCCATGATCTGAAGTCTACCCCCATCTCAATCAAATATACACAAGTATTTTCAGAATATTCAGCCAATTATCATAGTAATTAAATTAATAATCAAATTAATTAATTTGTAATTTTTGAATTATCAAATACATTTGATGTTCATAGGTAATTCTGAGCCTGTAGAAAGAAACTCATTCAATAAATACCATATAATTCCTGGTGTAGATATCTAACACTGTAAAGTAACTCATATGTTTTATAAAGCTCTCTGGTAAACCACAATTGAAACAAAAAATGTTTTCAAATTAAAACTCATTGTAACTTTTTATCCATAATTTTTTCTAAATTCTTTTTGCAGATATTTTTCTTTCTAGGCTCTTTAACCTCTTGGGAGTAGCAAACATCTTAATTTTGCTTTTTACTGTATAAAATTTGTGATTTATTTGACCTAATTTAAAAATCATTCTGGTATCTTGGGATTTTTATAATCAGGCTTATGCTATATCTCTTTTTCTCTCTTTCTTAATTTTGTCCAATTAATCATATCCCCCTGGACTTCCTGTTTTCAGAATTCAGATTGCAATGTTTCTTTGATCAAGTGTTGGCATTTAATGTGCATATGTGGGGGTATACATGTATACCTGTCAAAGGCATTTGAAATACTGAGGCCCCCTTCCCCCAATTACTCGTGTACACATCATACCTGCCCATTAACATTGCAAAAAATATTTCAGTAAAACATATTTCAGTGGATAAGGTCTTCAACCTAACAGTAGATTTTATTATTTGCTTTCTGTCCAAATATTGGAGAAATGATTCAGTAAGAAACACAGAACAAGAATGTAAGATTTATCCAAAGATATAAAAAATCTTGTGTGTGTGTATGTCTGTGTGTGTTTGTGTTAATTCAGACCATTTTACAAAGTGTATAAATCAAAGATTTAGAAAACAAAACATTCACTTTACCTTTATGAGACAATAGGAAGTCTAATGAGAAAAACGAGTTTATATTCCGTTAAGAATCAGAGAAATGTTTCAATAATTTTTAGAAAAGTACTTTTAAAATTTTAATATGTTCCAGGATAATATTATAATGCCTATGTTTTGTTACCCAAACCTTTATATTATACAGAATTCTCATCACCCTCTCCATATAATGGCACATATTTAAAACTACTTTTGCTTTTGCCTTTTTTTTGTTTGTTTGGTGTGTGATCATCTTTAATCTTACTTATTTCAGTTTCTGTGCTCACTTCTGATTCTAGCAGCAGTTAGATCATAGATATACCCCTTTCCCGAATTCAATCCTATGATATGTGAAATTTACACAGGCAATTGTGTTCCATGCCGGGATTGGTAGTCAGTTGCCAGTTTGAATCAGAGCTTTGCTGTTCTGCAAATGTTTTAAAATTTTTCTGAACAAAGAAATAAGACCACATCAGGGCTGTGGAACTGTATGTCTTTCGCCATATGACCACCCTGTCTTCCTTCATTGGCTGTACAATAGCAGATACGGAATCACTGACTGTGGAGTCATAAAAAGAAGCGGGTTACAAATAAAACAGTTTTTTCTAAAGCTGTTCAAATCAATATATTTTCTTCAAATTGATGTATCTTTTCTTAGAGAAACAGGAACACGGGATTACTTTTTCTTTCAACAAATTCAACATTGAGTGAATAAGGGAACAGTTCAAATATAAAAGTAATGGGAGGCCACAGCAGATTTACTTAAACCTCCCCTCAATGTTTTGCATGTGAGAAATATCAGTGGACACTGGAATGAGAGGAAGATAATTTTCCAGAATCACAGAATCACAGATCAGTTGCCCTTTGTTTGGACCTAAGTGACAGAAAGGGGTGAATTGAGAAAAGAAATAAAAATAAACCAATTCTATACACTGAATTAACTGTGCAAAGCCTATGGCTGAGCATTAATAAATTGCATGATGAAAAGCAGAAGAAAATTGTTATGTCTAAACTAAAGGCCGATTTTTCAAAGACATTAGAGAAAATTAAAAATAAGCAGGATGAGACAGTGAGAGATGATTACCAGAATGCTGATAACTTGGAAGAAAAGCAAACAATTCAGTGGTAAAGTAAAAACAAGGATTTATAGAATGCATCCCTATACATCTCTATCTGGACAGAAATTCAAATAATTTAATAGATCATGAAAAGTTAGTTATTTTTGTAGTAAATCACCTTTTAGAGTAGGGGCTGTAATTTATTTCATACTAAATAGTATGTCTGTTATTTCAGAAACTGTTCTGCGGACTGCAAATTAGAAAGGATTAGACCTTGCTCTTGCTGTCCATTGACTATTATCCATTATTTTTTACTTTATAGTTACAAATACATATCAGAGGAAAGCAACCCAATTCTACTGAAAATGTCAAAATGAATGTTAATTTAAAAAATAACTATTGCTTCAGATTCTTGATTTTTAAGTTTTCTAGGTGATGGAATTTTAATTTGTTTTCCTACTTAGAGAAATGTTTTGACCTGAACTTGTTTGGAATTTAATACACCCACACATCCATAAAATTGCAGCTTTTAAGCACTTCTAACAGATGATCCAGCTGATGGCAGGATGACATTGATGATCTGTTTTTTTCCAATTAAACATTACTCCAGCTGCCACAGTTGTGCTGAATAGAAGGGAAAACTGCAAACAATGAACCCTGAGGGATATAAAAATTAAGTATCTGTCTGCTTGAAGAAGAGGCTGATAATGAACCTTCTTAGCAGTTAGCCATGTGGACCACTCATTTGTCACTTTGTGTATAGTAGACTAAGCAGTGCTGTTACTGTTATTTATATTTTCACATTCATGAATGGCCTAAACGACTAGACCAAAGGCCCTCAAAAGTAGAGCGTATATGCCAATGTTTATATGTCCAATGTTTGGCAAAGTTGCCTACATTTAGCAGAAGTGAGGTAGTATCAAACTCAAATAAATTACAGAAATGAAACACTGAAATTAAATGTTGTATTTGAGAGGAAAGAAATGTAATTCAGGGCATACACACAAACCAAGTGGTCTTCTGTACATCTAAAGAAAAAAACCAGAAGGTTAAAGAAAAAAGAAACTTTCAAGATAAAAGCATCAGTTGAAATGTCCAGGGGAACTACACAATTCTGCTTTTGTTTCTGTAAATATATTAATATATAGTTTCGCTGTAATCTATATTTCTTAAAATTAATATCTGAATTCTTTGAATTCGAATTTTGATATTTTATGCTTTTTAAAATAGCTAAACATAAAATATAAAGCAAATGAAGTTTGAAAATCAGACTATAGCAAAAGGAATACGATGTATATATTACCCCCCCACATTAATGTGGTATATTGATAGCAAAGTAATAGACTTTATAACAATAAAAGATGTAATAAGGAAAAAAGTGATTGATGCATATAATAATAAACAATTTACCAAAAAATCCTCTAAGCTATTTTATGCCTAATAATATAGCTTCAAAAGATATAAAGCAAAAATATACCTAATAGGAGAAATTTCAAGAACATATTATCGAATGTGTCAACACAATGGAGAAGAGTTTTCTAAGAAAGAAAGAAACACATTAAATACAAAAAATAATAAGGATATACAGAAGTTTTGAACAGACATTCTAGAACACAGAACTTGCAAATTAGAAGGTTAAAATTTTTTCTAACTCCTACGTGAGATATTTTTCTTAAAATGGAACAGGTGGTACTTTATTAATGCTCAATAAATTTGAAGGACCATATGTCATAAGCTCGTACTCTCTATAACTCCTTTAAATGCTCAGAAACCAAAGATATTTTACATAAGCTTTTATATTTGAGAATTATTAAAGTTCCTTCTAAATAGGTCTTGGATTCAATAATAAATATTTGACTAAATGTATTAGTCTATTCTTACACTGCTAATAAAGTCATACCCAAGACTGGGTAATTTATAAAGGAAATAGGTTTAATGGACTCACAGTTCCACATGGCTGGAGAGACCTCACGATCATGGCAAAAGACAAAGAGTAAAGGAATGTTTTAAATGGTGGCAGGCAAGAGAGCTTGTGCAGAGGAACTCCCATTTATAAAACCATCACATCTCCTAAGATTCATTTACTACCCCGAGAACTGTATTGGGGAAACCAGTCTGATGATTCAATTATCTCCACCTGGCCCTGCCCTTAACACATGGGGATTATTACAATTCAAGGTGAGACTTGGGGGTCGTGGGGGAACAGCCAAACCATATCACGAAAACATTTATAAATTTAATCAAAAGAAAAAAATGAAAATTCTATATAACATCACATGGGTGCAGCTAAAGTAGTACTTCAGGGTAATTTTATCTTAAATGCTTATTGGGATAATCATCTAAATTAGGAAGTTAGAATAAGGAAAAAACATAAAAACTGCAAGAAGAAATAGAATTAAATAAAGATAGTGGTAGGTATTAACTAAATAAAAAACATTCTTACAGTAAAGAGGAGAAAATGGCTGTAAGTACATTATTTAAAACAAAAAAGTACATAGATAAGCCTCTGGAAGATTGACCAGGAAAAATGAGAAAAACCCTAATGATCATTATTAGAAAGGTCATATTTAGTTAGAAAAGAGAAGAGTTAGGCAACATAAGAGGATATTATTTAAAAAATATTTGAAAACATAGATACTGAGCAGTGCTCAGTAATTAAGGTGAGAGTGTTTTCCAGAATGTCTATTTCTAACCATATTGGCATCTAAAGAAAGTGAAAAGGTTTTGAAAGAATACACAAGGCCTAAATTACTCTATTGACAGTGTCACACAAATTTTAGGAAGAAATAATTCCTATATTATGCAAACTATTCCACTGAGTGAAAAGAGAGTAAAAGTTCTTTTCAACTAGTTTTATAAGGCTAAAATAACCTTATACCCAAATTAGATAAGGACGGTAGATTTACTAGCCAGGATTTTTTAAATAAACAAAACCAACAGGATGTATATATGGAAAGAAATGTATTAAAAGGAATTCACTGTCGTGATTATGAAGACTGGAAAATCCCAATATCTGCAGGGTGAGTCAACAAGCTGGATCCCCAGGAAAGCCAATGGTGCAAATTCTAGTTGAGCTGAAAAGCTTGAGGACCAGGAGAATAGATGCTTTAGCTCCTGTCCTGAGGGCAGAAAACTCAAGACCCGGGTTGAGCTGATGTTTCAGTTCAAGTTTGAAGGTAAGAAAAAGGCAATGTCCCAGTTTGAAAGCAGTCAGGCAGGAGGAATTCTCTCTTAGTCAGAAGAGGATCAGCCTTTAGTTCTACTCAGGCCTTCAACTAACTGACTGAGGCTCATCCACATTAGGGAGAGCAATCTGCATTACTGAGTCTACTGATTTAAATGTTAATCACATCCAAAACACCCTCACACCCTCATAGAAACACTCAGGAAAATATTTGACCAACTATGTGGGCAACCAGTGGCCCAGTCAAGTTTACACATAAAATTAGCCATCACAATATACCAAAAAATTAGTTAACAATATTACTTATAAATATACATGTGGCCGCTGGGCGCAGTGGCTCACACCTGTAGTCCCAACACTTTGGGAGGCCGAGGCAGGAGGATCAACTTGAGGTCAGGAGTTTGAGACCAGCCTAGCCAACATGGTGAAATGCCTATCTCTACTAAAAATACAAAACTTAGCTGGGCATGGTGGGGTGTGTGTGTAATCCCAGCTACTTGGGAGGCTGAGGCACCAGACTCACTTGAACCTGGGAGAAAGAGGTTGCAGTGAGCAGAGGTCACACTTCTGCACTCCAGCCTGGGCAACAAAGTGAGACTCCATCTCAAAAAAAAAAAAAGGTATATATATATACACACACACACACACACACACACACACACACGCACATAGAAAATCCTAAATTTCTAATCATCAAATCAAATCTATGAGGGCCTATCACTGTACATGTATATGTATATATACATATATATTTAACTTTATTTGCAAACAGTAGAAAAGAAGAGGCATATTATCATTATAAAATGCAGAAAAATGGATATCATTTATTTAACATAGTTATATATATGTATAAATCTTTTAAAATTTAATTAGAAGAAAATATACTCAGCCTGATGAAATACAAAATTAATCAGCAATTTTTATCTTTATGGTAAAATCTTAAAGACTTCATGTTAACAATCAGGAATAAGATAATAATTGCCAATATTAATGTTCTTCTTAATTTGTACTTCCTAGATGTTCCTAAAGTGAACTGAAGAAAAATGAATGAAATATATGAAGATTAGAAAAATAGAAAGTCTAATATTACTATCTGTAGGCATGATAATTATTTCTTCTACATTTATACTAATAAGAGAATTTACCTATATTAAGCATGCAATTAGAAAATAAAATTATATTTTAAAAGATCTAAAATTATGTAATTTGACTCAGAGTTAAAAAAATATGAAATTAATATAAACCTGAATGGACTTATGAAGAAAATTAATACTACTAAAAAAGGATTAAGATAAAAGAACAGATACCCAACATTCATGAGGAGGGTGATTATATTTTAGAAATGTCAATTATTTCTAAATTCTCTATAAATATAATGCTATTACAACCAAAGAAAACTGAAAAACTAGTTCTAAGTGACATGTGGATAATTAAAGTGCTAATAATAAAGTGATTTTGAATAAGAGCAAGGTGTTTGTGTCCTAGTTTGAGATCAAGATGTATCATTAAATGATAGAAATTAAAATAAAGGAAAATGACAGATACAAACCCATGTAACAAAGTCAAATCCAGAAACATTTTGCATGCCTAAATCTTAGGCATGTAGATTAGGTGGCAATGTAGAAGATTTGAGAAAGAAGATTGTTCAACAAGCACTGCTAATATAATTGGTTTCCACATAAAAGATAATATTAAATTAAGTCACTCTCAACATTTAATAAAAATTCTAAGTGCATTAAATAATAAATACAAAAATAAACTTCAAAATATGAGAAAATATCTATATACATTTGGGAAATGAAAGAATTTCTCAAAAAAGAGACAAAAAGCATTAGTATAAAATAAAACTGATTGCATTTAACATTAATAAAATATAATCAACCCAAATATAACGGAAAATATGAAAAGACAACCAGAATAGGGAGAAAATATTTACCACTTACTGGTATGAGAAAGACAAAATTCACACTATGTTAATACAGTCTACGAATCCATCAGACTCACAAACACACACACACAACTCAATAGAAAATACACAAAAGATACAAACAAGCAATTTATAGAAGAAACATGATCGACTGATAAACAGTTGTCAAGATTCAGAACTTTAACAGTAATCATGGTAACGCAAAATAATCAAATTATTCTTAAAAATAAAATAAATATTACATGGAATACAATTTTCTTATTAGATTTACAGTTTTTTTTTTTTAACTATGCCAATTCCAACATTAGGGGAAGATGTAAAGCACTGTTTTGCACTGCTGTAGTGTAAATATTAAGAAACCCTCACATAAGCACTTTGGGAGATACAGAAATAAATGTTCATACCCACATTGTTTTTAAAAGAAAAACAAACAAATCTAAAAGCTTCTCCCTAGTAGCATGGAAAAAATACGTTATTTTTTATTTTTGTAATGAAATGCTCTAGCATGATCTCCTTTTTTTTTTTTTTGCAATATTTTAACTCTTAGTCTGAGCTTAGTCACTGTATTAATTTTACATATTTTATATATTTTAAATAGTAGCTTATATACTGCTGGAAAAACAGAAAATCACAGTACTATTTATGGGATACCAGAGATTGTATTGCACTTTTGAGGAGGCACGTCCTTCAGCTGAAGATCACTACTCCTTCTGGGCAGCTACTCTAAACAGCTCTATGTTCTCTGAATTCCACAATGCCCAGAAAACAGCCATCCTAGAAGCACAATTCTCATTTAGTCATGTTTATTTTTCTTCTGAATGATTGCTGAAATCTGTCCATTCTTTTGATCTCTGCAGTCATCAGCTGCCATCGTTTTTCACCTGGATAACTGCAAAAATCTCTTACTTGGTCTCTATATACCTATTTATGGTGCCTTCTAATCTGTTCTCTACACTGCATTGCAGATGAAGGGATAGTTTAATTTAAAAGTCGACAGTCAGACTTTTACATGGCTTTCTGTTTTTCTGATAATAAAGTTAAAATATGTAATCTGATTTTACATGACTTTGTAATTGTATATGATCTTACCCATGTCTAACTCTTGTTTACAGTACCTCAGTTACCACCAGTATTTTAATTTTTACAGTCTGCCATGTTTCCTTCTAAATCAGCACCTTTGCATGTACTGTTTCCTTTACTTCAAGCAGACTTTCATTCTCTCTTGGCTTCATAAACTTCTCGTATTTCTTCATTTCTCTACTCAGATTCACTGCCGAGGAAATCCCTCTGTGAATCTCTAGACTATGTGTTTCCTTCTACAGTATGCTTTCATGGTTTCGTATCACTTTTCTTCATTGTACTAATTTCTGTTTGTAATAATGATCCAAATACATAATTTATCATTTGATTAATATCTCCTTTTCCCACCATGTTGAGTAACAATTATGTCTGCTACAGGCCTCCTGGTATCAATGTTTGCTAGTACAGCACTAATAGAGCTGCCTCTCAATAAATAATTGCTGTGTAAGAGATACAAAAAATTGACTCTATAAGAATTCCATTTAGAGGAAGCCCTGAATTAAACAAAAAACAGGAAAATATTTGGGAGGCCGAGGCGGGTGGATCATGAAGTCAAGAGATCGAGACCATCCTGGCCAACATGGTAAAACCCCACCTCTACTAAAAATACAAAAATTAGCTGGGCATGGTGGTGCATGCCTGTAGTCCCAGCTACTCAGGAGGCCGAGGCAGGAGAATTGTTTGAACCCGAGAGGCGGAGGTTGCAGCGAGCTGAGATTGCGTTACTGCACTCCAGCCTAGCGACAAAGTGAGACTCTGTCTCAAAAAAAAAAAAAATTGTTAAGTGTTTTAGGGTGAAACTCCAGGGGTACCTGAACTTAGGAGATAGTTCTATGAAGGAGAAGACAGAGGAGAAATAGAAGGAGGAGAAGGAGAAGGAAAGAGAAGAGAAAGAACAGGGGAGAGAAAGGGGGAGGGCAAAGAATAGAAGAAGGAATTTTAAAAATTGATAATAAGATCAGTGAGGAAAAAAACTAAGGAGGTAAAATATATATGTAGTGTTATTCAATTGTTTGTTATTTTATTTATGTACTAACTACTAATTCAGCTATTATTTATTGTACCTTTACCATATACTAGCCACAAGGGCTACAGCAATAAGCAAAACAGAATATTGTTCCCCCAGTTTATAATATAATGAATATAAATATTTAAACAATGAATACATGAGCAAGAGCATTTTAAATAGTGCCATGCTTTGTAGAGCCAAACAGGATGTACTGCCATAAGCCTACATGGATGATGGAGAAAGAGTTTGGGATGTACTCCCCTCTCAATATTGAGTAAAATTCTTTAAAGAAGCCAATAATAACAATGTAAAAGCAGATTTCTGCACTTAAGTTATTACCAGTGAGACTGAGACTGCACAAAATAAAGATATACAAAGTGAAATGGAAGAGAGAGCAACAAGTCATGGGAATGGTTAGAAACTGTGGCCAACTTTCTAGATTGACAAAGGGTTAGAAAAAAGCTAGCCTTAGCTGATATCAGTTCAACATTTGCAATGTGTTTAAATTATCTAAAATAACTTGAATCAAAATATTGTAGTTCATCACTCAAGCCTACAAAAGAGAGAATATGGGCACATGTGATACAGAGCTTACGATCTTATGCCTTCTTTGATGAAGTAATATAACATTTAAAAGCTGGATTTTGAGGAGATCAGAGTTAAAGTGCAACATATTTAATCTAAAAGAAATAACATTTTAGAGAACATCTTATTATCTTGATCCTGTCTGTAGTTCATAAGTAGAAGAATAACAACAAAAAAAAAAACTCCATGGAAATTTAGAAGTAAATAATTTGCTAGCTGGGAAAAAAGAAATGCCATCTATTGAAGATTCAATAGAAGAATAAATGAAGTAATGGAGTAAGAAAGAAATGAATTCATTGCTTTCTTATTTTTCTTTGAAATCAATGAAGAAAACAAACATTAGATATAACAAACAGCTTCCTTTGCCACTTCAGGTCCATTTTCCCCCTTCTCTACCTTGCTTTGTGTCCATTATAGTTGGCCTATGTAAATTATGTCTAGAGTTCATTTGCCAGTAGGATTTAGAAGAATTTGGATAATGAGGATCCTTCCATAAGATGAGAAAGAGGGAGGAGGGTGAGACACGTATTTTTCCCTAGCTCTCTTGCTGCAACACAACACTTGTTTTGGGATGACCACATAATTTCTTTTCCAAATTGGGACATACTTGAAAGTGAAAGAGGCAATACTAATGGTTCTACTTGCGCAATAGGGATAAACCTCAACTAGCACAAACCTGTATGTATGTTCATCCTACCTTGGGCTATGATCCTCAGTAAGTCACATTGTTCTATACAATTCCCTCCTCTTCTGGGCACCAGCTACCTCTGCTTCCTCTAGTCCACTGTTTCTCAAACATTATCATGCATCAGAGTCACCTGTGAAAACAGATTGCTGCACACCAGTCTTAATGAGAGTTTCTAATTCAGGGGTGGATTCTGCGAATTTGCATGTCTAATAAATTCCCAGGTGAAGCTAATGCTGATGGTCCGAGTTTCAAGCTTTGAGCACCACTGTCCTCATCCTTTCAGTTTTGGTGCTACTAGCTATTGGTCTCTGCATGGTCACAAGAAGCCCTCTTACGCTTGTTCACACTTTTGCATATGTCCTTTCTGTAAATAATTTTCCTTTATTTATTTAGATTACTATACAATTATGAAAACCAGAGCTTCATCATTATAGATTCTTAAAGTTTCCTTCAACGAAATGTATTCACAGCTAACCCTCACCTCAGAGTGAAAAGGATGGTTAGTTGTGCAGGGCCTCATGGGATTCATAGGCTTCAAGTATGTCCTCAGTGTGCTTGCTTCTGTGGAATAGACACTACTGGAGAATCTATAGCTTTTGTTCTGTCTCACTATATCTAGCAAGTCAAGGTTTATGACCCTATGATTAGGAATGATGGAAAAAACAGAGAGCTGTGGAAATAGATCCATATTGAAGAAAGGACTCATAGCTTTTGTATTATTATTACTAATTCTGAAAAGTTTTTCCTCAGCAAACATCATAATTATCTAAGAAGTAACTGATAGTACTATCAAGTTTTATCTGGTTATTTTAGTCACCTTAATGATCACCAGAACACTTCATGGAATATTTCATTGATGTCTACTCAAACAAATCACTAAACTTGAAAATACCTGTAGCTGAACCAGGGGCTTTTTTATCCACTCAAAGAAGAGTTTGCAAGTTTAGGCCCAAGGACAGGGAGAGAGGAATACAAAATAAAAGGGAGCACAATAATTTGTGTCTTCTAAGGGGCCCTGCTAATTGCCACTTCACAAATGTAATTTGCGTATCAGCCATAACCAGCAACAGTCTAAAATCACTTTGGGGTTGAAGGTTGGCTGGAATGGGAAAGGGAATTTAAATAATTCTACTTTATCTTCTTAAGGAAAAAACAAGCTCAAGAGCAATACTCAAATTTAATGATGCCAAGTGAACTAAACCTAAATGTCTGTGTGTATAGGCCTAAATTATTTTAACATTATGTTTGCATCTCTGAGTGATGGGAATATCTTAATCTGCCATATAACCAATAGATTGTCATAGATTTTGCTAGCACTAACATTTGCTGGGTTTTCTAAAACATACTGTACAATTTGATTGCACCAATGTATTCTTTTCAGTGCTATCTTATACTTGTAATTCTTTCTAATACTCCTATGCAGCTAAGTTCTCACAGCTAAGCAGTACATGGCAGAATTGGAATTCAAACCTGGGTATGTACAACTCCAAAGTCAGGACTCCTAACCATCAAATGATTCTGTGTCTTCAGCCCCTATATGACTTTCCAGATCCCTTTCTTTCTCTTGTTTACATAGAATATACATTCACTCACTCACTTATTGACATAACATTTGTGAAAATCATTCTAATGCCAGGTAACATGTTATGACCACATGATCCAGTATTGTGAGCAAACAGAAAGACAACACCAGTTTTGAGGCAATAAACACCTTGAGGACAGAGATGGGTCTTTTCTCTCTATATCCCAGGGATCAACAGGACCCTCATAAAGCTGTGGTCTCATCTCCATGGAAACCCAGGCAGAGGAGTCATTGATGGGAGTAGGTCTCACAGAGGATGTGGGCCGTGAGTTGCAAACATGAATCAGGAAGGATACTGTGAGGCTAAAACAAAGAGAACTGACCATAAACATTGTGCCCTAGTTGGTACATTGTTTTCTCACAGGGATATAGGTTAGGAATTCCAAAACCATTTTATTCTTTTGCTGGTGTTGAATAAATAAATTGTAAATAATGAAAGTAATGTTTCTCAATGCTGGAGAAAGCATCTGCAATGAAGGAAAAAGTAGGAACTAAAATAAAACCTGTGTTTTTAGACTGGAACTTAAGGTATCAGTATAGGCTGCATGAAAACATACACACACAGAAAGATAAATAGATACAGATATAAATATAGATGTGTATATGCATGAGTTTATGTGCGCATATACATACGTATGAAAGTCTTTGTGGATGCATTTCTGTTTCTCTAAAATGCCTTCCTGTGCTTCAAAAATGTAGTGCTATCCCCTGTGAGAGACTAGGGGCAGTGACATCCATTAGCAATGAGCACAGCCAGCACCCAGATCTTGGCTTCTAATACCATCCTCAACTACAATGAATCAGGGCTCCTTAGTAAACTGGCTGATGGTGGGGCTCGGGCGGGGAAAATAAAGACAAGCCTGGAGCTCCTGGCAGTGCCAGAAAGTAAGAATGTACTAAAAAAAATCCATAAGTTCGTACTTATATGAATAAATATTTAAAAAACAAATAAATTAAAAGTGGACAGGGAGACTGGGCGCAGTGGCTCATGCCTGTAATCCCAGCACTTTGGGAGGCCAAGGCGAGTGGATCACCTGAGGTCAGGAGTTCAAGACCAGCCTGGACAACGTGGTGAAGCCCCGTCTCCACTAAAAGTACAAAAATTAGCCAGGTGTGGTGGCAGGTGCCTGTAATCTGAGCTACTCAGGAGGCTAAGACAGGAGAATTGGTGAAACCTGGGAGGTGGAGGTTGCAGTGAGCTGAGATCATGTCACTGCACCTTAGCCTGGGTGACACAGTGAGACTCTGACTCAAGAAAAAAAAAAAAAAAGTGGACAGGGAGATGTGCCAAGTGTTTCTTGCAAGAAATTTCAATTAATAAATATATAAATAATGAGGAAAATAGAAAATCACCATTAATACATCACAGTAATAAATTCCTGGACAAGATCCACCAATAAATGCTAAGATAAGTAGGTGAAAGTTTCAGCAGAAACAGAATGTTTGCATAACCTCAAAGTATGTTCCCCCACATGTTTAGTAATTACAAAGGGAAAAAGTAGTTTAAGGTGGAGAACCCTGGCAGCCTTCACCTTAGTCAACTGCTTGGGGTTCATATTGCCAGTAAAACACAGCATCACGTACCCTCTGAAATGATGTGCAGTGCACATCAACTCTGTTGTATCCTTCCCACTAATGCATAGCTTTAAAACTCATCTTAAGAAAATGTTAGGCAATTTCAAATTGAAGGACATTCAGCATACTAACTGACCCTTTAAAAGTGAGTTGAAAAATATTAAAGAAGAAACATGAAAAAATGTTATGAAAAACAAGAAAGAGTGACGAATTGTTACAAGTGGGAGGAGACTACAGAGACAGGACCACTAAATTCATGTGAGATCCTGGATTTGATTTTGAAACAAACAAACAAATAGCAACAACAAAAAAAATTGGTAGAAAGAATGGACATTACAAATCTAATGCCTATGAGACACTACCTCACACCTGTTAGGATGGCTATTATCAAAAAGTCAAGAGTGAGGGGGGAAAGAAGGAGAAGAAAAAAAAGTCAAAAGATAAAAAATGTTGACTAGGTTGTAGAGAAAAGGGGACTCTTGTACTGTGTTGGTAGGAATGTAGATTGGTACACCCATTATGAAAATAGTATGGAGGTTTCTAAAGAAATTAAAAACAAAATTCTCATATGACCCAGCAATCTCTCTTCTGAACATATACTCAAAGCAAATGCAATCACCACCTTGTAACGATATCTGCACACTCCCATGTTCATTGTGGCATTATTCACAATAACCAAGATAAACAACCTACGTGTCCATTGAGGAACAAATGGATGAAGAAAATGAAATATTATACAGCCCCCTGAAAAGAATGAGATCTTGCCATTCTCACAACATAGATAAGGTTGAAGGAGATTATTTTAAGTGAAATAAACCAGACACAGAAAGAAAAATATTACATGATCTCACTAATATGTGATAGAAAACAAAACAGTAGTTACTCCTCTGAGGGTGGGGAGAGCAGAATTGGAGATGTAGGTAAGAGAATGTAAAGTAGCAGATATGTAGGATGAACAAGTCTAGAGATCCAAGGTACAACATGAGGGCTATAGGTAATTAAATTGTAAACATGGGATTCATGCTAAATGAGTAGACTTAGCTACTCTTGCCACACACATGCGCGCACACACACACATGCACACACACAAATGGGTAACAATGTAAGATGATGGATATATCAATTTGCTTTATTATAGTAACCTTTTCGCTATCTATATGTATCCCATAACATCATGTTGTGTACCTTAATTATACACAATAAAAATTATTTTTAAAAAAAGAATATAAAAAAAAGAATGGACATTTAACCAAGTTTAATAAGGCAAATAAACACCGTATGGTTATGTAAGTGGTTGAGTAAGGGAAACTGAATGAGGGATATACGAGCACTCTTCGTCATACATTTGTAATTTATTTGTAACAGCCCCACAGTCGGGACTATAGCTAAGAACCGTAGGGCACAGAGAATTTAGAATTCAGATTTTCTCTTTAAAGGATACTAAAGGAGCATAAGCAAGCCTCCCCATGGGAAGATGAAAATGTACAGGGAAATGGGAATACATTTAAGGCTCAGAGATCTCCGTAAGCCTGTACGGACACTCAATGGAGGAAATGAAATCATAAGGCAATGTTTTCAAAGTCCTCATGATGGCACAGAGAAATACCCGAGCTAATGTTACAAGAAAACACAAATAAAATATACACTATATTATAATAACTGTGTGAAAAACAAATTTACTCAGAGAGGGGGGAAGATGAAAGCAACAACCACTGTTAACATTTCCTTATACATCTAGATGATGGGAACAGATGATTTATTTTCTTGTTTCAACTGTTCTGCATTTTATTTATTTACAATTTCACCTTGCTCAAAAGATAAAAGATTTAAGGCAGCTTGATCTGAATTTTTCATTAATAAACATGGCATTTTAAACATGCAAAAAACTTTGAGGATTTTTGAGGCGCAGGAACGCATTTTAGACAAACAAAACCTCATCAACAAAGATATGAAAACACACACTGCATATTTGAGAAGTGGTAAACAGGTGTGATTGGAGCACAGGGTGAAAACAGGGTAAATAATGAGGCTCGCAATGTAGGCTGACAAAAAAATGTGGCAAAATGCTCACAGGCGTATAGAAGAGCTCCTGGACAGATGTGTTGGCGTGAATTTCACAGAGGAGAAGTGGTAGAGTCTGTATATTAGAAAAAATAACCACAGTAAGGGAGGTAGGGAGTAAATGATGTCAGGTAGGGATACGACTCATAGACTGAGACCAGGAAGGGGTCTAGTGGCCTTAGATTGCCCTCTGGGACCTAGGATTCCAGCTTGAGTGTGCCTCTGAACTTGGACTCATTAGTCTGAAACAAATCTCCTTTCAGACAAATCTACTCAGATACCATGCTGGAAAATATCTGATAAACAAATTCACATAAGGGCATTCATGCATTCATTATGGTGAAATTCAGTTATTATTTTCAATGACGTTCTTTTAGGCTGACTTTAGTACCAGGATAACTTCAGAAAATCTATTAAAAATATCTGGAAATATAAGTTGCTGATATCAACATCAGGACACTTGAAAATATTATCATTATTCTTCATAAAAAACGTAATAGAATTACTATTATTTTTTAATTGGGAAAGATGTAAGCTAGATGATTTATTTTGTGTACTCACCATAATAATTTCTATTGCCTCTGGCATATTAACAGCATTTAATCTTAAAAAATATTAGGAAGAGGTTTTAAAATTAGTTTCCTGTTTAAAGTATTGTAGATTGCTTGAATTAAATGAAACTGTCATCACTGTGAATAAATATGGCTAATGTCAGGAAAGAAATATGACTTGTAAAAGGAATTAAGAAGTAGAATTAGCATGATTCTATGTTTTCTACATTAAAAACATACCAGTGATGAATTGAGGTCAGTGTCTTATGTATTATGTATTTGAAGTAGCTTATTTGCATAAATAAGAACCGCTCATTCTCTATATATGCTGGAAGTAAAATATACCTCGCATCTATAAAGGATGAGTTGATATGCCATTTTATGTACACAAGCGAGAATGTTTTTCTCCTCTAAAGCCAACACATACTATTGCTAAACAGACAATCAAATGCCAGAAAAAGAAAGAAAACACAAATTGAATCTAGCTCAAAGAAAGGGGCTAGGTTGAGGAAAAATAAATGCCATTACCTAACTACATTTTGCTAGGCTAGCTCTAGCTGCAGTTTTAAGAATAATCAGCATTAGTCTGGGGATAGGCGGGAGCCAGGGTAAAGAGTTAGAAGCTTTTGTAATAAGTCAGGTGAGAGCCAATGGAAGCTTGGATCAGACAGTGTGTCGGGGTGATTCTGAGAAGTTAGTAAAAAGGTGAGGGATTTTTTTTTTTTGATAAATATGACTAGATTTTCTGATAGATTGTATGTGAAATGTGAAAGAAAATAATGAATCATTACTGAATGCATCTGGTTAAATTAAGAGACATATTTTTGGGGGGAATAATCTGCAATAGAGAAACTATATACAGGTGCTTTCCCTAGGGGTCAAAATTAATAAAATTCTGTTCTAAAGATGTACATGAGATTAAAATAATAAGGAAACTCCCTATTAACAGGAAAAGGTAGACACAAAAGTTTGACGTTTTCTGATTCAAAATTTGACCTATGTCTGACTTGATCAAAGATGATATAGATCTTGGAAAGTGAACCAATAATAAAAAAATTCAATGTCCAACAGTTGAGAATGTTAAAAACAGTTGTCTGTTATGACCTTAATTATAAACAGACATTTAAGTTATTATTATTATTGTGAGACAGAGCCTTATTCTGTTGCCCAGGTTGGAGTGCAGTGGCATGATCTCAGCTCACTGCAGCCTCTGCCATCTGGGTTCATGATTCTTGAACCTCAACCACCTGAGAAGGGATTACAGACACCTACCACCACACCTGGCTAACTTTTTTGTATTTTTTAGTAGAGACACAGTTTTGCTATGTTAGCCAGGCTGTTCTTGAATTCCTGGCCTCAACTGATCCACCCACCTTGGCCACCCAAAGTGCTGAGATTGCAGGCGTGAGACACTGCACCCAGCCATTTAAGTTATTTTTCGTGTTGATTTTAATTACCTGTTTTTGTTAATTAATTATTTCTTAAATGTTTCTTATTGTGACGTGTTATTATTTGCTAAGTTTAACCCTGAATCTTATTGCCTATTTTTTTTTATAAAGGTCTTGCCTGATTCCCAATTTTTCTATGTCCCAGACTTCTCCACCACCATAAATCCTTAATAGAAGTAACTCCCAATCCGTGCTTCACGCATAACTTACCTTGTTTTCTCTTAGTTCCTTTTGCCTGAGAAGTCAGAACAGATTCACAGGTTTCCCCCTGGCCATTGTGCGGGTGTTGGAGCTCTACCAGTCATTTATGCTACACGTGATCCCTTTAAGTGTGAGCTCCTGCTTCTTTCACCAGCCCACCCCTTAAGTTTTGTTCAAGTTTTTCCAAGACGCCTCTACTGAACTACCCTGAGAACTACACCTAAGAAAAAGCAGATACCTCACAAATTACAGTCTCTCATTCCTCCTTTTGGCCTGCTGCCATTGCAAAAGTACAGTCTTCCCATGAAAGGATGGATGTGGTGGAGGTTACAGGTTGGCATTCTCCTTGAGCAGCTCCTTTAACCAAGCTGCAGCTTTCATGAGGTTTTCTCGAGAACAAGGGCTAGCTTTGTGCAAGGATTGTACTTTAGAAAACAAAAACAAGAACAAAACAAAACACAAGGACTTCCCTGAACTGGAATGTCTCTTGGCATTTATTTTCAAGGAATCCAGCAATTGTTGAGCCTTTACTAGAGGTCGGATACCATGATATCCACTTAAAGTCTAAAAACATAAAAAGAGATAGCCCCTACCCTCAACTCATTGTCTTCTAGTAGGGCAGAGAGTGATGCAAGCAATTGCAATATAAAATATACTCTGATAAGTTCTGTAATATACAAGAAACATGAAAGTGTGCAGGAAAAAAATGGGCTTCTTTTCATTGAGAAAATCTGTCATGAACTTTAACGAAGAGTGAGGAAAGGGAAGGTTGTGGTAAACAGAGAAAAGATAGCAGGAAAACAGCATTCTAAGAAGAGCGAAAAGTATAAATAGAAATACAAACACTTGTAAGTACGTATTTGAGCAACAGAGGACAGTCTAAGTGACTGATTTATGGAAGAAAATAAAGAGAAATGACTATGGGTCATTTGGCACCCAACGGAAACTTGTCTTATATACTCTACATCCCTTTTCCTTTATCTTCATCCTATGACATGGGCTCAAGTGTTTGGAAATGAGTTTCTTTCAGAATTACTGTTTAAGTATGTTTCGTCTAGCTTTTGTTGAGATGGGTGGCTCCCTATGAAGTGGCCCTGGCTAAGTGAATCCTGGAGTTTCTCTCATCTGAAGCTTAATTGATTATGTAAGGGCCATGGTGGGTAGAAAACAGTAAGACAATTTGCTTTCTTTATAATCAATACATTTTTTGATGACCTTGTTGTTCTGCATTGCTTTCTTAGAAGAACTGAGGCAGATTTATAGTCAAAAGGTAAGTTATCATCTATGCACTAACAATTATATTAAACAATAATTTACCCCACAAATATTTCACTCTAAGTACCAGAAAATGCTCTAAGCAACAATGGTATACAAATAATAAGACAGCTCTCCTGCCCTGAGATGGCTTACATTGCATGCTTCTTGTAAAAAACAGAATGGTTGTTAGATATTAGCATGAGTTCACTAAAATATTATTTTTATGTAACCTCCATCTGAAACTCTCTAAAGCTTAGCCTCTTGGATTGCAAAACTCTTGGAAGCTTAACCTCCTGAATTATAAAATGTATTTAATAAAGTTTGCCTAAAACATAAGGTTTTATTGAGTTTTATATTCATTATATACAAAATATTTTACATGCTGTAGAGTGTTATACAAATATAAGGTATAATTAATAACAAGACTACTATTTATTTTTATTTTTCAGAATTTTATATCCTGGCAAGTCATGGGTATATCATGTAAAGTGTATCTTAAATTCAGATAGGTAATTATTTTAATAAAAGAGACTTCATCTTTGCCATCGTGGAAGAGAAAAATCACAAATAAGTAAAGTCAAAAGCATTTGAGTGAAAGTAGAGCCAGAGTATGTGCTGAAAAAAACTAAGAAGAATTTTCAAAAAACAAAAGAGTAGATTTCATGAGGTCAATTAATAGAGAACTGGCCAGAAAAAAATTTAATTAATATGTGTTTGGACTGATTCTTTACCAAAATTGTCATTTCCATGCCCACAAGTTCAGCAACAAAGTTTCCTTAAAATGGTTTCTCTTTCTGGATCCATTCCCTCAAGTTGTAAAACTTGCAAATCTCTCTTACTACATCTCATCTCTTTTTTGTAGCCACTTGTGCTCTCCTCCCTGGGTCCAGAGGCACCCAGCAATATGGATAATTTTCTATTTATCAAGGCTACCCTACTGTTACATTGAATATTGTTTTGTCTATCACATGCTCCAAGTCACCTTTTCTTTTTATATGCAGTCCGTGGTTCATTCTGAGGATTTTAGCCAGAATTACAGTGCCTAACTCCAAATTCCCTATCTTTTAGAAAGGGGAGATAGGCAACACTGTACTTTCTTACATTCAAATTAGTGCTTTCTCAGTGCTTCTGGAGTAGGCTTATGTGCCTAGACACTTCATTAAGCTTAATTTCTTCCTCATATACCTACCCTGGGAATTCGAGATAGGCTGATTTTTTCCAAGACTAGAGGCCAGATTTCAGCTCTAGTGTAGCTACTCATGCCCTCTTCTGGCCTGCAGTGAGAAGCCTGCACATCGCCCCCTGTCCCCCCATTCCTCTGCCAACCAGGAACAAGCACCATCATGTTTAAATGTGCCCAAATGGTCAGTACACAGCTCAGACCATCATTTATCTGGGACTGTGCTTTAGCTTAAGTGTGTAAGATGCTTTACATGTAGTCATTTTCTCCATGTCATGGTGGGTATATATATTAATGCATGACATACATGTAGAATAACATGGGGCCTTGGAATCAGATCCTCTGGTTCATTGCCCGGCGCTGCCACTTACTAGCCTGTGATCTTATGTAAATTAACTCACTTTTCTGTATCCAATCCTGTGTCTTCTAAGGTGTGGCAGGGAAGGGCAGAAATCCAGCCAACGATTTAGGTCCCTCTAGATGAGTGAAAAGATAGGGAAGGAAATGTACTACAGGAAAGCATAGCATAGGCACAGTGCAGAAGAAAACCTGTGGTCAAGGGCTCACCTTAAACTCCTTGGAAACAGCATATTGGGCAAGAGGCAAATAGGTCATAATCTACCTGACCTCCTTAAAATCTGAAAGCTTTCTTGATACAGGCTGTGTGTTTGGAAGGGAGGGAGTGGAAAGGGCGACACCATGAGTGGCTGACATTGATTTCTCAGTAGGCTTTTGCAAAGCCCTAATTCTACTCACTCCAGACCCGGGGTTTTGCTAATGACCTCTGTGTGGAAGAAGGGCCTACACTGGCTCTTTTAAGGTAGCCCCAGGAAGTGGTAAAAGCTGAACTTAATAACACCTCCAAAGCCCTCTACTGTTTCCTCCAGACCTCACCTGCAGCCACCCACTACCCACCTCATCTCTAAAATACATACCAATTCAAGACAGCGATCGGTCTCTCTCCTTCCTTGCTTTTTCTTTCTTTCATTCTCTCTTTCTTTCCCTCTCTCTTTCTCTCATTTTTTGTCTTTCTTTTCTTTTCTTTTCTCTCTTTCTTTCTTTCTTTTTTCTTTCTTTCTTTCTTCTTTCTCTCTCTCCCTCCCTCCCTCCCTCCCTTCCTTCCTTCCTCCCTTTTTCTTTTCCTTTCTTTCATATAGTTCCTCAAATTCATACTTCTCTTTTTCTCTTTAGTTTTACTGGAGTTGATTGTGGGAGGAGGAGCCAGCCACCTATATGATTTCCTCAATTTAACAAGAAATTGTCACTTGTTTTTCTAATTCCATACACATGCTGCCCTGTCTATCTTATCTGACTCCTTTTTTTGTTTGTTTGTTTGGAAAACTGCTTCTCATTTCTGCATCTAGTTTATTTGTGATGTAGTCTTGGAAAATTTTTTTCACTGCAGACAAATATGTCTGTTTCCTCCTTGTGCTACTCTAGCACTTGATAGAAGACTGAATTGTATTGCCATTCACTGCCCTTTTGAATTGTATTGCCATTTTTTCTTCATTTCTGTCTCACCAGGGTAAGGAACCATTCATGTTTCTTTTAGTATCCTGAATTAAGTACAGAACCTGACTCATGATATGTATTTAGTAAGTGTTTAAGTGAATTTGAGATGAAAAACTACACTGAAGTGTTCTGTGATGGAAAAGCTTGGACTAGAACCCAGGTCTCCTGCTTCTCCTGTCCATCCTCCTTCTCAGAATAATTTATAAAGTCTCCAAAACGCAATCTTGAAACAATGCCAATTCAGTTGCAGGGGATAAAGCAATGCCACAAGAGCATTTGCATCTGAACGGGCAAGCCGTGCCACACATTTTGATTTGACAGAGCATCTTTAATATAAACAAGTATCCCAAAGAATCTTAACAATTCACAGATAATGGAATTACAAATATAAATAATTTACAGCAGAAGAGATAAAGAAACTAAAAGGATAACAACCAATATGAAAAGGGCAGAGGTAACTGACTTTAGAGTTCAAATTCATAACATATTGGAGAGGTAGATGGGACCCAGGGTCATAGAGAGGCCATTACAGAGTACAAAGTCTTTAGAGGACAAGGCGGCTACTCTAAGTATGAAGAACATTTGCGGGCAGATGGAAAAGAGGCGAGTGCAAAGCAAACAGACAAGACAAGAAATATCCTTGGGAGGCGAAACCAGTGAGCTAAATTCAATCTGGTTTTAATCTCTTTCTATTTTAACATCAAGTTTAATATCAAGTATTTGGAAGGCAGTTTAAGCAGAAAAAAAAATCCTGTGTATAGTTTTCTTCATTTGTTAGAGGATAGAATAATGCAGTCACAGTCTTATAAACTCAAGAAAACAGAGAACAGGCAATACATTCCTGTGACTCTCCTCCAGGGTAATGAGTGGCCTGGCTCGTCTGGGCCTGGATCACTCTGTTTATTATTAATCATTAAGAACTTGCATTCTATTCAGATTCAGTTTTATTAGTTCCCTGTAGGTTCTGCTGGTCAGGAAAGGGTTACAGATCAATCCTTACTTTATAGGTGAGGATGCTGAGCTGTGGAGAGTATAAGGGTTTTAAATAATCTTGGACTTAGACATGATTTTGGTATGACTTGATTTGTTGGCATTCTGCATTGTGTTCATTCATAAACATATGTTTATGTTCATTCATAAACATAAATCTCTCTCATTTGGTTCAATGGCCAAAGCCTAAATCAATTAAGAGAAATTTAGGTGTATAAGTCATCCTAAGGTATAGCTGTACTTAAGTCATCAGTTAGAGATGAGGAAACTGAGGCTCCAAAAGGTTAAATGACTTAATTGCAATCTAAGCAGAGTTGGTTCATGGTATAGGCAGGCCTAGAACTCAAATCTGCTGATTTTCAGTTCTGTTTTCTTAGAAACAATACTACCTCCTGTGTCCTGATTAGAAAAGCATAAGTCACGCTCCAAAGTGACCCTCTAACATGACAAAGCTTACAATAATCTGCTTAGACTGCTGTGAAATAAGTGGTGCTAAAAGATCCGTCAATGGGATGAAATAAATTATAACATAAACTTTAAAAAATAACTTGGCAGGGCCGGGCGCGGTGGCTCACGCCTGTAATCCCAGCACTTTGGGAGGCCGAGGCGGGCGGATCACGAGGTCAGGAGATCGAGACCATCCTGGCTAACACGGTGAAACCCCGTCTCTACTAAAAATACAAAAAATTAGCCGGGCGTGGTAGCGGGCGCCTGTAGTCCCAGCTACTCGGGAGGCTGAGGCAGGAGAATGGCGTGAACCCGGGAGGCGGAGCTTGCAGTGAGCCGAGATCGCGCCACTGCACTCCAGCCTGGGCGACAGAGCGAGACTCCATCTCAAAAAAAAAAAAAAAACTTGGCCTGCTTGGATTTTTGTTTAATATTTTAAATAACTACTTCAAAATAGCCCTTTCAAAGGAGAGCACTTTTTTTTCCTAGAAAAGGAACCCATTAATGATTTCGAAAAAATTAATTTATTGCATCTCACTCATTGGCCCCAAAGAAGACTAAGGAGATTAGATTTAGCATTTGGAGGAGTGGAATCAAGAAAAGACAAAGAATATGAAACATTGTTGAAGAAGAGCAAATATTTCACTGGTAGCAAAGGACTGTGACAGTTCTACCTATGTGATAAATAGACCCAATATTCTTATTTTTCCCCATGTTTTAAATTTAACTAAACACCAATATTCTTGTTTTCCAGTAATGTTAATATTAATATCTTGAATATCTTAAAAATTATTTCATGAATCCTTAATCTTAGCCTGTGAAGAGAAAGATCATAATGTTGGGAGTTGTAGTAGTCAGCCTCCAAGATGGCCCCTAATAATGCTATCTTCTGCTTTCTCTAATCTTTTTTTTTTTTTTTTTTTTTGAGGCGGAGTCTCGCTCTTGCTGCCCAGGCTGGAGTGCAATGGCGCGATCTCAGCTCACTGCAACCTCCGCCTGCCGGGTTCAAGCAATTCTGCTGCCTCAGCCTCCTAAGTAGCTGGGACTACAGGCACATGCCATCATGTCTGGCTAATTTTTTGTATTTTTCGTAGAGACAGCGTTTCACCATGCTGGCCAGGCTAATCTTGAACTCCTGACCTCATGATCCACCCGCCTCAGCTTCCCAAATTGCTGGGATTACAGGCGTGAGCCACCATGCCCCGCCACTTTCTCTAATCTTGTATAGTCCTATTCCAACTTGTACCCCACAGGGTTAGCCTGTGTGACCGACAGCATATGGCAGAAGTGAAGATACTTCTGAGATTAGGTTATAAAAGACCATGGCTTTTATCTTAGGCTGTTTCTCCACTTCCTTCCCTTCTCCTCCTCTTTTTTTCTGCTACTTCTTTTTTTTGTTTTGTTTTGTTTTGTTTTGTTCTTTGTCTTCTTCTTCTCGTATCTATCCCTCTCCACTTCACACATTCACTCTAAGGAAGCCAGCTTCCATGTCTTGAGGACACTGAGGAATCTCTGTGGAGAGGCTCATGTTGACAGGAACTGAGATTTCTAGCCACAGCCAGTAAAGAACTGAGAACTCCAGCCAACTGCCATGCGAGTGTGTCAGCCTAGAAGCATATGCTACCTGAGTAAAGGTTTTAGCAACCTCATGAGAAGCCTTGAGTCAGAACCATCCAGTCTCTGAATTCCTGATGCTCAGAAATTGTTAATAAACTTTGTTTTTTTTAAGCCATCGTGTTCCAGGGTGTCTTTTTAAATGCAGCAATAGGTGACTATTACATAGGCATAGTGGGTTTGAAGAACTCATTAAGATATCACTCTCTACATAAATAAACATGTTGTAAGGACTACTTATTGGCCAAGGAATGCATTCTACCTTAACCTATAGCAATAAATTTGTAGCCTGAAACATAACTGCAATGGACTAAATGTTTGTGCCCCTCCCCCAAGTTCTGTGTTCAAATCTTAACCCCCATATAGTGATAATAGCAGGTGAGGCCTTTGAGAGTTAATTAGATCATGAAGGTGGTACCCTCATGAATGGTATTAACACCCTTAAAGGAGACACCAGAGAGCTCTCTCATCTTCTTACCGCAAGTAAAGATACAATGAGGAATCAGCAGCCTGCAACCCAAAAGAGGACTTTCACCAGAACTTAACCATGCTGGCACCCTGCTCTTGGACTTTTAGCCTCCAGAATGGTAAGAAATAAATTTGTATTTTTTTATAAGCCACTCAGTCTATGGCACTTTGTTATAGCTGCCTGAACTGACTAAGCCAAGGCCTTCTCAGAAAAACACAATATTTCTTTGACTTCCCTTGCATTTAGATTTGGTATTTGACTAAATGTCGGCCAATGGGATATAAGCCGATATATATATATAAAACTTCTGACTCATCTTTAACTTTACAGTTTTGAATGTGGCCTGGACCAGTCTTCTCTTTTCTTTCCCATAAGATGCAACATACTAAGGGATAGCAGAGTTTGTAAATTAATAGAAACTGAGTCCCAGGATGACAATTAAGATCAGGACCAGCCTTGAGATTGTTTGTGAGAAGGGAATAAATTGTTTTCCTTTTTAAATTTGTTCATAGTATTGTGGGGTACAGCAGGTTAGTCTTTCCCCTTATTAATAGAAGGTATTGAAAAGTTACCCAATGCATAGATCATTGCTATCTGTAGATATGAAAATGCCGGGGAGAATAGCTCTAACAGAGAAATGAGAAAATTGGTTAAGGTGGTCAATTGAGGAAGGGAAACTGAAAATAAGAGTGAAATTCAAACTAACTCAATACCTGGAGTACCCTAGTCAAATGCAGGACAAAGACCATTTAAAGTATATACTTTGACGTACCACTTCTAGACAAGGGGACTTCCTCTAGGAATTTACTTCTAGAGTAATCATTAGCCGTTTCTTGCCACCAAATGCAAATAAGACCCTGAAATAGTCTCTTTTAAGTTAACCTCACTTCATTTGAGAAATTCCCAATTCTCTTAAAGTATCTGTCCTTTTCCCTTCCTTTGCCAACTTATTCTTACCTCCTTTATGCATCCAGAATGTTATTTCTTGTTGTTATCAGCTCTCAGTTTAATACTGAGGCTGGCTAGCTTGCATGAGTTAGCTTGGATTAAACTGCAAAGTAGGTTTCTGTCTTCATGAACTACCACTTTTATTGCTCAGGTTTTTTTTTTTTTTTTTTTTTGTGACTGAGATGGGAATATGGGTTTGAGTAAGGGTATTTTGGTCATCTTTAATGAGAAACAGGTTAAATTAATAAAAAAAAAACCTAAAAAATGCTAGAGAAGAAAATGATAATAGTAACTTGAGGTGCTGTAATTGGACAGTAAGAGGCATAAATCTGACATAACCACAAGACTAAGTGTTATTTTCCCTTGAAGTCATGTCTCCATAACTAAAGCCTGTTTATATGGCAAATAACCCGAGGATTCATTTCATCATAATATGTTCAGGTAGTACTGCAGTCTTCTTATTGACTGAAACAATGAGAATCAAATCTCCAACTGTTACTGACTAGTAAAATGTACTAGGTTAATGATTTTTTTTTTTTAATTTGCCTTCATCAGATAACCCACTATTTTTCTGGCTAATTTGGAATTCAGAAGTAACCTTTGTTTCCTGTTTAGCAATTCTTAACGTTTCCTTTTTTGTTGTTTGTTTTTGTTTTAACATAGCAGCAGGATAGGACACAATTACTTCACACAGAGTGGCTCACTTTCACGGTGCTCTTGAGTAAATACAGAGACCCTGCTCATGTCTGCCTGTATTGAGAATCATCGTTCTAGCACTTCCAGTCAGTTCAGTTCCGTGGGTAATTACGAGCACCTTGGGCTAGTAGAATCCCTTCCTTCATAGCTTAAATTTTCCCCAGCTCTTCAGAGCTTGCCCATTTTTTCGTGTTTTGGTTCAGGCTATGCAAACTCTGTAAAGTTTGTCCCAGCTCCTCTTTTTTCCCATTTACATTTCTTGTGTCCAGATCAGTTTTGTTTTTGACCAATGATATGGATGGCATGCTTTATGAGCTCTATGCTGCCTCTTACTTTCTTCTCATCAATTCTATGACCCAAGGCGACAACATCCTGTCCCACATTTAACCTTTTATTTATTTATTTATTTATTTTTCTGGCAGGCTTTAAGGATAGTTGACCAGGGTGAGGAATTCAAACATAATGTGGCACAGGGTTAAGTTAACTAGCTCACATTCAGGTGAAAGAGGAGAGCTTATTAGAACCAAATAATGTAGCTGTTGATTCCATTGGCTCTGCTTTCTAAGTAGTAACTCAACTGGTCACAGGCACAGTACTTACTAGGTGACTGTATAGGGCAGTATCTGTCTAACTAAGATGTTCTTAAAAGCTTTTTTTTTTTTATTCCTGAGGATTAGATGACTCAGTTTTTTATTTTTTTTCAGATAAAGGAACATAGTATCAATTTTCTGAGCCCTTATATGAGCTAGACTGTTTGATGTTCACTGTCTACTCTCTGACACTCCTACCTAGGATCATGAACCTTTAGTAAAAAGGACCCATAATATACCCTGTCTCTTAGGTGACTCTATATCCACTGATAAATATTGTAAATTGCTCTTTAAAATTTAGAGATGTTATGATTAACACGCCCTTCCATTCACTCTAACATCATTTCTGTGAATATCGAGAGGACATATTTGATCTGTTTGATTAGGGCAAGATGGTCAGACAATGGCTGTGCCAGGTCATAGTCTAGCATTTGTGATTACTGGGTCACATGGGCTTCATTATGCTAATAACTATGCTATCCATCCATACAGATATTTAACTTACTGACTTCGAGGTTATTTCAGATATTTTCCATATCTTGGGGAAATTATACGTCATTAGATGTAAAGTCATTTTAATTAAGGGTACATTAAAAGTAAAAAACAAATTATTGATGGGGTAATGTCTCAAGCATCAGCAGACTCCATGAATGAGAGCAGTACTGCTCAGACACCAATCATTCTTGTCTTTAGCTGCAGCTTATTTTATTTTTCAGAACCATCTCTAATTAGAGTTTTGAAACGAGACCCCATAAACAAACTCTAAATTATATTTGACAAACTAGATATTCAATTTTAAATATTCTGCATGTTCTAATACACAGCAGAGAGCCCAGAGAAACATGACCAGCATAGCAAGTGAAGTCAGCAAACATGATCAGAATGCATAATGCAAAATCCATACTCAGTAGTTAACTTTTTTGTTTTTCTTTTATAATTAATGAATACCAGAATATTCTGTTTGTGGAGAAGTTGGATTAAAACCATAAATTATTATTGAAGCAGCCAGGTACAGGTTTGACATTATTATGCACAGTGAGAGGTGTTTAAGCATTAAACTGTTTGAGGCACCATCATCAAATAATTTTAGTTTGAATTTGTTATATTTTAAAGGTCCAGATTAGCCCATATTTCTTTGAAGGCCATCCTTAGATAATATTTTATATATTCCTTAATCATTTCAAATATTGTGCTTATATTGCTTGGAGTCTTAGCTCCAAGGACTCTTCTTTCTAAGAGTATAGTAGGGCTCCACCCACAATCAATAGCTGCTTTAACACATTGGTATGTGGAGACTTTTTGGAGACATTTGGTGTTGTAGAAACTGTGTGTTTCAAGTCTGAAAGTAACATGGTTGAGGTAGATTTCAATATGTTTCATATCACTTCATGTAAACAAGCAGATTCTTCAATTGCTCACATACTCTTTGAAGAAATGAAATTTGATCAGAGGGGGAAAAATATTACCTGAGCCATGGGATTTCTGTGATTTTCTTTGTATATTTCACAAACCCAGCACTTAGTGGAATATTGACTAGGAAACAAAATCACTAAAATTTTTACGGCTGTATTTTGGAACTTCCAATTTCTCTCTTTCATTTTACAAGTGTTTATTATGTACTTACTATGCACTAGGCAATCTTTCTCGAACTAGGAATAAAATGATAAGCAAGAAAGGCCAAGCCTTTGTGCTCATACAACTTATATCTTGGAGAGTGAAACATATGATAAATAATAAACAATAAGATATTGTAAGTTCTACTCCTTGTGACTGCTATGACAAAAAATAAAACGAGAATAAAGGGAGTGAGTGGTGTCTGTTTTATAAAGTGGACAGAGAAGACCTTGTAGAGGTGATAGTTAAGCGGTCTGACAATAGAGGAGGGGGCATTTCATGACAAGATAACAATGACAGACAGTATTCAGCCACTTTCTCTACTTAGCCACCTTCTAAGCATCTTACACAAATAAAATCATTTGATCCCCATCACGACTCTCTGAAGTAGGTGTGACTATTATCCTCATTTGACTGACAGACTGAGAGTCACAGGCACTAGGCAGTTTTCCAAGGTCATGCACTTAGCTTGTGTCAAAGCTAGGCCTTTAACCCAGCAAGTCAGGATTCAGCATCCACATTATTAACTGCTGCACTACCTTGCTGAGAGAAGATGTCTCTAGATAGAGAAAACAGTCAATGTAAGGTTGTAAAGATATCAGTGTCATAAAATGTCAGGGTACTCAATGAATGACAAGCATCTCAGTGTGGCTGAGAAAGGTGAGGAGAAGAGAAGTATCAGATGAAGCCGCAATACAGTATACCATGGTAAGTCTTTGGCGTTTATTTTGGGCACAATGAGAAACCTTGCAGGCTTTTAGGTAGAGAGGCAACATTACTTGTTCTAAGCTTTCAGAAAGACACTTTGGCTACTTCCTGGTAGATGAATTTTGGGTTAGTATGTCTGAAGACCAAAAAGAATGAGGGGTGTGTGTGCTGCTACAGGACAGGGACGTTAGTGGTTTAGGCTAGCATAGCTGTGTTAGTGAAATGTGATGAGTTTGAGATACATTTGAAGGATGAGCCATCATGATTACACAGATCATATGTGGGAGAAAGGCAGGTAAAAATACATCCAAGTGGAGTGGTTTAGACATGTTGAATATACAAATTAAACATTAAGACCATGGGCTAATCTCATCCATTAGTATACCAAAATGCATACTTAAACAAGTTCCAGCACAAATATCAATATATCATATTTCATCATTCTAATATGCAAGCTTTATCACACTTCAATATATCTGGAATTACTATTCTCTTTATTACTGATAAGAGTTTAGGTTCAGGCCCGGCGCTGTGGTTCACGTCTGTAATCCCAGCACTTTGGGAGGCCAAGGCAGGCTAATCACCTGAGGTAAGGAGTTCGACACCAGCCTGGCCAACATGGTGAAGCCCTGTCTCTAGAAAAATACGAAAATTAGCTGGGCGTGTTGGTGTGCTCCTGCAATCCCAGCTACTCGGGAGGCTGAGGCAGGAGAATCGCTTGATCCCAGGAGGCAGAGGTTGCAGTGAGCTGAGACCAAGCCATTGCACTCCAGCATGGGCAACAAGATTGAAACTCCATCTCAAAAAAAATAGATAAATATATAAAACTTTAGGTTCAATAAAATGTTAATTGAACTTTCCTTTCACATAGGAAAAGTTGTTAGCATTTGCTAAGTTGTACCTTTCCTTGATATTTCCACATTAATATTTCTCTTTTCTAGGAGTCTCTACGAGAATATATGGCATGTTCAACTCCTTTACACTGTTTTTTAAACATGTGTTGCATGTATGTTCTGCTTTCAATATTAAAAAAACAAACTGTTTTGGAGCAGGAGTTTCCTCTTCTGTGCATTTTGGTATTCCATAGAGTACCAAAGTTAGAAATAGAGCCAGAGTTAGAAATGAAGTAACAAGCTCAATAAATTACTCTTGAGTTGACTTGACAGGTGTCAGTGGGGTGCTACGCTATTCAGAATTTCCTTTTCCAATGGCAAAATTCAGCTAAATGTCTATTTCTTGAGTCTCTGTTTTGTTGGCTAATTGGCTATTAGAGTAAACAGAAATATCATCTGTATAATCAAAATTCTAACAGGATAGGAAGGGACAGGGAAATATTCTTTAAGGAAATGAATAAGAGTGAAAAGGTTACTGAAGAAAGAGACACAGAGAATAAATGTCTTCACTACAAATACACAGCATTAATAGACATGAGCAGGGCACGAGCTGCCTAAATGTTTATTATATTTCCTTTTCCAGATGAGCTCTTTCCTTTTCCTTTTCAAACTGGCTTATTGTAGATCATGACTAAATATTAGAAAAATAACATCAGAAACGTGAGGAAGTTCAAAAGACCCACATTATATAATAAGATGACTTAAAAAATACATTTTGAAATATGCACATGTAAAACAAACTTACCAAAATGTTACACTGAGTGTTCTTCTGAATACATAATAAAATATATATGTATACATATATATGTTTGTACATATATGTATGTATGTATATATACATATATGTATGTATATATGTATGTATATGTGCATATATACATACATATATGTATATGTGTATGTATATGTGTATATATACATACATGTGTGTATATATGTATATATGCACACATGTGTGTATATATGCATACATATGTGTATATATGCACGTGTATATATGTATATATGCACACATATATGTGTATATATGTATGTATATATATACACACATATATACGTACATATATATGGCTCTATTTCTAACTTTGGTACTCTATGGAATACCAAAATGCGCAGAAGAGGAAACTCCTGCTCCAAAACAGTTTGTTTTTTTTAATATTGAAAGCATAACATGCATGCAACACATGTTTAAAAAACAGTGTAAAGGAGTTGAACATGCCATATATTCTCGTAGAGACTCCTAGAAAAGAGAAATATTAATGTGGAAATATCAAGGAAAGGTACAACTTAGCAAATGCTAACAACTTTTCCTATGTGAAAGGAAAGTTCAATTAATAACATTTTATTATACCTAAAGTTTTATATATTTATTTATTTTTTTGAGATGGAGTTTCAATCTTGTTGCCCATGCTGGAGTGCAATGGCTTGGTCTCAGCTCACTGCAACCTCTGCCTCCTGGGATCAAGCGATTCTCCTGCCTCAGCCTCCCGAGTAGCTGGGATTGCAGGAGCACACCAACACGCCCAGCTAATTTTCGTATTTTTCTAGAGACAGGGCTTCACCATGTTGGCCAGGCTGGTGTCGAACTCCTTACCTCAGGTGATCAGCCTGCCTCGGCCTCCCAAAGTGCTGGGATTACAGGCGTGAACCACAGCGCCCGGCCTGAACCTAAACTCTCATCAGTAATAAAGAGAATAGAAATTCCAGATACAATGAGGTGTGATAAAGCTTGCATATTAGAATATATGTGTATATATGTATACATATATGTATGTTTATATCTACATATAGTAGATATAAAATAGTAAAAAATTTATAGGCATGCAACAACAACAGAGTTCATTAGTCTGCATACTTAGCAAGTTGATTTAAAAATTTAGACTCTCAGACTTTGATCTGCAGAAGGGTATCCTGGTCCTGAACACTCAAAGGTAGCCAGACCTTGGTGCTTTTTGGACTTGGGTAATAACAGACAGCTGAAACCGAAACCTTCCCTAGAACAATTGTGTCTACAGTTCCCTTCACACTTCTAATGTGTATAAAAATCACATGAATTATTTTAAACTAATGGCCACAACTTGGATAAATAAAATGCAAGAAATGAAAATCAGAGACTTTTCTCTCAAATTTATTCCTATTAAATCAGTACATCTTTGGTTCAGAAACCACTGTGAAATTTCAAGAATGCATAACATAGTCAGTACTATTTATAGCAATTTATAAAATACACTACCTAAGCATATAATATGGGATATTACAATATAGAATAATGGGAACACATCGCATTGTTAGCCCTGATTCAAAGCAAAATGAATAAAAGGAAAGTCATACTTTTTCCTTGTTCAGAATTTGTCTTTCAAAGTCAAAGCAAAGACACGAACTGATCTAACTCATATAGTGTCTTGAATATTTCTGGAATATTTATGCATGGCAGAGTTTATTCCAGAGACTATCACATGGAGCAAAATACAAAATAAAGGGGGAAGCTACTCTGCACAGAGCTCTGTAAATTTTTTGGGAATGTTGCACTAAAGAGATTCCAAGACAGCCCTCTGATATCCTGCCCCAAGAACACCCAACTCAATCTGCTAAATGCAAATTTCACTCATAAAGGCTATGTGGGGAATTCAGACGAGAAGTTTAAGAGAAGGGCCAAAAGGAAACCAAAAGACTGGGGAAGGAAATTAACCAAGTTCCAGAGCAATTTGCGAACCAGTGAATTAGGAAGAGCTGCTAAATAATTGGGTAGACATAAAAGCACAAGCTCTCTGGAGGTCAAAAAGAGATAAGGTTCAGAAATAAGGTGTGTGGAGATTTCATGAAGGAGCCCCTTTGAATTACTTCTTTTTTTTTTTTTGAAATGGAGTCTTGCTCTGTTGCCCAGGCTGGAGTGCAGTGGCACAATCTCGGCTTACTGCACCCTCCGCCTCCTGGGTTCAAGTGATTTCCAGCTAATTTTTGTATTTTTAGTAGAGACAGGGTTTCACCATGTTGGCCAGGCTGGTCTCGAACTCCTGACCACAAGTGATCTGCCTGCCTCGGCCTCCCAAAGTGCTAGGATTGCAGTCCTGAGCCACCGCACCTGACCTGAATTACTTCTTTTATTTTACTTTTCTTACTTTCTGAAGCCCACTGAAATTAGTAAAAATTAAAGACACAAAAAACTATCTGTACTCATCTTTAAAATGGCCATAATTGCATACCATATGCTCTGAAAAATATTACCTGGCAGATACAAGAAAAAGAAATAAAGAAGTTAAAACATCTTTTAAAGCATTCATGTAGGCAAGTCCAGGCTATGGTATTGCGAACCGTTTAGCACCCAGGACACCCTCAATCTCTCTTTATTGAGTGAAGAACAGCATGATTTGATTTGGACCACCCATAATTCCAGAACAATGTAGCATTCTGAAAGTGAGCTAGTTCTAAGAGGTCTCATAAATACCTTAACGTGGGGTGTGAGAGACAGCTGTGGAGTCACGCCAATGCAAAATAATGTTACTCAGAGTGAGACAGTTTCTACTAAGTCTAACTGCAGACAAAATGGGACTGAAGATGAGATAAAGATGAGACCATTTTTCTCCACCCACCACCCAAGTCAGTTAGGAGAGTCATCTGAGAAGGTAGGGGTAGAAGATGTAGGAAAGAATAAGCCGCAGCTAGTTGGGTGGCTGCTTAAAGCTGAGTAGTGACAGCTAAATGTCTCCTGACATCCAAACAAAAGGCTTGTGAGGAAACTTTCAAAGAAAGACCTTCCAAAAACAGCTATGCTGGCTAAATTATTTTAAAGTTTCAAGAAACAGATAACTTTCTTGCTAGTTAAACTATTTCAATTGCTAAAATTCTTAGTTTGCTTTTTTACAAAAATGTATCATGTTAGTAAATCACAAGCACAGTGATATTAGCTCAATACCTGACAAAAAGTACTTAAGTGTCATTTCTAAGGAAAAATAAAGTAGTGCCTTTAGTGGTGGAGATGGAGATAGAGATGGGGAAGATGTTGGGGTGGGGTAAGGGTGGACATTTTCTTAAAAGAAAATACTTAATATGAGAAAGCAAAAAACAAAAAAACAAGGGAGAGAAGTTATCTTCATTGAGAAGCATTACCACCAAAGTGAGATATAAGTATCCACTGTCATTAATACTACTTAGCATTATTTTGGAAATGTTACCAATGGCAATTAAGATACTTTGTAAAAAGATACTAGTTATGACTACATATGCATCCTTGGAAAACCTAAGAGATTCAACTAAGATGGCTGTTTATAAAATTAATATGACTATTAGTATTGTTTGTATATTTGGCTGCTCCTATATAATAAGATCAAAGTCACTTTTGTACTACCAAAAATACTGTAAAATGCCTATGATAAATTTTTTAAAGAAAAGCATGTACATAAGTTATATAATGCTTCTGTGGACATTTAAAAAATGAATAAATGAAGAATCACACTTTATTCTTCAATGATAATCTATAATTCAAAAGATTTGTTAGTATATATTACATTATTCTCTAAGCTAATTTATAACATCAATGATAACATCTACAAAATGCTACTGTGTGCAGGGCAGGTAGTTTAGTGATACACAGGAATAATCAATAATATAATCCCCTTATAACTATTTTGTAATCTAATTAAAATGTAAATACTTTAGTGTCAAATGATACAAAAATCAACTTATGAAAAGCAACACGTTTTTCCAAGCATCTATCTCCAGTGTTGTGCCCTACAAATAATCATTGCTGTTTACATTTTTAATTTCTATATTTAAAAAATTATCACCCATACACAATGAGCTTATACTATTATAAATGGACTCATATGCTGAATAAACTACTGACTTTTTACAGTGATGGGTGAGAATTTATCTCACTTGCTCGATATCACTAAAATCCTATTTGTACTTATTATATTGGTTATCAATCTGTAGCTTGAATAACTAGTTTTCTACCCAACATGCATTTTTCTCTCTTCCCTAGGGAAAAAAAAATTCCCTTTGTAATAAGAAAGTTTTACTTCAGCCTGGTGAGAGAGTGAGACTCTTTCTCAAACAAAAAAAGAGAAAGTTTTATGCTTTTTGTAACAAGAAAGTTTTATTCTTGTGACCTTTCCTCACCTTCTCCATTTTAACCTTCCAACCGCTGTAAATTGAATATTTATTTTCATATATCAAGGTTGATTATACTTACATTCAGTTTGCAACCCCAAGTACTCTATATTTCATCTATTGTTTCATTATAAGGGAATAAAATCAATAATTAGTATTTATATTTTTATACTTATGCGAATATTGTTTATTGTAGTTAAGTAGAACATTGTAATTACCTATCATTTTCTTGGGTAATTAAAAATTTTTTTTTTCCTAGCGTCTTAATTGACTTTTTTTTTTTTTTTTTTTTTTTTGCTACATCTGTCTTCATAATCCAAGCTTCTTCAAAATTCTCAAACATATCCTCTAGCTCAGAGGACCCCAACCTTTTTGGCACCAGGGACCGGTTTCATGGAAGACAATTTTCCCAGGGATGGTGGGTGGTGGGCGTGGGGATGGTTTCAGAATGAAACTGTTCCACCTCAGATCATCAAATAGGCATTAGTTAGATTCTCATAAGGAGCACGCAACCTAGATTCCCAGCTTGCGCGGTTCACATTAGGGTTTGCGCTCCTGTGAAAATATATGGCATTGCTGATTCAACAGGAGGCAGTGCTCAGGTGGTAACACTCCCTACCACTCACCTCCTGCTGAGCGGCCAGGTTCCTAAGGGGCCATAGACCAGTACCAGTCTGGACCGGGAGTTGAGGACCCCTGCTCTAGCTCATGGCATTCCTTATTCGTCCAAGACCTTCCTCCTGAAGTCCCTCTCAATGTGCCTGGATGTAATGCTCTCAAATCCAGCTGCACAGGTGGCATCCTGGGTCTTCATTTATCTGTGTCTAAATTCACTCTCCCCTGGATCATTTACATTCATTTTCTTGATTTACTCTCTTCTTCCAATGACTTCCTATGATTAAGCAGATCTGTTAGATAGACTTTATGAGAATTGGCATCTTGGTAAATTTCATGATATTGCTCTCACACATCTAATTGTAGATTCAAACATTACCCTCAAAATTGTAAGGAAATTTCCCTCATTGCATTCTAACAACCAAAGTACTCAATTAAATATCTAATCCCTGTCTTTATTTTAATTTTTTTAAGTTGTTCTCTATTTTCATCAGTATGGAGAAATTTTAAAATATATCTAAATTTGGAATATGAGTCTTTTATTATTTATCCTGCTTGAAACTTGGAATAATTTTTCAAATTTTTGATGTGTATCTCTATTTCACTTTGGAAAACAATTTCACATTGGTTCTTTGATAAATCTCTTGTTTTTCTGTTTCTCTTTCTGAAACTCCCATAAATCCAGTTTTGTGAATTCTGAATTAATGTTCTTTTCTATTATCTGTTCTATATTTTCACTGTCCTTGATATTTGATCCACAGTTTGGGAAGTAGCCCCAAGTTTACCTTTCAGGTTTCTATGGTTATAATTATGACTATTTTGAAAATTGTATTCAAATTTCTAAGAACTCTTACCTTTTGGACTTTATTCATAACATGTTTTTGTTTTAAGAATAGTCTATATTTTTGTAGTTTCTCTTAAGACAAAATCAGAACTTTAAAAGTTGACTTTTGTTCCCTCAGTTTTCTGTTTCTTTTGAGGAAGTTTATTTATCTTGGTTTTCTTCTTTCAAATGTCAGATTATACTCAAATATTTGCTAATTATTTGTTGTGTGTAAGATGATGCAAAGAGAGAATAGGAAATAACGTGACAAATTACATTTTTGTAGGTGAAAAAGGAAAAGCTAATCAAGATGTGTGTTTCCACAAATTCCAGAATATACAAGATTTTACTGTAAGACTTATTCACTTGGTATAAGAGACAAGTCATTAAATTTATGTAGAAAATAATATGTGTTGTTGTTGTTTATCTGATAGATTAAACTATATTTATTTGTTTTATTTTGTTTTTAATATCCTAGGCTCTTCTAGGCATTGGAGATACAACTGTGAACATTAATAGACCAAATTTTCTGCCCTCACAAATAATAAAGAAAAGAAATAATAATATATATAACACATTTGCTATATCAAAACTGAAAAGGAAGGGAAAGAGTATAAGAAATGTGTGTGGGTATATACATTGGGGAAGTCAGGTGAAAACTTTGTTTTGTTGTGTTATTCTTTTGCTTCTCATTGTTTGACAGACAGTCTTTGCTTAGGGAGTAAATATATGGCTTATAGAAATTACTTCTTGAAGTGCAGGTGGACAGTTTTCCATTAAAATAGACATCAACTTGAAAAAATGGCGGTAGTAAAAATAACTAGCCCATAAAATATTTACCATGGGTCAAATACTATTTTAATAACTTTACATTTTCCTAAAATTTGCTATGTAACTCATTCAATATCCATATTAACCCTATGATGTAAGTACTATTAATTATTACTACCATTTAAGTGAGACAAAGCTTAGCTTGAAAACTGGCTTTATCAAGGGGGTTAAGTACTTGAGTATTATATGTTAATCATACTCCCCTACGAATAAAAAATTAACTCATCCTCATAAATATATATTAGTTTACAGATTGTATACCTATGCTACTGTAATTAATCTACATATTTAATGTTTCCAGTTTCATTAGATACTAAATAAAATAGAAGGTTTTTCCCCTCTTCATTAAGTCCACTTCTTTACCTTGTACACACACCCTGCTGCTATCTAGTAGAGAAAGAAGAAATATATTCAGGAAAAGTACAACTGAGTGAATCTCTGTAATCAGAATTGTTTCAGCTGGATCTTGAAGAATTAGTAGTATTTCAAAGCAGGGACATGACCAAAATGCCTTCTGCATTATAAATGTATCAGCAAAACACTGATACAGGAAAATGAAAGAAGCATTTGGGAAAGACTAAGTCAACCGGAACAGAGCAGTATTCATAGAAAAGAATAATGGGAAAAACCTGAAAAATGGATTAGAACAATATTACTGAGGTTTCAATTCAAGAATGTATGGATCTTATCCTTTAACAATGAAAGTTAAAGAAATGTTTTGTAAATGGCTAGTGAGAGAATCAAATGGTGTTTTTAAAGTGCCACCTCATTTTTCATAGTAAAAGCAGCAGTTATAAACAAACACGGTAGAAAGAGATCTTAGATTTTCTTTTTCATGAAAGCAGGAAAAATGTATTTTAGACACCAGGGGATTATCTCCTCTTCCTCCCTTGATTCCATTCCACCTATCATAATAATTTTCTTTGGTAACTCCTAAGTAAACATTTTCACATCCTAGTTAAACATGTTTAACAATTGAAAGATGTACCTAATGCCCTGCAGTTACAGACACATCCTGGAAGTCTGGTTACCTGACTCCCAATCTGTGATTCATCACATATTGTTTCTGATTATCTTCACCCAGTTGAATAGTAAATGCAGAGGCCAGTGTGATGTATAATAATGAAACCCCTGTATTCTTGCTCCGATCTGCCCATTTTATTCCTCCCTTCTCAGAAATTTCAACCCTAAAATGTGACAAAAATATGTATTTTGATAAAGTATTTCAGGTAATTTATATTTTTCTTGTATAATTTTCTTACATATGCATTACAGAAATAAAAATTATAATGTATGATTTCTTTTATATATTGCTACATATAGTTGGCTAATTTTACTGAAGATTTTTCTTCCATGTGAATGGATTTTTTTCCTTGTACTATCAATGGTTTTTGTGTCAACATTTTACAAGCATCATAACATACATTGAGTAGTATTACTTCTCTCTTCATTTATTTCATTTCTTCTCATTTTCATACATTGAGTAGTACTTCTTTTTTCATTTCATTTCTTTCCTATTCCGTATATGACTTTGTTTAAAATTGGAATTACCTTAGAATATATAAACTTAATTATAAAGCAACTAGGCCCTGTAGTTGATTTGTAAGAATATTTTCTTTTTCTGAGCATGTTTGTTTTCTTCTTGTGTCAGTAGTAATAAGTTGTATTTTTCTCAGGATTTATGGATTTTATCTAGATTTTCAAATGCATCAGCATAAAGCTTTTTATAGTATTTCATGATTTTAAAAATTGCTAATATTGTTTATGCCTCAATCTAGCTGACTGCTATTCATTTACTATTATTTTTGATGGAAACTTTTGAATGTATTAGTTCCTCATTTGATTTTTATTTCAATGAATTGTATAAATTTATTATTTTCTTTCTTCCTTTCTCCCTTTTTTTACTTCTTTGAAATGTTTCCAGATTTTCTCCTTTCCACATTTGAAATTGGTTACTTAGTTCAATCTTTTGAATTTTTCACCATTTTGAATGCATATACTTAAGACTATAAATTTCATTTAATTGATACCTTAGCATTATCCCTAAGTTGTAACTATACTAATTTTCTTATCCCATTACAAATATTTTTCATATCCATTATAATTATTTAATTCGTGAGTTATTTAGAATTGTTTTTAAATTGCTAATCATAATTTTTGTAATTATTAATCAAAATACATTGTTGTTGGACTTCTGATATGTAGAATTTCAAACCATTGAAATTTGTCAGACTTGTATACCTAGCACACAGCAGATTTTTAACAAAGTTTATGAATTCTACAATTGTTGGTTGCAATATTTATATTCATCCACTAGTTAGGTTAGTTAAAATAATTGTTTAAATATTCTAAATTTCTATTTGTATTCTTGCTTGTTAAATCTATTAATTAGGAAAAAAGCTAAAACATTTATCAATCTCTCCTTATAGTTCCATCAGTTTGTGTCCAAGTTATTTTGATATGTCGTTCTTTGTGTAGACGAGTTTAGATTCATTGTTTTTAATCATCAAGAAAATTTGAAGCTTTTAATATTATGAAGTAATATTCTTTATTAAAATAATTTTTCTTTATTAAAATCTATTTTAGTTAAATAAAATAAATTCTATTTTACTTGCTATTAATAACTATTTGTTTAATGACACCAACTCTGTTAGTATTTGCCTAATAATTCCTTTTTATTATCTTTCTTAGTATTTCTCTCTTTTTTTCATGTCTTAGGTTGATTGCAGCTGATAGCATAAAACTATATTTTTGGAATCTAGCCTGCTGTTGTTATCTTTTAAACTAAGATTTTAGTCCAATTACATTATTAGTTAATAAAGGCAGTCAGAATATAGAAGTTCAGAATTCTGAATCTGCCACTTATTACCAGGTACATGACTTTGTGCAAAACACAAAGACTTTCTATGTCTCTTCATTATTTGTTAATTTGGATTTATAGTGCCAATTCTCTCATGAAGATATTGTGAAAACTAAATATATTAATATTTGTAAATTCTTTTTAACAGTCTCTGGAATATAGTAGGTTCTATACAATGGTGTGTTATTGTATTTAAATTAAATTTCTCAACTGTTTTGCTCATTGTTTGCAGTATAGTTAATTTATACTGTTTTATTTCTACCAATGTTTTTCTCCTTTTTACCTTTTGTTGATTCATTTAAAAATATTTTAATCACACTTAACTTTAAAAATCTCTCCTTGCTTTATCATCTTTTTTCAAAGTTTATCATGGTTTTCCCCAGCAAACAGTAAAAAAGTCTGTTCAAGAATGAAAGCCAGACTGTAAAGTGCTGCCTGTAATCCCAGCACTTTAGGAGGCCAAGGGAGGATGATTGTTTGAGGTCAGGAGTTTGAGGCCAGCTTGGGCAACATAGAAATAACTTGTCTGTACAAAAAATTTTAAAAATTAGCCAGGCATGGTGATATTCACCTGTAGTCCTAGCTACTTGGGAGTCTGAGGCAGAAGAATTGCCTGAGCCCGGGAGGTCAAGACTACAGTGAGCTATAAGTGACTCCAGCTTAGGCAGCAGAGTGAGATTCTGTATCTTACAAAAAAAAAAAAAAGAATTAAATATTTCCAGCAGATAAGATAACAAATCAACTAAAGTACTCATTAAAATCCAACACAAATTATGGTTAGCAAATACCCTGCTGGCAACTTTCAAAGACTATATGTGTAGTCATTTCTTTTTTGCCAAAATTCAATATAATTTTTCCCTCAACTGAATATTAGAATAAATATTTAAAATATAAGCAGCAGAAATGGAGACATACTTCATTATGGAGGAGATACAGTGATTCAAGTCAGAATTGGCTGATGAGGAATTTAAAAAAAACTTTAGTTAGGCAACCGATTAGAGGTTGCCTTTTCGACAGAAATATTTTAGTTATAATACATTAATATAGGGAAGAAAGGACATTGATAGCATTCCAAAGCTATCAGTGAAAAGGGGTAGTATTTTCAGTGATTTATGTACTGGGCTTTTCTAATTTTCAGATCAAAGAATTTTCTTTCTATATCATTTTTAACATGCCACTAATAAATTTGGTGAATCAAGTCTTCATCAGTCTGGGAAGCCTCATTGCTATCTCCTGTGCCTTGGGTTGCCTGTAAGCATAGGTCACTTTCTATCTAGGTGTTTCTCAACATCCAGACATTAAATGGTAATCCTGTTTAAGCATCACATCATGCTGGAAGGCTCTGAGTGAATATACATTTACCTTTGTTGTGTAAAACCAAACGCTGAATCTGTCCAGACTCAGAACTAATACTTGGGTATACCGCATATTAAAATGGATAAATTAGGACTCAGAAACACCATTTCTGTGGATAGAATAAACAAATTCTAAAGATAGAAATATCAGTACCATCGTGTGCTTTATAATTCTGAATTACAGTTTTGCAGAGTTTGTGGGAACCTTGGATATTATTTGGTCCAATCTCTCATTTTACAGACATGGAGCCTAAGACATCAAGAGAGGATAAGTGACTCATTTATTGCCTTAGAAATATAAATGCCAGCTCAGAGAAACAGCATTCCATGCAGTTTCTTATTTGGCAATATTACGGGTTTGATGTGGTTAGATATACTGATTGCTGTTTTTTGTTTGGCTGTTTTTTTTTTTTTTTGTGGGGGGCATTTATTACATACAGCTTTGCTGTCTAAGTAGATTGTAAACTATTGAGGAGAAGGATTACATGTTGTTAAGATCTGTACAATAGCACCAAATACCATCTCAAATTGATGCCTAATCCCAGGTCTAATACTTATTAAGAATTCAATAAATTGCTGAATAATTTATTTTTGGAGGAGCAGCTGTAGAAATTTTATGTTTTTAAAACAGAAAAGCAATAGAAATAGACAGTAATGCCATAAATACTGGTGATAGAGGTGAGAGAGTAGCAAAACCATTTCAGGGAATACTGCAGAAATCATCCATAATGCCTTTTTTGTATATAGAGCTACCTAAGAGCAAATATGCCCAGATTTAAGGAAAGAGCATGTTAGGCTCATTTTATGAGTAATCAAGAATTCTGCCTAAGGAAAACTGAGGCTTCAATTAATTTCTTTTCTGAAAAGATGATATCAAATTAAACTTCTGTTTGGAAGTTGTCTTATTTTGTATATTTAAACAATAATTCTTGCTTTTCATTTATCTTCTCATGAATCAGCTGTTTTAGAACTGTAGCATATATAAGGAAAAGAATAGCTGGATGCACTTAGTTTGAAAGGATGAGTTATTGATCACCTTTCTTGAAAAAAAAAAAACTGATAGGCAGGAGGATACTCTGGAAGCTGCTGGAGAAAGGGATTATATAAGTCAGGACTGGTTTGCCTGAACCATGTAAACAAATGAGCTTCCAAATCTCAATGATTCAGAGAACAGAGGCTTATATTTTGTACATGCTTACTGTCCAGACCAACTTTCCTGCTTGGAAAAGTGTTGCATTCCACCTCCTCATCAGCCTAGGCTTTTACAATCCCAGGAGCCCTTGCATTAAATTCTTAGAACTGGAATATCACTCCATATCTACTCACATTTTACTAATAGAAGCAAGTCACATGATTCTACCTAACTTGAAGCTGGTAGGGAGGTACCTTTTATTTTATGCCCTGAAATAGAAGAAAACTGAATATCAGTGAACAACCTATTGTCTTTGATAGAGATGCATGTATATTACTGATTTTATGTTTGCTCAGGCTTGAGACAGGAGACAAAGGCGACTATTATCCTCCTTAAAGGTAACACATACCCTCACGTGGTTAAAGGAAATTATTCCACAGTGACCTCAGATTTATTTTGAATAAATAAAAAATAAGAAGGTGGCCTTTTGTTTCTCAATCACAGTTCAAGCCTGTCTATAATTTCATGGCATTTCCCATGAAGATAAAAGTTACTTGTTACATGTCAAAGGCAAAGATTGTTAGTCCTCCTTTGGTCTAGAAATGCTAAATTACTTAGAAAATGGCAAAAGTAGTTTCTTGGCAATTTTTATGAATCTAGTTTCTCAGGTTGTCTAATGTAATGTCACTATTGCTAGGAATCAATTAACTACTAGAAATCAGATGAACTGATAGCTTTAATATGTATGTCTGTGAGTGTGTGTGTGTGTAACAATAACACAACCCCTGGATTAGTAAGGTTAAAAAAATGAGAAGGGGGGAGATCTCTTTTTTTTCTTTTAAAAACCACCACATTAAAAAAAACTTGTCTTACACTAATACAATCAATATTTACAACCAATTATTAATAAACGAAACCTATGGTCCCTCTAGAACTTTTCATTTTTCTTCATTTTTGCCATGGTTTTCCCCTATCACTTTGCCAGTTGTGTCTCTATACACTACTAAATTTTTGCTATGGCCTCAAATATGAATGTATTATTGCCTATACAATAATAGAGTATACTAGAGTGTCTCTTATTTAGGTCTGTGGTCAAAATTCACAGTACAAATTTGTAAAAATATATGTCAAATATTCATAAAAATAGCAGGTGAAATATGCAGCTCCGAGAAATTAAATAACTTGGCAAAACTTCCATGGAGAGTAAGTGGCAGAGTTAGGGTTTGAACTCAGATCTCCTATGTCTGTATCTGGGAAATGTAAATTTAAGGAATATTGACTTTAGCTTGTTTAAATATTTTTTCCTATTGCTTTCCTAAGACATGTAATACCTTTCTTTTCTAAAAATGAAATGATATATTTTAAAATCTTTAAAAGGTATTTTCCATGTGTAATCAAATGGTTATTTTTTGAGCTGCATAATTTCAGATTTCTTGTCTTTATAATAAAAGTAGCTCTCACTTTATGCTAAGAATAAATGTCTCCAAAGGACATACAGAAGAAATATGTATGATATGAATGTCTTTAAATTTGCTGCTTGTAGCCATCAGGGATTTTTGAATTTGTGGAATGAACATTCCAAATTCCAACCATTCTTAAAGTATTAAAATTATCTATCTAGTTGAATGATCCTCCTAAATGGTCATAAGATAATAATTTCTTTTAAATATTATATTTTACTTACTTCAGTTAAGTAAAAATGGGATATGAGATTTATTTACTTGTTCTTGTCCAATCACTATATAGTGAAGTATATATTTATGTAATTAAAAGAGGCTTTAATTGAAGTTTTAACTTACTGTGTGAAAAGAAAATATCATGACTATTTTTGGATGACAAAATCAATTTGACAAAGGAAAGGAACATAGCTTCATAAGGTTATTTTGTGCATTCTTTTCTGAGTAAAGACTTTGCAGGCAGAACTTATTTATGTGTTGGAAATTGCATCTCATTTCTCACCTCAGGTGTCTCTCCACAGGTGCCAACTGTAATACATCAGTAGCTGAACAGCTCATTGCCCTCAAGTGTTCTTGCTCATGCCTGGCTGAGTTATTGAAGAAATTGCTCAGATCTCAAGCCCTTGTAGATCACTGGTCCTGGCAGATGTTGTAAGTTTGGTTTCTTCTCAGCTCCTGTTTCTTTCATCAAAGAGCCACTGTTAGTTGATACAGTAAAAATTGGTGAATCAGTCAATTAACAATCTTTACTGTCTGCATAAAGGAGAAAAAAGACTCATTATTATTCCAGTATGGAAATCTCTACCATCTATTTGAATTGAGTGATTCAAGATCCTCAATACATTATATTATGTTATTTCTGAAAGAAAACCCATTAGGTTACACCACCTAGAATATACTCACTTTCTGGCCCATTTTTAATGCCTGGTTGGCTGACAAAAGGCCACAAAATCTCCAGGGCTTTTGTATCCTATTTACTCTGTGCATGGCAGACATTTGTATCAATGACCATGTATTTCCAAGCATTAGAGCATTTCACGTCTCTGCCCCCTTGGAAAGTAGGCATGACCATATTACTTCTTTTGACCAAAAAAAATTGTGGATCTCCTTCCTAATTGGAAGCTTTAAGAGCTAGTATGCAATTCTCCATAGTCTATCCTCCTATTTCAACAGTCTTGGAAGTATATTTCAAAATGAAGCCTCCAATATTCTAGATTCCAGAGTAACTGTGATGAGTAAAACCCCCAGCTCATCCAAGTCAGATGTGAGTGTGTGTGTTAGAAATATAGTTATGTTGTGTTCATGCACTTACCTCAGCATAACCTGCTATTTTGACAGATAAACTGTGTTTTCCCAGAGTTTGTGCTATAACCTAAATGAGCTGGAGTCCTGGAGGTGCACTGGGACTGTACTGAAATGTAGCACTGCGTCTGCATCAGGTTTTATTTATGTGAAGTTAAGCTCAGAGAAATTGGTTGTTTCCATTAGCAACTTGCTCCTTATTAACCTCCCAAATGATATTAAAAATACAAAGTATGCTTCCTAGTCAGAGAGCTAGAAAGTCAATTGAATATTCATGCTGTTCCTTTCTTCTCCAAGTCCGCCCATATCCTCGACTACTCTTCTTCAGGAAAAGCTTCACAGAGCTGGAGACTGTGTGTTCCTTCTTCAAGCAGCATCGATGTTTTCCTGATGGTGCTCAGTGAATTCTGACCGCACTCTCTGGAATCTTACTTTTTCATGACGCTAGCTGTCTCATCTCAAGAAAGCCTGGGTGGCTTTCTCTTGATCTTTTATTACACATTTCCTTATTCCTTAAAAATAACTCAAATGCAGTTTTAAAACAGCTGACTCTGAAGCCAGATTAGGTGGATCCCAATTTTGGCTCTTGTGTTTGCTAACTTTAGGACACCCTAGACAATTTTATTAAGCTTCTGTGTTTTTCATTTTTATATAAGAATAAAGGAACAGCATTTTCTAACTCATAGGAGAGCTATGTTACAGATTAAATGAGTTAATTAGCATTTACACATTAAATGCTCTAATTACCACCTATGTCAACCCTTTGGAATACATGAGGCTGGCTATTGTCTTTGCATTTCATTCTAGGACTGCATATGATATAATCCACACTGTTACATAATCCACATTATTGCAAACATACATTAATTTTCTTCTTTCATGAAATTAAAGTAGGAACTCCTTAAGCTTAGCAAATAGTGCTTTTTCCACTCTGCCTACCAGCCTTTGTCACAAAGGCCTCTTTTTCATAGTTTACTAAATAACGGACAGGCTAGCCCAGGATGTCATAGACACATGTTGCTTTGCTGGGGATATATGTCATAGGCTGTTTTCATTCAGAAAATTCAAAACTCATTGCGTAATCTTGCCTTTTTTGACCAACCTTTAAATAATTAATGAAAATCAATTATTTCATTATACTATTAAGGTCTCTCACTTGGCGGAATAATATCTTCAAAGCTTTGATTATCTAATCACAACTCTACATTTTAGTGGAGCAAGCCTGGTATGCAACACAGCAGGGTTTTTAAAGACTTCAATATGATGTCCTTCCACAGGAGAAGATTGTTTTATTTTTCTGGTTTTAATTTTGTAATTCTTAATTGATTACTCATTTGAATGTTGTACATAATAATTTCTTACTATGTGGGCTGTTTTGTCCAATTAAAATCATTCAAGTCTCTGCTTTGGAATAAGCTTCAACAAAAGGTAGAGGGAAGGTTTATCATTAATTTTACAATTTGTGTCTTTGAAGATGTAATTACCTAAATTGTTTGGTTTAAAAATTCCTATGTGTTTGATGCACAGAAAATATTTCCATATATATGTATATATATATACACACATATATATATATATACACAAATTTTGTTTTATATTCAGAATATAAATGTTTTTGAAATAAAATAGTATAGGAGACATCAGACAAACACAAGAATATGACATAAATTATAGAAGTCATTTGTCTGAATAAGAAAGAACATTTTGATTTAGGAGATAATTTTAAATTAAGAGTCTACTTTCCATTCAGAGAATAATTATAATAAAGTTACATTAAGATTCTTATGTCAAAATCATAGTGGCAATGTTAGATTCCTGGAATGTCTCTTCTATGACTCATTATCTTCTCAAGAAATAAATGGAGATGTAACAAGTAGTGAAATCTATCTGAAGTAAGCCACTAAGATATTTTATTCATCCTGAAGTTCATATGTTTGACAGCCGTTAGATTATCATTACTGTGAGAAAAATTGGAAAGTGTGGGATCTTTGGTAGTTTGTCTTTTTCCCGGCTCCAGAGATTATGCTGGTATCCCATCAGTCAGCATAATTCCATTGAATTTTTGTTCTAGGTACAGGCTTCACTATACACAGGGTTTTGTAGAAGAGTGTGTAAGGTTTTATTTGTTCATGTGTTTGCCTGTTTTGGTTTCCAAAGCTATCAGGCCACGATCAAGCAGAAGGCAGAAGAGAAACACCCAGATTAGTAATCCATGATTTTTGTGGCTACTGTTGCTCTTCGCTATTTGCCAATGCAGAAGTAGAACTGAGAGATTGGATTTTTACAACGTCATCCGCTTGGGGTATAAATGTTGTCATTCAAGGCACACCTGTGTGGTGTTTTAGTAAAACCCTCATATCCTGAGTAGAGATCCAAACTATTAACATCATTGGGACAATAATTAAATAGCAATAAGCAGGCACTTGTGCAAACTTTGGCTTAATATCGAGTAACTTGTTTCTAGGCCACCGTAGAAATAGTTCAATCTTCAAAACTGGATTAAGGCATTCTGTAAGGTTTTAGCACCCCTGGGCACCAAAAAGGAGCAAATAAAAGTTCTCAATAGACCAGGTGTGGTGGCTCACGCCTGTAATCCCAGCACCTTGGGAGGCTGAGGCGGTTGGATCATGAGGTCAGGAGTTCGAGCCCAGCCTGGCCAACATAGTGAAACCCTGTCTCTACTAAAAATACAAAAAGTTAGCTGGGCATGGTGGCAGGTGCCTGTAATCCCAGCTATTCGGGAGGCTGAGGCAGGAGAATCACTTGAACCCGGGAGGTGGAGGTTGCAGTGAGCCGAGATCCCACCATTGCAGTCCAGCCCAGGTGACAGTGAGAAACTCTATCTAAAAAAAAAAAAAAAAAAAAAAAAAAAAAGAAAAAGAAAAAAAAAAGTAGTCAATAAACAATATCATAGGTCACATGTTTTTTGTCATGATTTTTCAAACTTAACCAAAAATAACTAGAGACACAGAGAGGCAAGGCAACATGAATAAGAATCATTACATACAATAGACAATAACTATATGTAGCTAGAAATTAGAACTATACTACACAGAATTTGGAAAAACTACACTTCTTATGTTTGCAAACTAAAATACAAAATTAAAGCAGTTTTTAGGGAGCTGTCAACTATTTTTTGAATGCTTATCAGATATTTTAAAGAACCAAGTAAGATTTCTAGGACAGCAAACAAAATAATAACCACAATTAAAAATAAAACTTGATTGAAAACAATAGATATCTCTGAAAAAGAATTAGTGAACTGGAATATAAGTGAAGGGAAAATATCCAAAATAAAGCTCAAAGAAATAAATGCATGAAGTAGAGAGATGTTACAAGGATAAGGTATACAATAGGAAGGTCAAGCATCTAATTATTCAAAATGCTAAAATGAGAAGAGAGAATGGAAAAGAGGTAATATATGAAGAAGTAACACCTGAAGTTTTCAAAATTTGTGAAACAAATCTAAGCACATATTGAATAAATCAAACAAAAATAAAAACAAACAAAACAAAAAACCCTCAAGGCAACAAATAAAAAGAAACTACATGCAAAAACACATCACTAAAAATTTGTAGAACATCTAAGGAAAGGAAAAAGTGTTGACTATCTTCAAAGGAGAAATATTTAGACTTTGTAACTGAGAAAATAAAACATAAATCTACAATGTGCTGAAAGACTTGTATATTTAGGGAAAACATCCCTCCAGAACAAAGGTGGCACACAAAAGTTAACAGGACTTTGTCACAAGAAAAACTTCATTAAAAGAAATAATAAAAAGTGCTTTAAGTGGAAGCAAAATGACACCAAATGAAAGTTCAAGGATGCAGAATGAAATTAACAGCAATGAAATTGCAAATAAACTTGTACACACATACATACATATGCATACATATGTGTATGTGTGTATATATATATATGTATGTTTTACATACATTTTTGTTTATATACACACCATTGAAAATACAAAAGTATTATCTCATAAACGCACATATATATGTTTGCACATGTGGCGGTGTTTATGTAAATATATGAATGTATTTAATTTAGTAGAAAGGTAGTAAATAATTTAAAGTTTCTGAAGGACTAAATATCATAAGTGAATAAGATAAAAAAACAAAATTGCACTAGATTATGATATGTCAAGGTTTCAGATTATAGTTTTGACGCTATTCTTTTCAATAGTTTAGTTGCTATTTACATTTAAATGAAGATTAATTAAACTTTAATTAAAAAGTCACACTAGCCACATTTCAAGTGCTCAATAGCCATATGTGGCAAATGACTACCTCATTGGACAGCACAGCCCTAGAACATTTCTGTATGACATAAAGCTTTATTGCAAAGCATTAAATTCAGAGTAATAAATAAAATAACAGAAGTGTATGTGATGTCCCAAATAACTAAAAATAATAATAATTTAAACACCCACCCACATTTTTTCTGGTTTGGCATGTAAGAAGCTGTTAGTTGTTTCTGCATTCTAAAAACAAATGAAAACTGAACAAACTGAAAAATCAACTACTTTTAGCTCTATCAGAGAGGTGTGGTCACAGGGAAAACGATTTGCTCCCAAATTGGAAAGACTGATAGCCCTAACCTCTGCAGGAACAAGTGTTGAGGCAGGAGAACTGGAATTATAACTACTGAGTTACTGGAGGCTCAGCATCCACAAGCCTGAAAGAAAATCTGTAGAGAGACACAATCATAGTGTCTCTTTAGACACTATGACTATAGACAGGAGCTCCGATGCTTCTGTGATTTTTACCGCTAAGAGCTGGACCGGGTTGTCACGATGAATATTGATGGCAAACAAACAACAAAACCTTTTGTACCTCTAGAGGGAGAGGGGTAAAGGAACCATTTAAAAATATGCCAGAGCATTCTGTTCTTAACAAGCTCTGCTCTCAGAAAAAACTAACCGGAGCCTAACCTGCTGGGTTATTAAAGTCTAACCTTGGAGAATGAAAATTACTCAGCTCTAGTCAGCTTTAGCCTTCCATATAGGAAAAAAAAAGAAAAAAAAGAAAAAGAAACACTCTAGTGACTGAGTCCCACCAAAGTGGGGAACAGCCCTAAGAAACACATGTGAAGCTCACAGCCTAGAGGTACAAGCTCAATAAAAGACAGACCCACTTAAAGATTTATAGAACACTCCCACTCTCCCAGGCCTTACCAGTACATCACTGAATGCCTATTTATAGCCTTTCTATTACCCAGTACATCTTATCTAGCCATCAAGAAAAAAATTACAAGACATATTAAAAATATTAAAGAGATAGAGCAAATTAAATTAAAAATTAAATAAAATTAAATAAAAAATTAAAGAGACAGACCTAAATATAGCAGAAATGTCGGCATTATCAGACAGGAATTTAAAATAACTATAATTAAGATGCCAAGAGCTATAATGGATAAAGGACCCAGCATGTAATACCGGATGGACATTGTACATGGAGATTAAAATTCTTAGAAATAACAAAAATAAATTTTAGAGATCAAAAACACTGTAAGAGAAATCAAGAATGTTTTTGATGGGTTTAGTGGTAAACTGAGAATGGCTGAAGAATGAATTTCTGAGCTTGGAGATGTCTCAGTAGAAACCATCAATATTGAAAAGCAAAGGGAAAAAAGTCTGAAAAACAAACAGACAAACAGGAAAGCTGCCTCACACTTTTAAACAAACAGATCTCACTAGAACTCAATCACTATCTCAAGTACAGTTCCAAGTGGTTGGTACTGAAACAATTCATGAGAAATTTGCTCCCATGATCCAATCACCTTCCACCAGGCTCCACTTCCAACATTGGGGATTACATTTCAACATGAAATTTGGGCAGGGACAACATCCCAACTATATCAGACACTGAACCAATAAATAAGAACATATAAAAACAGAAAGCACAAGGCTAATTTGGGTTCAATTGTGAATTCTACTAAACATGTTAGGAAGAAATTGTACTAATTTCTTACAATCTCTTTAAATATTGAAGTAGAGGAAATACTTCCTAACTCATTTAGGAGGCTGTAATATCAAAACCAAAGATATTATAAGAAATGAAAACTAATAGACTAATATCTACTATAAACATAGATGCAAAATCTTCAACAAAATATTAGCAAGTTGAATCCAACATGTATAAGAAGACTTATACACCACTACCAAGTGGGATTTACTCCCTTTATGCAAAGCTGGTTCAACATCCAAAAACTGATTAACGTAATCTATCATATCTGTTGATATAACATAACTACAGTTTAGTGATGTAAGTAAATAAAAAAATTATGTAATCATGTCAGTAGATGCAGAAAAGTGTTTAACAAAATGCAATATTAATTCATAATAAAAACTTTCAGTAAAATAGAAAGAGAAGAGATTTTCCTTAACTTGTTAAAGAACAACTACAAAAACCTGCATCTAACAAAATTTTTAACTGTAAAAAAACCAAAACTTTCCTGCTATGATCAGAAACAAGGCAAAAGTCTCCTCTCATCACTGCTTTTCAGTGTTATATTGAACATGCTAGCTACTGCAATAAGACAAGAAAATAAAATTTAAAAGTATATAGAATGAGAAAAAAAGAAATAAAACTGATTTTTCTCAAAAATGAAATGATTGTTTATGTAGAAAATAAAAGAATTTACCAAAAAAAAAGAAGAAAAACAGTCCTGGAACTAATAAATTACTTTTCTATATACTAGCAATAAATAAAGAGAATTTGAAATTAAAAAAAAACACAAATCATTTACATTAGTACCCCCAAAATTAAATGCTTAAATATAAATCTAAGAATATATGTACAAGATATGAGAAAAACTATAAAACTTTGATGAAAGACATTAAAGAAAAACTAAATAAATGGAACTATATTTTATATTCAGATAGGAGGACTCGGAAATTGTCAAGATACTGGTTCTTCTCAACTTGACCTATAAATAAACTAAGGTATTAATACATTAAATACAATTAAATCCCAATAAAAATCCTACAGAGTTATTTTGTAGATAATGATAAACTGATCCTCAAGTTTATATATGGAGAAAAAGGACCCAGAAAAATCAACACAAGATTGAAGTAGAACAAAGTTGAAGAACTGATGGTATCTGACTTCAAAACAGACTTTACAGCTGTAGTAATCCAGATAATATAGTTTTAGTGAAAGTGTAGACAGATAAATGGAACAGAACAGAATTTTCAGATATAGACCCACAGACATATAGACAACTGATTTTTGACAAAGATGGAAAGGTAATACAAGGGAAATAAGATAAATCTTCAACAAACAATGCTGCAACAACTGGCATGTACATACACACACACACAAAAATGAATCTAGACACAGACCTTCCACCCTTCGTAAAAATAAACACAAAATGGAGTGCAGATCTAAATTTTTATATATACAATATGTAAATATATATATTTACATGCAACACCAATCGTAAAATCTATAAAGAATTGGTAAGCTGGTGATCATTAACATTTCTAAAATATCTGCTCTTTGAAATAAACTGTCAAGAGAATAAAAACACAAGACAAAGACAGGGAGAAAATATTTGTAAAAAACATATCATATAAAGGACTGCTATCCAAAAGATACAAAAAAATTGTTAAAACTCAACAATAAAGACACAAACCAATTCTATAATGGGCGAAAACTTTTGACAGACACCTCACCAAAAAGACATACAGATCCAATTATCATATGAAAAGGCACTCCACATTGTTTGTCTTCAGAAAAATACAAATTAAACTAACAATAAAATATCACCACATGCCTGTTAGAATGGCCCAAATCCAGAACACTAAAAGCACCAAATGCAGATTCTGGATATTAGCCCTTTGTCAGATGAGTAGATTGCAAAAATTTTCTCCCATTCTGTAGGTTGCCTGTTCACTCCGGTGGTAGTTTCTTTTGCTGTGCAGAAGCTGTTTAGTTTAATTAGATCCCATTTGCGAATTTTGGCTTTGTTGCCATTGCTTTTTGTGTTTTAGACATGAAGTCCTTGACCATGCCTATGTCCTGAATGGTATTGCCTAGGTTTTCTTCTAGGGTTTTTATGGTTTTAGGTCTAACATGTAAGTCTTTAATCCATCTTGAATTAATTTTTGTATAAGGTATAAGGAAGGGATCCAGCTTCAGCTTTCTACATATGTCTAGCCAGTTTTCCCAGCACCATTTGTTAAATAGGGAATCCTTTCCCCATTTCTTGTTTTTGTCAGGTTTGTCAAAGATCGGATAGTTGTAGATATGTGGCATTATTTCTGAGGGCTCTGTTCTGTTCCATTGATCTATATCTCTGTTTTGGTACCAGTACCATGCTGTTTTGGTTACTGTAGCCTTGTCGTATAGTTTGAAGTCAGGTAGCATGATGCCTCTGGCTTTGTCCTTTTGGCTTAGGATTGACTTGGCGATGCGGGCTCTTTTTTGGTTCCATATGAACTTTAAAGTAGTTTTTTCCACTTCTGTGAAGAAAGTCATTGGTAGCTTGATGGGGATGGCATTGAATCTATAAATTACCTTGAGCCAGTATGGCCATTTTCACGATATTGATGCTTCCTACTCATGAGCATGGAATGTTCTTCCATTTGTTCATATCCTCTTTTATTTCCTTGAGCAGTGGTTTGTAGTTCTCCTTGAAGAGGTCCTTCACATCCCTTGTAAGTTGGATTCCTAGGTATTTTATTCTCTTTGAAGCAATTGTGAATGGGAATTCACTCATGATTTGGCTCTCTGTTTGTCTGTTATTGGTGTATAAGAATGCTTGTGATTTTTTGCACATTGATTTTGTATCCTGAGACTTTGCTGAAGTTGCTTATCAGCTTAAGGAGATTTTGGGCTGAGATGATGGGGTATTCTAGACATACAATCATGTCATCTGCAAACAGAGACAATTTGACTTCCTCTTTTCCTAATTGAATACCCTTTATTTCCTTCTCCTGCCTGATTGCCCTGGCCAGAACTTCCAAACAAACTTACAAGAAAAAACAAACAACCCCATCAACAAGTGGGCAAAGGCTATGAATAGACACTTCTCAAAAGAAGACATTTATGCAGCCAAAAGACACATGAAAAAATGCTCATCATCACTGGCCATCAGAGAAATGCAAATCAAAACCACAATGAGATAACATCTCACACCAGTTAGAATGGCAATCATTAAAAAGTCAGGAAACAACAGGTGCTGAAGAGGATGTGGAGAAATAGGAACACTTTTGCACTGTTGGTGGGACTGTAAACTAGTTCAACCATTGTGGAAGTCAGTGTGGTGATTCCTCAGGGATCTAGAACTAGAAATACCATTTGACCCAGCCATCCCATTACTGGGTATATACCCAAAGGATTATAAATCATGCTGCTGTAAAGACACATGCACACGTATGTTTATTGCGGCACTATTCACAATAGCAAAGACTTGGAACCAAGTCAAATGTCCAACAATGATAGACTGGATTAAAAAAATGTGGCACATATACACCATGGAATACTATGCAGCCATAAAAAAGGATGAGTTCATGTCCTTTGTAGGGACATGGATGAAGCTGGAAACCATCATTCTCAGCAAACTATCGCAAGGACAAAAAAACCAAACACCACATGTTCTCACTCATAGGTGGGAATTGAACAATGAGAACACATGGACACAGGAAGGGGAACATCACACACCAGGGCCTGTTGTGGGGTTGGGGAAGGGGGGGGGATTGCACTGGGAGATGTACCTAATGTAAATGACGAGTTAATGGGTGCTGCACACCAACATGGCACATGTATACATATGTAACAAACCTGCACATTGTGCACATGTACCCTAAAACTTAAAATATAATAAAAAATAAAAATAAATATAAATAAATAAATAAATAAAATGTTAACCTACATGTGTAAAAAAATAATAAAAAAGAAAGCACCAAATGCTGGCAGAGATGTGGAACAACACGAACTCTCATTTATGGCTGGCAAGAATGCAAAATAGTACAACCACTTTGGAAGACACTTTGACAGTTTCTTACAAAACTGAATGTATTTTTACCACATGATACAGCCATCACATTACTTTGATATATAGCTAAAGGAGTTGAAAACTATGTCCACACCAAAATCCGTTTACAGAATTTTATAGAAGCTTTATTCTTCTATTTTGGCAAAATTTGGAAGTAACCAAGATGTCCTTTTGAAAATTAATAGATAAATAAACCTGTACATTCTGTCATTGAAATATTATTCAATATTAAAATGATATGGGCTATAAAGACATGAAGGAAACTTACAGGAATATTACTGAGTGAAAGAAGCCAATTTGAAATGACTACATACCGTATCATTTCAATTATATGGCATTCTACAAAAAGATACAACTATGAAGACAGTAAAAAGATCAGTGGTTTTCAGGAATTGGTGAGAGGGATAGATGAGTAAGTGAAGCACATAGGCTTTTTAGGGCAGTAAAACTGCTGTTTATGATACTACAATGGTAGATACATGTTTTTATACATTTGTCCAACACCAAGAATGATCCCTAATATGAACTGTGGACTCTAGATGACAATGATGTGTCAATGTATGTTCATCACTTGTAACAAATATATCACCTTGGTGGGGAAAGTTGATAATGGGGAAGCTATGCATATGTGGAGGCAGTAGATACATGGGAAATTTTTCCCTTTCACTCAATTTTGTTGTAAACCTAAAACTTCTCTGCAAAATAAAATCTCTTACATGCACATAAACACATAATCTTAAACAGATCAAGAAAGTAAATGTATACCAAACTGAAAGTAGAAATAGAAAATATATAATGAGGTAATAGATTTAATATCATAATTTTGGCTATCACCTTAATGTAGATGGACTAAGTTCTTCCAATTAAAAATCAAATATTATCAGATTGGGTAAAATAATAAAACTCAACTCAAATGTTTCCTGTGAGAGCCACTTGAAACATTAGCCTGTGAAAGCATAAAAATACAGGAGAGAAAATATTATATCATCCCAACCAGCAAAAGATAGCATATATTAATATCTTAATTAATTCATAGCTATATTAAGCTAATAAAATAAACATTAAGTCATAAAGCATTGCTAGAAATAAAAAAGACTTGTTAATTATAAAAATATTTTACTAGTAAGCTAAAATAATTTTAAATGTGTATGCATTTAATAACCTAAATTGAAATGTGTGAAGCATATCTTCCAGAATTTTTAAAAGAAGCCAAAGAGGCAAAGCTATAATGAAGAGTTTTAACATGTTTTTTAGCTGCTGATAGAATAGAGAAATAACATCAGTAAGGTTAAAGAAGATGTGAATCAGGAAATTAACATAATTGACCTTACAGAAAAATTCAGAGGAACATTTTTACAAATGCAGAAGGAAAGAGATTTAATGCACACAGGGAATGTTTACAAAAATTATCTATTTAATGAGAAATAGAATAAATCATAATGCATATCAAATAATTTCAACTGGAGAAAAATTTCTGTGGCCATAATGCTATTAATCCAGAAATTAAACAGTTGCAAGTTTCCCACCTTCTTAAATGTTTGGAAGTTAAGAAATGTCCACAAAGTAATACTCCTTGGTCAAAGACAACGTGACGATGAAATTCGAGGAAATATTTGATCTTTTTGAATCCTAAATATACATGCACCTAACACTGGAGCTCCCAAATTTATAAAATGGTTACTACTAGACCTAAGAAGTGAGAGAGACAGCAACACAACAATAGTGGGGAACTTCAACACTTCACTGACAGCACTAGGCAAGTCATCAAAACAGAAAGCCAACAAATAAACAATGAATTTAAACTAGACACGACTGGGTGCAGTGGCTTATGCTTGTAATCCCAGCACTTTGGGAGGCTGAGGCAGATGGATCACCTGAGGTCATGTGAAGCCCCATCTCTACTAAAATTACAAAACAATTAGCTGGTCATGGGGATGAGTGCCTGTAATTCCAGCTACTTGGGAGGCTGAGGCAGGAGAATCACTTGAACCCAGGAGGCAGAGGTTGCAGTGAGCCAAGATTGCACCACTGCACACCAGCCTGGGTGACAAGATTGAGACTCCATCTCAAAAAGTAAATAAATAGGCCGGGTGCAGTGGCTCATGCCTGTAATCCCTACACTTTGGGAGTCTGAGGCAGGAGGATCACCTGAGGTCAGGAGTTCGAGATCAGCCTGGCCAACATGATGAAATCCCATCTGTACTAAAAACGCAAAGAATTAGCTGGACATGGTGGTGCATGCCTGTAATCCCAGCTACTCAAGAGGCCAAGGCAAGAGAGTCACTTGAACCCAGGAGGCGGAGGTTGCAGTGAATTGAGAGATTGTGCCACTGCACACCACCCTGGGCAACAAGAATGAAAATCTGTCTCAAATAATAATAATAATAAGAAGAAAGTAAAATAAATAAATAAATAAACAAACTATACCCTAGAACAAATGGACTTAATAGATATTTACAGAGCATTTTACTCAACAACTGCAGTATATACGTTCTATTCATCAGCACATGCAACATTCTCCAAGATAGACCATAAGATAGGCCACAAAACAAGTCTCAAGTAATTTAAGTAAATTGAAATTATATCAAGTACTCTTTCAGACCAAAGTGGAATAAAATTGGAAATCAACTCCAAAAGGAACCCTCAAAACCATGCAAATACATGGAAATTAAATAACCTGCTCCTGAATGATCATTGGGTAAACAAGAAAATCAAGATTGATATTAAAAATTCCTTGAAGTGAACAATAATAGTGATGCCATCTATCAAAACCTCTGGATACATAGTAGTATTCCATTATATATATGAGATATCATATATATATATCTCATATATATATATATACCACAGATTATTTATATACTCATTGATTGATCAGCATTTGGTCTGGTTCCATATGTATATAGTATATAATACATACTATATGTGTGTGTGTGTATATGTGTATACATATATATATATAAAATGAAATACTATTATGTTAATTTTCTAATTCACATCTACTTTGACCTTACTGATGTTGTTTTTCTATTCTATCAGCAGCTATATATACACATACACATATAGAAAATGGAATATATATAAAATATTATATATAGTAGGATATATATAAAATATATAATGTATATAATGGATATAGATATAGATATAGATATATATTTTATATAATATATATTATATATTATATATAATATATGTTATATATATTATATATTTTATATAATATATATATTATATAAATTATATATATATAATATATAATATATATATTATATATATTTTATATAATATATATTTAATATTATCTATTATATATTTTATATAATATATATTTTATATAATATATAATATATAATATATATTTTACATAATATATAATATATAATACGTATTATATATAATATATAATACGTATTTTATATAATATATAATACGTATTATATATAATACGTATTATATATTATATAATATATAATACGTATTATATAATATACGTAATTATATTTTATTATAATACGTATTATATATTATATAATATATAATACGTATTATATTATGTATATTATAAATATATAATGTATATATAGTGGAATACTACTCAGCCATAAAAAGGAAAGAAATAATGGCATTCACAGCAAGCTGGAGGGTATTAGAGACCATTATTCTAAGTAACTCAGGAATGGGAAACCAAATATTGTGTGTTCTCACTCATAAGTGGGAGCTAAGCAATGAGGATGCAAAGGCATAAGAATGATATGATGGACTTTGGGGATTTGGGGGAAAGGGTGGAACAGGGGTGAGGGATACTTGCCTTTGATGTCCATTTGCATGGAATATCTTTTTCCACCCCTTTACCTTTACTTTATGTGAGTCCTTATGTGTTAGGTGAGTCTCTTGAAGACAGCAGAAACTTGATGGTTAATTCTTATTCATTCTTCCATTCTGTATCTTTTAAGTGGAGCATTTAGGCCACTTACATTCAATGTTAGTATTGAGATGTGAGGTACTATTCCATTCATGTTGCTATTTGTCACCTGAATACCTTGATTTTTTGTTTGTGTTTTATATGTCCTGTGAGATTTAAGCTTTAAGAAGGTTCTATTTTGGTGGATTTGTTTCAAGATTTTGAACTCCTTTTAGCAGTTCTTGTAGTTCTGGCTTGGTAGTGGCAAATTCTCTCAGCATTTGTTTATCTGAAAAAGACTGTATCTCTTCTTCTTTTATGAAGCTTAATTTCACTGGTTACAAAATTCTTGGCTAATAATTGTTTTGTTTAAGGAGGCTGAAGATAGGGCCCCAATCCCTTCTAGCTTGTAGGGTTTCTGCTGAGAAGTCTGGAGCAGAAGTAAATTAAATAAAAAGGAGAACAACGTGAATGAATCAACAGAACTAAACTTTTTTTGAAAAAAAAAAAAAAGAGAAAGACAAACTCTTTGTTAGACTAATTAAGAAAAAAGAAACTGTAATCCCAGCAATTTGGAAAGCCAAGGTTGGAGGATCACTTGAGGCCAGAGTTTTACACCAGCATAGGCAAGAGAAACATCAGATCTCTGAAAAAAAAATAATAATCCGAAGAAATAACAAAAATAAATTCTAGAAATCAAAAATGCTGTAAGAGAAGTAAATAATGTTTTTTTGTGGGTTTAATGGTAGACTGGGAATGGCTGAGGAAAGAATTTCTGAGCTTGAAGATATCTCAATAGAAATCATGAAAATCGAAAAGCAAAAGGAAAACAAAAAACCTGAAAAATAAAACAGAGCAGAATATCCAAGAATTATGACACAACTACAAAAGACATAACATACACAAAATGGAAGTTCCAGAAAAAGAAGAAAGACAGAAAAGGACAGAAAAAAATATTTGAAACATTAATGATTATTACTCAAATTAATGTCAGACACCAAATCATGATTCAGGAAATTCAGAAAACTCCAAGCAGGATAAATGCCAAAACAAACAAAACAAAACAAAACCACTACATCTAACCACGTAATTTTCAAATTATAGAAAATCAAATATAAAAAATAGTGTAAAGAAGCCAGGGGTGTAGGGAATTCTTACCTATAGAGGAGCAAGGAAAAGAATAACATCTGATTTTTCTTTAGAAGTCATGCCTGACAAAAAGTAGAGTGAATTTTGCTGAATGGGGGGAAAAAAAGCCTAGAATTCTATACCCTGCAAATTATCCTTCAAGATAATCCGAAAGTGCATTTGGATTAGTTCAAATGTATATTGCAAACTCTAGGAACAGATGGCTTTACTCGTGAATTCTACCAAACATTAAAGAAAAATAAATTCCAGTCCTTCTCAAACACTTCCAAAAAACTGAAGGGTAGGGAGAACTTCCAAATTAATTTTATGAGGCCAGCATTATTCTGAAACAAAAACCAGCTAGACACCACCAGAAAAGAAAACTATAGGTCAATATCCTTGATACAAATACATATTAAAAAATCACATAATTTTATCAACAGATGCAGGATAACGTTTGACAAAATTCAAACAGTTTTATGATTAAAATTCTCAACAAACAGGGCACAGAAGGAAAATACCTCTACATAATAAAGACATATATGAAAAGCCTACAGCTAACATCATACTCAGTGGTGAAAACCAGAAATATTTTCTTTTAAAATCAGGACTAAGGCAAGGATGCTCACACTCACCACTTCTATTCAACATAGCCCTGGAAGCCCTAACTAGAGCAATGATGCAAGAAAAAAGAAAAGCATCCAAAATGGAAAGAAAAAAAAAGGACATTGTTTATATTTCCAGATGACATAATCTTATATATTGAAAACTCTGAAGACTAAATTAAACACAAAAACAAAACTGTAAGATCTGGTAAATGACTTTAGTAAAGCTGCAGGTTACAAAATCAATGCACAAAAAGCAGTTGTGTTTCTATATATTAACAACAAGCAATCTGAAAAACGAGATGAAGAAAACAATACCATTAATGAGGGAATAAAGAATAAAATACTTAGGAATAAAATGCTGAAGAATAAACTTACCTAAGGAGATGTAGAGCTCTACACTCAATAAAATATTGATGAAAGAACTTTAAAACTACACAAATAAATGGGAAGACATCCTGTGTACGTGGATTGGAAGACTTAATATTGGTAAAATATCTATGCTACCCAAAGGGATCTACAGATTCAATGGAGTCCCTGTCAAATCTCAATGGCATATTTTATAGAAATGAAAGCAATTCTACAATTCGTATGAAACCTTGAAGAATTATGACTATCCAAATCAATCTTTAGAAAGAAAAAGAAAGCTGAAGGCATCACACTTCCTAATTTCAAAATATATTACAATGCTACAATAACCAAAATTGTATGGTACTTTCATAAAAACAGATATATAGACCAATAGAACAGAATACAGATATAGTCAACTGATCTTCAACAAGGAAGTTAATAATATATGATCAAAAAATTACGTTTTTTCAATAAATTCTGGTGGGAAAATTGGATATTCACATGAAGAAGAAAAAGTGAGATCCTCATCTTACACCATATAAAAAAATCAAATAGAAATGAATTAAATATTTAAATGTAAAATCTGAAATTTTAAAACTCCTAGGAGGAAATATATGGAAAATGCTTCAGAATACTTGTTTCGAAAATTATTTTATGCATATGACACTAAAAGCATAGGCAACAAAAACAAAATTAAACAAGTAGAACTACATCAAACTGAGAAGCTTCTGCACAAAGAAGAAAATAACAGAGGATAAAGGTCTAAATAATGGAATAAAATATTTTTGAAATGCATATTTGATAAGTAATCAGTTTCCAAAATGTATAAGAAACTCCTACAACTCAATACAAAAAACAAAGCAAAACAGAACTAATAACCCAATTTACAAATGGGCAAAGAACTTAAATAGATATTTCTCCAAAGACATACAAATAGCCAACAGGTTTATTAAAACAAATGCTCAATGCCACCAATCATCAGGAAAGTCTAAATCAAAACCACAGTGAGATGTTATCTCACACCTGTGAGCATAGCTATTTTTTTTTATTTCAACCGCTGTTAGAATATGAAAAAAAGAAACTGTGTACTGTTAGTGCGAACTAAAATGACGCATCTACTATGTTGATATGGTTTGGATCTGTGTCCCCACCCAAATCTCATGTCAAATTATAATATGCAGGCCGGGCGCGGTGGCTCACGCCTGTAATCCCAGCACTTTGGGAGGCCGAGGCGGGTGGATCATGATGTCAGGAGATCGAGACCATCCTGGCTAACAAGGTGAAACCCCGTCTCTACTAAAAATACAAAAAATTAGCCGGGCGCGGTGGCGGGCACCTGTAGTCCCAGCTACTCGGGAGGCTGAGGCAGGAGAATGGCGTGAACCCGGGAAGCGGAGCTTGCAGTGAGCCGAGATTGCGCCACTGCAGTCCGCAGTCCGACCTGGGCGACAGAGCGAGACTCCGTCTCAAAAAAAAAAAAAAAAAAATTATAATATGCAGTGTTGGAGGAGAGGCCTGGTGGGAAGTGATTTGATCATGGGGGACGGTTTTCCCCTTGCTGTTCTCATGATAGTGAGTGAGTTCTCATGAGATCTGGTTGTTAAAAGTGTGAAGCACCTCCTCCTTCTTTCTCTTCCTACTTCTCTGGCCATGTAAGATGTGCTGCTTCCCCTTCACCTTCTGCCATGATAAGTTTCCTGAGGCCTCCCCAGCCATGCTTCGTGTACAGCCTGTGGAAACATGAGCCAACTAAAACTCTTTTATTTGTAAATTACCCAGTCTCAGGTATTTCTTTATAGCAGTGTGAGAACGAACTACTACATATAGAAAACAGTGTGGAGGTTTCTCAAAAAATTTTAAAATACAAGTACTATTTTATCCAGCAATCCAACTTCTGGGTATTCAAAATAATTTAAACAAGGATCTCAAAGAGATACTAGCACTGTCATGTTCATTACAGCACTATATACAAAGGCCAAGATGTCAAAACAACCCAAATGTCCATTGAAATACAAGTTGACAAAGAAAATGTAGTATATACAGACAATGGAACACTATTCAGATTTTAATATTGCAGAAGGAAATTCTGCAATATATAACAATATAGATCAACCTTGAGGACATTATGCTAAGTTAAATAAACCAGTCCCAGAAATAAAAAATCTGCATGGTTCTACTTACATAACGTGTCAAAATAGCCAAACCCACAGACTCAAGGAGTAGAACAGTGGCTGTCAGGGGCTGTGGTGACAGGAAAATGAATGTTACTAATCAACTGGCTTAAAGTCTCAGGTAAGATTCAGAAGCTTTAGAGACTGGCTGTAAAACTTTGTGACTTTAGTCAAAAACAATTTGTTGAACATTTAAATATTTTTAAGAGGTTACATTTCAGGTAAAAACAAAGCTTCTACTAAAAATATAGATAAGACATTTGAACATGCATTTCAGAAAACAGAATATCCAAGTAGAGATTTTCAACCTCATTAACAATAAATACAATGCTAAATAAACCCCAATGATAAACTACTGAATACCCAGTAGAATGGTGTATTTTAATATTCAGCATTTACACTCCTATGCCTATACTCATCAACATTACAATGTATAACTTGTGAGAGTGTTACAATGTTGTGTTAGTTTTTGGTGGAACAAATTATCAAAACTTTAATTGATCCATTTAAACGGTATCCATTTATCATTTTACAGTTCAGTCGGTCAAAATTTGGATTGGCTACATGAAGTTCTTTGATTAGAATCACACTAACCTGTTTTCTGGAGACTCTAGATTTATCTACTTGCAAGCTCATTCAGTCTGTTGGGCAAATGAAATATCTTGTGTTTGAAGGTCTGAGGTCCTCATTGTCTTCCTGGCTGGCAGCACCAGGTATCTCTAAGGTCCTTGAGCCCATTTTCAGGTCCTTCAATGTCAGCAACATTGAAAAATCCTCATGTCAAATTTCCCCTATGCTTTAAATTTCTTTGTCCTCATCTAGGAATAGCTGGAGAAAATTCAGCTTTTAAAGAGGTCCTGTGATTAGAATGAGCTCACTCAGATAATCTCCCTTTTGATTAACTGAAAATCAACTGATTAGTAACTTTTATTACATCTGGAAAATCTGTTTTGCTGTGTAAGGTAAAATTTTCATGGGAGTAATATCTCATTACGTTTCCAATACTGGGGAGTAAGGCATAAAATCTTCGGAGTAGGACACATTTATGGTTTTACCTACCACAAATGTAATATAACAGATAACAGAAAAAATGAACAAACTACTCTTATTTGCACTAACATTGTTGAAACTCATAATATAGAGCGGGGGGAAAGCCCAGCACAAGAAATGTTTACTATTTGATTGCATTTGTATGAAGTTAAAAAATATTGAAAAATGTGGTTCAGACACAGTGGCTCACAGCTGCAATCCCAGAGCTTTGGGAGGTTAAGGTGAAAGGATGGCTTGAGACCAAGAGTTCTAGACCAGCCTAGGCAACAAAGAGAGACACTGTCTCTACAAAACCATAAAAATAATTAGCTGGGTATGGTGCCAGGTGCCTGTAGTTCCACCTACTTAGCAAGCTGAGCCAGGAGGCTCAACTGAGCCCTGGTGTTTGAGGTTATGGTAAGCTATGATCCATGACCACTTCACCATACTCAGGTCTGGGAAAACAAGCAAGATACTCCTAAAAAATTTTCTTTAAATAGAAAAATGCAAATTAGAGCACTTAATATAAATTACAGCATTTAGAAAGACATTTTTGGTACAGAGATTATGAGTAAAAACAGATATTATTATCATAAAGTGCTTGATGTTAATTAACATTGGAGCACATATGAGTTAGAAACTTCCTTATTTTAATTTTTTCTTTTTTTAAATTGTACTTTAAGTTCTAGGGTACATGTGCACAACGTGCAGGTTTGTTACATAGGTATACATATGCCATGTTGGTTTGCTGCACCCATCAACTCATCATTTATATTAGGTATTTCTCCTAATGCTGTCCCTCCCCCAGCCCCCAACCCCCTGACAGGCCCTGGTGTGTGATGTTCCCTGCCCTGTGTCCAAGTGTTCTGATTGTTCAATTCCTATCTATGCATGAGAACATGCGGTGTTTGGTTTTCTGTCCTTGTGATAGTTTGCTGAGAATGATGGTTTCCAGCTTCATCCATGTCCCTGCAAAGGACATGAACTCGTCCTTTTTTATGGCTGCATAGTATTCCATGGTGTATATGTGCCACATTTTCTTTATCCAGCCTATCATTGATGGGCATTTGGGTTCGTTCCAAGTCTTTGCTATTGCGTACAGTGCTGCAGTAAACATACGTGTGCATGTGTCTTTATAGTAGCATGATTTATAATCCTTTGGGTATATACCCAGTAATGGGATGGCTGGGTCAAATGGTATTTTTAGTTCTAGATCCTTGAGGGATCGCCATACTGTCTTCCACAATGGTTGAACTAATTTACACTCCCACCAAGAGTGTAAAAGTGTTCCTATTTCTCCACATCCTCTCCAGCATCTGTTGTTTCCTGACTTTTTAATGATCACCATTCTAACTGGAATGAAATGGTATCTCATTGTGGTTTTGATTTGTGTTTCTCTAATGATAAGTGATCATAAGATTATTGGATCATAATTACAAAAATTATGAGTAAAAACAAAGATATTATCATAAAATGCTTGATATGAATTAACATTGGAGCACATATGGGTTAGAAACTGCCTTATTTTAATTTTTTCTTTTCTTTTCTTTTCTTTTTTTAAGGACAGGGTCTCATTCCATCACCCAGGCTGGAGTGCAGTGGTGTGATTATAGATCATTGCAGTGTCAAACTGCTAGGCTCAAGCAATCCTCCTATCAGCCTCCCAAGTAGCTAGGACTACAGGTGCTGCATCACTATGCTCAGCTATTTTTTTATTTTTATTTTTTGTACAGATGGGGAACTCGCTATGTTGCCCAGGCTGGTCTTGAACTCATGGTCTCAGGCAGTCCTCCTGCCTCAGCTTCCCAAAGTGCTGGAATTACAGGTATAAGCCACAGTGGCTGGCAGGAATTTTCTAATTTGTAATCTGTGTTTGGTTACATTGGCATTAGCCTTATCAAAAATTATTCTGCTGGACATTCATGTTTTGTGCACTTTTCTCTATGTTTCTTATGTTTCATAACAAAACCATTAAAATAAGCAAACAAACAAAAATCCTTGTATGCAAGCATGTTATTATATTCATTCATTCATCAAATATTCATTTGTTTCATGTCCATTATATGCTAGTCTCTGGGTGGTGGAATTCCAACAGTAAACAATAATGAAAAGATGTCCACATGAAGCTTGCAGTCTAGTGCTAAGATGCTGTCAGTTTTCTGCTTTAATTTAACTCTGGATGTAAATAAAGTATCAGCTTTAAAACACTTATAGCAAAATAACTGCAAGGTGAAGCATTAAGCCCTTTAATTACAGTACCACACGAAGTTACTTTTCTATTCATACTATATTCCCAGCATTCAAAGACTGATGTAATTAACAAAGATAAAGTTTTGTAAATAGGTCCAGCTGAGGACCCAGAGAGAGAGAAAGGGGTAGACAGCATAATTATGCTGGGTTCTTGAAGACAAAGGAGGCTGATCCCTGCAAGCACTAGAGAGAGTCTCTACTTACCACATTTTGTCTGCACTCAGTAACCAGGCAATCTTACCAAGAATTTATTTTTTTGGGGGGGAGAAAAAGAGATTAAAAACACATTTTTTCTTCAAGTGTCCTGAACTTTAGTATTGGAAGGCAAAGAATCATGGCATGTTTCTTTGGACTACCTAAATCTCAGTTTTTTAAAGCATTGATAAGCTTTCCTTTCTGAATATAAAATTTTATGATAAAAACCTATACCTCCTTCAGAAAACAGTTTGGGACACAATGTTTATGCAGTTCCAAAAATTATATAAATATATGTGTGTGTGTGTGTATGCAATTTGTAAAATGTTTTGTTTGGGACTTTTAGGAAGAAACGCTATATTTAAATGTTAGTTATAGGCCATAAGAAATGAAATAGTCTTGGAAAGGAGGATGAGGAATGTTTTCTGAACTCCAAGAAAGCTTTACTTTTTTATGAGAAAGAAATAATATAAATTATTCTTGAGATTTACTGGAACAATCTTTTTTCCTCATAGCTTACTGACCTAGAATTCAGTATGGATTCTCATCATCAGTCATATGAGCATTTGCTACATATAGCCCTAATTGTTTATGTAAATAGACAATTACCAAATAATTAACTGGATTCTTCTGTAATGAGTGGTAAGAGGCAGAAATACAGACCTGTATTAATTTATAAAATCTCTATAAAGAAAAACAAGCACATACAGAGAAAGAATTATTCATGAAAATGTTTTCAGGATAAATTATAATAAAAAATAAGCGAAAAGAAACAACTGAAATACTAGTATAATATTGAATATAATAAAATACATTAAGAATCTAAAACATTAAGAACTAAAATCCTATTATATAGAATTTCAATAAAATGCCAGTAAACATTGTATTTACCTAAATAAATTATATAGAAATATATAATTATATCAAAACTACTTTCAATAGTGATGTATAAGTACTTTAAAAATATAACCATAACTGTACTGGCATCTTGTGAAAGATGTAATTAGATACAGAGGACTTTTTTATGTTTGTCCAAAACCGTTTATGATACTCTCATGTATCTCAGCTAAAAATACAAGTTAGAAAATTGACCATTTAATCATTACTTCTCAATCTCTTTCATATCTTTATTTTAGGCATCATCAACTCCTAAGTGGATAAGGCAAAAAGTTTAACATATTCTGTTTCCAATCCTTTCCATCTTCCTTCAGCTGGACATTTTCCACATTGTAGACCTTGTGATCTTCCTAAAATGAAAATATAAACTTACTTTCCGAGAGTTGCAGTGGACAGTATTACTTGTCCACTTTCCATTTACCCTCTCCCCCTTCCTAGTAATTACCTTCTAGATATCCCGTTCTTCTCTCTGAATATCATGATGTTTGAGGAAACTAATATTTTCCTTCATCACTTTGCTGGCCAATCAACAGGTTTACCCGATTAGTTCAAAGTTAATCCTATTCCCTTTATCATAATCATTAGTTCGCTTGACCAACAACTTGACTGATCAACAAGGTACTTCCCTGTTTTGTATAATAAAAAGATTGGCTTCTGTAGGGAGATAGAATCATATTTAAGACAATGAAATATGGGCGATATTATGAGGGAAATATATCTGGATAGTGTGGAATTCTAGACCAATTTATTGCCCATTGAGGAATCCAGCATCAGCCAGAAAACAACCTAGGCAGAAGAGTATAAAAGAGGAAGTCTCAGGGAAATAGGACCAGAGACACTGGGTTGAGTCACCCTGAAGCCCTTCCAACCTCGGCATTTATATTTACGCAAGTCCCCAAGTTTCATTATGGATTTACCAGTTTGAATGGAGTTGCCAGCTTCTTGCATATAATAACATCTAAACTGAATTATAACTCTTCTGACTTTCTTTTGATTTTAAATAAATTTTGAAAAGATGGTATGCCATTATCTCTCTCTATCTCTCTCTTTTTTTTCTCAGCTTCCCAAATTTCACAGGTTCTCTCTTAACTCAAGATGTTTGCAAATAATACTATTTTGGCCTGGAATTCCCTTTCCAATCCCTCTATTCTTGATTAAGTCCTCTATCACCTTTTTGTTTAATCTAAGATTGCTTTTCTAATGCCTCAACTAACTCCCAATTTTCTACAGACTCTCGTGGTACACTAATACCACAGCATACATGGTACACTAATAATAAAGGAACATAGATGTTCCTTATTGAAACATTTAACGAGCAGCATCATATAGAACTGCATTTTTACTGCAGTGAGCTAACATCAAGCACTGTCATTCATTATCCTAGTACTGCTTGCTTCAAGTATTGGATCTAGAAAATAATGTCTGAATAAATAATATGGAGTCAAACATACATAAGTGAATACATGAATAAATATATACGCATTAAAAATTAACTTATGTGAGTTGTTGAAGCATGATGTCATTGTTAATCAATTGAACTCAGAAGAATAATTACTTCTTTGACATGGTTTTATACATGTCTCTTTGTCAGTGCTACATAATGCCTTGGATAGCAAGGAAATCAGTGTCGTACTCCCTTCTCAGCCTTTTGTCAATTAAGTCTCCAATGGCAGTAAGAGCATTTCAAAAGTGTTAGGACAGTGATCAGTATTGTGTGCTGATAGAAGCTCGGTACGATATCACCAATAATGTCTCCTGAATCTTCAATAGTGATAGACAACTGCTTAAAACACAAAATGAGTTATGTGTACAATTTATAAATGTGTATGTGATTTACGGTAGGTATCTTTAAACAGCAATTTTATTCATTTTTTAATGAATGCTTTCATTGAATCAAGTCATATACTATAGGTTGATTTATAGATGTTTATTAGGGGAAAATAGTATAAACGGAATAGAACATAAGAAATAGACCTGGGAATTTCTGAATAGGAGCTGCTTGGTCTGTAACATTTGTATGCTGCATACCCTTGGGCATATGAATCTGTTTCTTGTTTCTTCTAAATTATGAGCTTATGATTACTATACAGTTTTTCTAAGTATTAGAGATAATCTATGTAAAATATTTAGGACAGTTCCTTCTACATAATGAGCTTTTGATAAATAGTGGAGTTTATGATTTCTTTTATTGCTGCTGTTGTTATTATTAAAGATTACCAATATGTTTAAAATTATTGCCAGGCTTACACTCTTTAATTTAATTCTCCTAGATGTTTTTAAAGAAAAAATGATACAACAGAATTAAACATCTTTGGCTGTCAAACTGAAACCAACATTTATCTCTGTTTAGTTTCCGCTGTTTTGAAAACGTGTGAGGTTACAGGTTAGGGGGAGTGAAGAGTTTTCCAAAAAAGTATGAAGATAGGGTGACAAGAGTTTGAGGTTGCAGTGAGCTATGACCATGCCACTACACTCCAGCCTTGGTGACAGAGTGAGACCCTGTATCTGGAAAAAAAAAAAAAAAAGAAAAGGTGAGATGTGGGTGTGAGGACAGAAAGAAATTAGCATTTAATTTGCATTGCCATACATTTTACTTCCGCTTTTTCACAACATACTTCAAAATAGGAATTATCATAACCATTTTACAGATGAAGAAACTAAGGCTCAAGCAATTAAAGTAACTTTTTCTAGATCACATGGACAGTAAGTGTTGAAATCATGAGTTAAACCGGGACTTTTATAAATGCCTAAAGCTATGCTCTTCCTACAATTACATTCGTCTTCAAACTAAATATTAGCAGTCATTGTCCATTGAGCTTTAATAGCAAATGGAGATAAATCTATCAGAAATATTAGTAGCTTTTCAGAAGCTAAAAGGAGAAAGCAATGCTAGCGGCCATCTTGGCTAACTGCCCACCTAATGCAAAACTGATATAATTTAGCAAAAATAAAACTAATTTTCTTGATACCAAGGTTTTCATGAATGTGTCTCTTACATAATGAAAACAAAATTTTCATGGAATAATTACTTTCTCAAATGAAATCATAAAACTGTAAAACAAACTTATTTATATATTATAATTACAAAAATCTAAGCATATTGAATTACAAAAAATGATGAAATTGATGGACTAGGACAAGAGGGCTATGATTTATAACTTTTTCTTCAAAACTGAAGTAAGACTAAGATATTTCCTTAAAGAAAATAAAATTAAAAACAAAAGTCAATATTATAGATTTTTTTTAAAAAGAAAGAAAGAGAAGAAAACTTACCAGACAAATCAAATTTCATGGAAAAAAGTAGTATCTAGCTCTCATATGTAGCATACTTGCAGACGTCATAAAGGATGTCACACGAAGGTCTTAATTCTCCTATTTTTTCTTTAAAATTCTGAAACAATGAAAGATAAATGTGTTCAGGAATTTTATCATCCTCACCTTAAAGAACATTGAAACTTGCAGCTGCTTGCAAATTGTTCATTCATTCACTTATTCATACATGTTATGATCACTGATTATTTTCTATGCACACAGCAAAGTGCTACACAGCAGAGACTACTCTGTCAGGAACGCAAAACAAATGCAAACTTGGACTCAATTCCAGAAGTCTAGGAGCCCACTGGAGCTGATATATAAGGGCTTGATTACATAAATCTAGGTGTCTTCTTGGTAATTAGATGGGGTAGAATATTATCAGTGCTTGAAAGGAATAGTGCAGATAATAAGTTCTAGAGTAAGTCAGAGAATCAAGATATCATTTTGGGCTAGCATCTTCAGAGAAGGCATCACAGAAGTAATCACCATAAAAAACAAGCTAGACATCCTTACAGGGATATCAATACTCTCTTAACCAAAAATTTAAGAGCTTTTTTATCTTTATTCCACAAAAAATGCAAACCTAGTAATGATCTCTCTGAAACTATTCAGAAGTGAATTATTCAATTAATCGGACTGTTAGCCATCCAGTAAGCCATTTAGTCATTCATTTTTTTTCTATACATATTTATTGGCACTAGTTTGGTTTAGGGTATTCTTGGAGATAGAGATTTGGCGGTGGGCTACACAGACTAGTTTTGGTTTTAACGAAGCTAACAGTCTATCAAGAAATATAAGATTTAAATAAATTATCAGCCCAAAATATTACTTCCAATTATATAAGGATTAGGAAAGAGAGTTACAGGTTGATAAAATAATACATTAGAAGAAAGTTGTATCTCCTCAGCATAGGCTATGCAGGCTGTGCACTGCACAACTCTAGGGGCATCTTTCACAGAAATTACAGCATAAATGTATTTGAACTTTATTTAAACTGAATGGGAAATTACTGCTAGGAGTGACATAATCAGCTATGCATTTATAAAAGATGCTTTGTCCAAAGTGTGAAGAATGGATTTGAAATTGAGAACAAGAGTCAGCATGGAAATACTAACAGCTTTTTTAAATGATCCATGAGAAAAATGGTAATGGTGAAGAGAATGGAGTCACAGAGGAGTGAATGAATGTATTTTAAAGACAGAATTGACAAGACTTGCTGCAGGTTGTATATGGGGCTGAAAACAAGGAGGATGCAAACTTTTCAAAGTGTTATTTACTGACAAAGGTCATGGTGTTAAAGATACAAATTTGGTGGAAATATTAAATAATTATTCTTTCTACTTACTTTGTATAATTTACCATGAAACCCCTAAGTGGATAAATCTATCAGGCATGTGGAAACACACAAAATGGGCTGGAGATTTTTACTTGAGATTTTTTTCATAAGACTGTATAAGATATTCTGAAGAGAAGTAATATTGACAAGAGAAACTAGGATTAATTTCACCTCCAAAAATTGCAGTGGATGGGTGAACTTCATCTGTCTTAGAGCATTAACTTTACTCCTCAGTTTACATTCATTAACCTCACGGCTGATGCAGAAATTTTTTTTCTGTTCTTAAGCCTGTAGCTCGATTCCTGGGACAGCCTCAGGGCTAGGCCTCTTGCACAATCTCAGCAGTCATCATCATCATCAAGTGCCTTGGTTCTCCCTCAGGAAGTCCTTGTCAGAATCTGGGGAATCTTCTTATTTTCCTGTATATTTAGCTCAAGAAAGTGCCTATGAGCTGCTGCTCCCTGGCTCCTTGCTTTTATTTCATTTATCTGCACAGATAAACAGACAGACCCAGTTTAAATTTTGGCTCTATTTGCTTTAGGTGAGTGACTCCAGCTATCCTACTCATCTACTTTGTGAATGTTACATGTGAAAATGTATGTAACAGCGCCCAACATATATCAGGTGCACAATGACTGTTATTTACCATTTTTCCAAGAGGAACAATTCTTACTCTGCTTTTACTTCCTTCTAGTCTGTATTTCTGGTCCCTACCTTCTTTTTCTCCCGAAGGTTGCTCATGTTTGTGCTACAGTCTCAGACTCAGGATATCTATGGCTCCATCATGATACATTTCTTGCATCTATTTCTAGATGATTCTAGTTTGGGGAAAATGCATGGTGGGAAGAGTGCATGCACAGAGATTGCTGTTTGTTTACCATGTTAAGAGATATAGTTGCTGTGTACAAAAAATTGGGGAGAGTTTAGTAATCAAAACCCAGTTTAAGAGAATAGAGTGAAATAAGGATAATCTTTGATTCCACAAAAAGAAGAGGGCTCTAGGAGGTCATGCACTAACAATATTGCATATTAGTATGGACACTTTTGTTTATCAAATGCATCACATCATGATTTTTTAAATTACTTACAACAACTTTATGAGGTGAGAATGGATGATATAATTCTCATGTTAAATAAGAGAAAACAAAGGTCAGGACATTTAATAGATTCAAGGGTAACCGCTGGTGGCTCCAAGAGATCTGAATTCTAGACCAGACTCATTAAACTAGCTGTGGCTGCATATAACTTATACTCTCTGAAGTGCTGAGTCTTCTCAGTGGTAACAGAGGAACAGGATTTCTCTAATATCTAATCCAAACTTAAAAGCATGGGATGCTATATCTTGTCTAATATAAAGAGATCATTGGCAGAACTGGGATAAGAATTCTATTCCCTAATTCAAAGCCTCTCCAATACACTACTTTGCTTTAAGACACTTTTCTGGGCTCTGAATAGATAAGAATGGCAATTTTATACAAATAAAACAGCTACATGGGGAAAATGGAGAAGAGCAGACAAAGGAGTATTAAAATCTTCTCATGGTCCTTCCAAGTGCAGAAGCAGGTGATCAAGGTATTGGGTCAGTAGGATGAAAACTGAAAGTAAAAGACTATGGCATGCATACAAATTATAGTGGATAAAATATAAAAGTGGCCCATATCAGTAGTTTTGGAATAGCTGAGACTGGTGTCAAGCAGTTGACTTAATATGGCCTTTTAAATAATCTAGGTGGATTAGAAAGAGGAGTATGGATGGCTAGGAGAGAGTTTGTGGAGATGAAGTGGAAGGATTAAAGTCTTGACTGGAACTGGAGAGATTACAGGCTGAGCCTCAGTTTTCTGGATTGAAGTCATTCTCCAAAGTGTTCCTAAGAAGACACTGTGTCAGCATCTTTTAGCTGGTCATCTATTGAAACTAAGTTAACACTGTTGTTCACAAGTTTGAACTACTAGGGTCAAGGGAGACACCAAGTTATGAATAATATAGTGGCCAAGAAGCTAGTCAGCATGTCTAAATCATCATGTTTGTCTCCTTTTACATAGATTCTAAAATAGTTCCATTTCAGACTCAATAAATACAGGCAGGGTTATTTCAGTAATATAAATGGATGCAGTTATGATAGATTATTTTTTATTTTTTATCTGCTGTAAAGCTGTTACAGTAACAAGATAGGTATGATTTTATCAAAAATTTGTTTTGGTTAACAAAAGAACAAAAACTGGGGTCTTTGAGGAAAGTATCAATGCTGACAGTCATTTGAAAAAAAATCAAATGTGTTACGTAATTCATTTAGCAAATGTTTAAATGCTTATTACATCCCAGACATTTAGTTTGATATTAGATATAAATGTATAAATGGGTATAGATAGGTCAATATAGTTAGATAGATAGTAGACTAAGGTATTACAGTCTCATGAAGAGATGGATATGTAAATCATAAGAGAAAATAATTCTGTAAGAAATTTTTAGATGTAAATTTTCCCTCAACATGCAGGCATAAAAGGATTTAATTCTTCCTGGGGAAATCAGGGAAGAGCTCATGAAGTGCAGACTTCACATAAAAACTTCAAGAATGAACAAGAATGATCAGAGATACACATGTGTAACTAACTTGCTACAGAAAAAGAGAACATGTGTCAGAGATTATTCAAAATTCTCCAAGGAGTTTAATATTTCTGAAGGCTTGAACAAGAGATACATTGGTAGAAGTGAAGTCTTAAAAGGTATAGAGGCCATAGCAGAACATAAAGTGTCTTGTAACCTGTGAAAATAAATTCAAATTACTTCTTGGAAGCCATGAGAAGACTGATGAAATTTAAGAACAGGAATAACATCCAAGGTGTCTTGCAAAGTACATTTCTATAATGCTGAAATCAAATTCATTTTCAGATGAGGAAAGCATCTCAGAGGTAGTGGTCAACTTAAGAAGGGGTCTTTTATTCTAACGCAGATACGTGAACAGAAAAGCCTGAACTAGGGAACTGACCATGAAACTAAAAAGGAGAAAGCATATGCAAGTGGACACAATGTGAGTATCCTGGCTTCCTGTGTTCTGCCTCAGGAAATAGAGAGATAAGTGATATTATTCAACAGAGTCATGGTACCCGAAGCAGTGATGTGGGGGAGATGAGGCGTTTGGATTTGTGGCTGTGTGGGTATTGCCTGGAACTTCTTCCCTGATTTTCACAACTTTAAGTTAAAAGTTAAGTACCAGAGGGAAGAGGTCATTGAAGGAGAAAATCAGATTCATTATTTACTACTGATATATGCTAATTTTATTTAAGGGCAATCAATTCATCAACTTAAATGTAATTTAAGTTACTTTGCTATAGGATATCATTGTTAATGCAAGACTCCATTGCATAGGTTGGCAATCGCATTACTGTGTCCACATATAAAATTATGTTGTTTCCAGTATTTTGATACAAATTCTTTATTTCAGAGGAACTATTATATATTACTATTGTTAACTATTATTGGGATGTCATCCAAGATATGGGTAATGTATACAACTATTACTGTCAGGGAAGGAAAACATAAACAAAATTCATGATGTAAAGCTTCTTATGTGGATCAAATATCATAATGTTCTGGAAGTTTCTTAAGAGCAGGAATGAGAGAAAGAGTTAACAAGTTGCCATGAAGTTAAACAAACTTTCATTTCAAGACCCCTTGCTTGCCTGTCTCTCTTATGAGGAGCCCTAGCAATGTGTTGACTTGGTCATCTATTGTAGTAAAATTTGACCAAGTGTCAGGTTGTTAAGTGCAGGCCGTCGCAATACCAGTGGCCCTATCACACTTGTCCTCTAGTCAGGTGTTGTTGATGGCTACTGGCATAAAGACGTGGGCTAAAGAGAGGTTGTCAGGAAATTCAGAGGCCAGTGAAGACAACCTAAGATGTATAATACACAACCACAATAAGACATGAACAAGAAACTTGTTAACAAGTGACGGCAATTAAGAGTATTTAGATTAGTCACTGGAAGAAAACTTGCAATGTCAAGAAACTCAGAACTCATCTGTGAATGAAGCTCAATAGACATTTTCCTAAATTTGACAAGAATCCTAAAAATGTTCATGATATCACCAGTAATGACTTGTGAAGTAGAAATAAAGAGACTACAGTGAATAAACAAATACCATAGTAAAATAACGCATTATTTTCTTTTATTCTATATAGAACTTAGTATAAACGTCTTGTCTTACAAGGGTGTGATTTTGCAGCCAAAAATGTAAGACAGGGAAGGGGGAATGGAATAGAGTACGGCAAGGCTATTAATGAATACAAATATTATCTCATTTTGTGTTTTATTTTTAAGTTGTTCATGGTATTGGTTAGCTTTTTAAAATTTGCAGTTTGTTGTGATTACTGATTATAAATATTTAATGTCATACCTGTTTATAATCACCATTTTGTGTAAAAGAAGGCCTCTAAAATTATTTAAGCTTCACATCACATAATCACTGTAATATTTCTCTCAAGATCCCTAGCACCAAACTAAAAACTGTAGAGAAAATTGCTCAGTAAAGTTGACCGTTAAACGAACAAGAGAGTGTCAGGATTTGGTAATTAAATGTTAAGTGAGGAACAATAGGGAACACAGCATCTTGATCCTGCTGTAAAAGTAAGGCAAAGTGAATTCAGGGAAAGAGAAATCTCAAAATAAAAGTTTATTCTCAGCTCTATTCATGAACTTTTGACTGTTTACAGTTCATAAAGTTACCTTCATAAATTACATGGGCATGGAGGGAGACAGACATCAAGATCCTGGAGATGAAGGAAGCTAACTCTTATAAGACAATCAACAACAACAAAATTATCTTTGCTCCTGATTTTAAAGGGCTAAAGGAAGAGGAGAAGGGGAACATGAAGGGAGAACACATGCATAGGAAAAATGAGGGGAAATAAACAAAGAGAAATTGTGTAAGGTGAGAAATGACAGTAAAATTCACCTATAATATGGAGGCTGAAAACCATTTTAAAAATGGTGAAACCTTCTATTCTATTTGAAAAATATTTTTTGGTACAATAAAAAATCTTCTAGCACTCATCCATCCCAATTCTTTCCCAACTGAAATGTCAGTGAATTCTACTCTACTCATAATGTATTGTAAAAAAAAGTTTTTTCCCCTTTAACTAAAAAACTTACCTCAATTTTACATATGAACCAGAATGAAGAATTCTACAAGAAAGTAGAAACATGACAGAAAGAAGAGTACAGGAGAACGGGTGAAACTTGAAAACTGATAGAAATGATAGAACAGGATCTATACTTCTGCAGGTCACTGAAGTGAAGAGTTTGATGTTCTTCCTAGATCTTCATAGACGTAGAATTGCCTGTGTAATCTCCTTACCTCACTAGTCTGCCCTGTCTTCCTTCTTGCTAGATGAGAAATAAAGAAAACAAGAAAAGCAAGGGAAAGGAGAGAAAAAAGGAGGGATACAGCAAGAGGGAGAAAGAAAAGGACGAGAAAATAAATTACTAAAGGGAGAAAAGAAAAAGAAAAAAGAAAAAGCAGAGAAGAAGTTAATCCCCTGGTGAATTTTTCACAGGCTATCTGGAACTCAAAAGTTCAATCTTTATCCATCTATCACTAAGTCAACTTCTGGAACCTCTTCTTCTAGAACCAGTTAGGGAAGCCACTGAAGGAGGGTTATAGGACAAAATATATGTTGGTGTGAACTTTAAAAAAAGAATTTGTGTTTAAGGATGAAACTGTAATGGTTTTGAAATTGCACTAACCACATTTGATTTGAGCTGAATCAAAAGTAGAAAAATCAGCAAATTCTACATAAAAAACTAAGGAAGAGGAAGAAGATCCAACTTAGAAAATCCAGTGGAATAATAATTCCATTAGTAAGATAACGATACAGAGAGATGATGACACTGGAGTTTTCAGAGAGCATTGAGGCAATATGTAGCTATGGAATTTGAAAAAAAAAATGGTTCATTTTTGGAAGATTACTACAACAGTCATGTTAGATTAATTGAAATGAAGGTTGGTGTTATAAGGCTTTAAAAATAGTCCAACTGGAAATACGAAAGCTTGAAAAGCAGCTTTGAAAAACAAAGACAGAGGGGAAAGGGATGAAGAGAAATACAACTGAGATTTAAGATATAAAATAACTGAAATCTGGAACTAATCAACTGTGAAAATCAAGCAACGAGAAAGAGTTGTAAATTATTTTAAAATATCTGGCTCGATCAACTTTGCCAGTTTTAGAGCCAGTCTTTGCAAAAAGGGAGAAACAAAACAGATGAGACAAGAAAGGAACATCCAGCATGCTGTGAACCCCCTGAGACTGGCCATGATCTGAAAGAGTAAAGCTCTATCCAGGGAACCTTTTCTGAATCATAGTGTCAGACTTCCTGCTCTTTTCAACTCCCCTGGTTTTATCATCTCTACTCTGTTTCAGCAATCTACTGCCATGGCCACATCCTGAATGTTGACAATACCCTAAACTGTGCCATTTATAAGATCTCTGACACACCAACCTCTCTCCTCTTACAGCTCTCAATGATGTATATGACCTCAGCTTATTCTAATATGCTTACAGATTATACACCCGTGATATTGATGGCAGTGGCTGCTGCTGTCGTGGCTGCTGCTATCACGCCTGCTGCAACACAGAGGTGCGACTGGGGCTGCACATTTCACGGAGGTGTTGGGAGTTCCGCCCCTTCTGATGTGGGGAAAGAGATCCCCAGGTGCCCCTGCATCTGCCCAAACTGTGGCTGTGGATCGGAGGCTCCAGGTTGGCAGGTTGGGAGCTTCCGGGTGCAGCTGCGACCGCCCTCCCAGGTGCAGGACCCTGGTGTTTCTGCAGCCTGCACCCTTGGGGGCCCCAGGAAAGACCCATATCCTTGCAGGCTTGGAGGTGTTTGCTTCTTCTGCCTGGCCTCTCTCGGCTCCCGGTGCATGCTCTCATATCTGAGTGGGGGTTGGTGCTGAGCCCCGGGGCCGTGAATTGCAGCAGGAGGCAGATTTATTCCTGGGCAGAAGGTGGCAGATCCCAAGTAAGGGGACCTTCAAGCCAGGGAGGGCCTGAAGGCTGGTGGCTGGGCTACCAGTCCCACCGACCAGAGTGGGGATTCGTGGGCCTCTTCTGGGCCACCCATAGCCACCCATGGACCAATCAGCAAGCACATCCTCCCCTCTGAGGTCCGTAAAAGCCCTGGGCGCAGCCTGAGCAGGGCAGAGGAAGGCCAGAGGTGAAGGAGTCAGAGAGGCGACAGGATAGGCAGCTGCCGAGAGAAGTACGCCTCTCTGCTGAGACCTGGAGATGACGGGAAGGCCAGATGCAGAGAGGAGCTACCCTCTCTGCTTAGAGCTGCCAGGAGGAGCTACCAACCTTCTCTGCTGAGAGCTGCAGAGATGACCTGCTGGCAGAGAGGAGCTACCCACTGCGGGTCTCCTCTGATCTGTTGTAATGCTGAATAAAGCTTCTTTTCATCTTGTTCACCTTCCACTTGTCTGCATACCTCATTCTACCCGGACGCAAGCAAGAACTCGAGCAAAGGCACAACCAGCCACAGAGGTTTCTGGCCAGAAAATCGACACCCCAAAAGTCCTATAACAATCTGATTCTAAAAGCAACATCATCTTTTCAATGTAATTCTAAAAGAATTTGGGATTATTTTATTTAATTTCAGGATCCCCTCTGAAGAAAATCAACTTACAAAGGATGGCAGGTCTTAAGAAAGGTACTTAGCAAGTGCTGGTACATTCTAAGCAATCAATATTTGTCAATGTTCAGTAATTGTACAATTGTACTAGAGAAAACAATTCCAGGGGCTTAAAATTATCTTATACAAGGATCCACTTTATTATTATTTTTTCTGTTTGTTTTGGATAAATTACTGACTCCTTATCTCAGTTATGTTATGTGTTAAATGTTTACAGTGTTATTTTGTATCTCTCAAGGGCTTTTGTTAGAATTTTCAATGAGATACCTTAAAACCTCTAAAAAGAAAATGGATGTTATAAGTAAATAAAAATAAGTCTGAATGGCCAAAAATATGTGTATGTTTGTTCTTACTATTTATCGCCAAGGACACCAATTCATTGGCCCTTTTTTATAGCAATATGTAACTCAAACTTCTGGTTTATTTGCTTTAGACCTGAAAGACATAAATTTATTTTTCCATTTACATAGCAAGTTGAAGTTGTGAGGACAGATACAGTAGAATGTGTTGATTTCCACAGTCTCTAGAAACTGGCATTTCTCTTATTTCCCAGTTCAGGGATTTTCAATTCACAGTATTTCACATTAATGTTAGACTTGCTATAAGGTTATTTCTTAAAATATCTTATGCGTTGCCTTCAGGAAAACATTAGCTTGCTAGCTTTCTGAGGTATTACTCATTTATATCACTCAAAATAATGACCAGTGAATATATCAGAATGGAGACCCACCTAGAGGCAGCATGCCTTAATTCTGTAGTGCCAGCAGTGTGTGACTAGATGGCTACCTTTCTTACTTATTGTTATATAGCAAATTTTAGAGGCACTTGTGAGAATGATTTTTTTCAGATCAACCACATTTGTGTATGAGCAAATGGAGTTTGTCTCAAGTGATCTAGGCACATGAAATCAAATTATTCTTTAAATTACCTATTGAGAATGTCGCTCTATTGTTACCTGCAAAAAATACATACAACTTCTTAATAATGTATTCCATAGAACATGTTGAAGTTTATAAGGCTCTTGGATTGTAATATCTCATTATATTCTAAAAACAAGTTCAGTTAGGCAGGGCTGGAATTGTGCGTCTCCTTCCAAGAGCCTTGCTTAAGACCAGCTGAATATATAGTAGGGGACAACCACAGATGTTCAGTGTCACCACTAAATCCATTTGGGATTAAGCAGGATCTGTCAATAAATACTTCTGTTAAGGCCTTGGTGTAGTCCTATGGGATAATGCGAAGAACGTAATCACTGTAGGTGTTTTTATGATGCACAACACAATATTATGACATGACATTGATGAATTTGTGATTATTGTAACTGGCTGTCTTTTGTCTCATTTCATCATTTCAATTATACATCAAATAAAATATCTGCAATGAATGGAAAAGTGTTTTACCTGCTGGTATAAAAAACGTTGTGAATATTGGGATTAGACAAAACTGGACATAAATCTCCAGGCCATCGCTTACTAGCTTTGTGTCCTTCAGCAATGTACATTCTCTCTCTGAGACTCCATTTCTTATTTTAAAATAGGGATGACAATGCTTTCATCATATGGTGGCTATGAAAATTAAGTGAAATAGCATGTATAAAGGGCAAATACAGGTTAATAAACGTTATTCTTCTTCCTCTCTCCTATCTTCACCCTAGAGAGCATCAGGGATGCAACTCACATGGCAGTTTAACTACATGTCTAAGATTTCTATCCCTGTATTACATGATCCATATTATCCAATTCTAACACGTGGGAAAATCCAAAACACTGCAAATTGCAAAGAGAAACTGTGCAGTAAAGGACTAAAAATATCAAGTGTGTCATTCAGTTAACGTTAATGTTTCAGGTGAACTGGAGACAGAACTTGTGTTATTGTGCTGAGCTATAACATCTATGCCCTCTCTAAGCCTATATGGAACTGTAATAAAGTATTTTATTACAGTAGTCCATCTAGGTTTGCTTTCTTCTATGAAAATAGTGGGTCCATGTGTTTGATGCTGTACAATGTAATTCGACAATTAGTTAACTTGTAATAAAGTAAATGAGTCAGTTTTGCTCAATTCAACTGACTTTAGGTGAAGCAATACATAATTTTTTTTTTTTTTTTTTTTTTTTTAAGAGACGGAGTCTCGCTCTGTCACCCAGGTTGGAGTGCAGTGGCGAGATCTCAACTCACTGCAAGCTCTGCCTCCCGGGTTCACACCGTTCTCCTGCCTCAGCCTCCCGAGTAGCTGGGACTACAGGCACCCGCCACCATTCCTGGCTAATTTTTTTGTATTTTTAATAGAGACGGGGTTTCACCGTGTTAGCCAGGATGGTCTCGATCTCCTGACCTCGTGATCCACCCGCCTCGGCCTCCCAAACTGCTGGGATTACAGGCGTGAGCCACCGCACCTGGCCAGCAATACATAATATTTTATAACAACTGTTACTCATTCATATCTGATATTTGGACATTAATTGATAAAAATAGTGATTTTATAAAAGAAGTTAAAGAGGTGTTTGTTATGGAAAACATGGGCAAAAATGCTGAATAATATCTGAAACTAAATTATTTTATATATTTAAAAATGTTTCAAAATGCAGGCAGCCCTCTGTTTATAGGATTCCAATTTGCATACATTTCTGTTACAATGCTTTAATTAAGTAACACCAGTCCCCAACAACATGATTTCAGTAAACATGCTATGTGCACTGTAATTGGATAGAAGTACAAACTTCACTGCTATAGCTCTTCGGTCTATCAATCACTACACAAAGACAGATGCACATCATGAAGACTGACCAATCATATAATTTTTTTCAAAGTCTGTTGGTTATTGGCCACTGAACATCTGTTATTTAGTTCACACCTAGACAGCAAAGTTTGTGCTTGTGTAAAAAATGCACTTGAAAATATTTTATGACATTGAAATTACAAGAAGTTAAATATTAGAAGCTGATCTAACCTTAGAAAGGAATATGACACTTTGCCAAGGCATAGAAGAGATACCTGTTCTTTATCATGTTATACAACAACAGGCAGGGAAGCAATGTTCAAACTATTCTTTTTTTTTTTTTTCTTGAGACAGAGTCTCACTTTGTTGCCAGGCTGGACTGCAGTGGTGCAGTCTCAGCTCACTGCAACCTCTGCCTCCTGGGTTCAAGTGATTCTCCTGCCTCAGCCTCCCGAGTAGCTGGGACTACAGGTGCGCACCACCACCCCCAGCTAATTTTTGTATTTTTAATAGAGACGGGGTTTCACCATGTTGGCCAGGATGGTCTCGATCTCTTGACCTCGTCATCCGCCCACCTCAGCCTCCCAAAGTGCTGGGATTATAGGCGTGAGCCATTGTGCCTGACGTCAAACTATTCTTAAACTTTAATTCCCATGTTTCTAACATTTTAAAATATGGTGTTCAAAGATATTAGGTCTACTTTAAAAAATGTTCTATAAATGTATAACTGACAGTGATTTAATGTTTTGATAAAAATTGTAAAGGTCATGGAATAATCGAAATATTTCACATTGACTATTAAGATCCTTTTGTAGATTTCAGGTTTTATTAGCATTTTTACAGTCCCATACTACTGTGCCAAGTGAGGACTACTTGTATTTAAAACATTGTAAAATAGAGCTTATGCCTTGGTTTCATGTTTTAGGTGAAAGAGATGACTAAATCTAGGATTTTTATTTCTTCCATGGGTTATGTGAAATCCAAATATATACTTGGGTAAACTCCTGTGTTTTTATTTCGTCGTGGTTATCAAATGGCTTAATTGAGACAGAAATTCAAAGCTAATTTTTCTTTTAACCTACAATAATCATGGAGCTTAGAAATAGAACAATAATCATGCCTTTCATCTGTGAATGTGGCCATTTCCATTGTAATGCTCTGACAACCAGAGTTCAACCTTTCAGCAGCACATCTGTCCATGAATAAAATTTGAGTATGTAAGAAGCTGAAAGCATGGACAAGCAAGGTTCAAGGTTTGAAGGTTCAAGGCTTTTCATAGAATCTACTGATCTGGAGTATTTCCTTCTCTTTAAGTTCATAGATTCAAATTTTACTTGGACGCTATGCAAACAACTGATGAGTCACATTCTTATATAAGTTCTGATGGATTTGTTTTAACTTTCCAATTCACATGCAGAAGTAACACTTTCCCTGCTTCCTCTCTATCATGTCTATCTGTTGCCATCCTGCTTTTCTGAATTTGATCCGAAGCCTACATCCCAAGGTTAAATGGAGTACCCTTATCTTTTTTTTCTTTTTTTTTTAAAAAAGATATATTAAGACAAGAGAAGAAGAGAAGGTAAAGTTAGCATGATTTTTTCATAGTACAATTTTCAGAATATATGCAACTCATACCCTAAGACTTCCAAAAAGGTTTCAAAAGGAATTTGATTTAAGACAGAGCTTTTGTGTTTTGGTTAGAAGTAGAGACAGATAAGTACTGTTTGGTGACTTTTTTCATGACTTGTATTAAGTTGAGGTAGAGTAATTAAGTGACAAATATCTCCCAAATTTAAATTGTTCAGCACAACTAAAACTTATTTTTCACTGAATTTGGTGTCTGTTGGGTCCATGGGGATTGAGAAGCCTTGGGGTGAGTTTCTGTATCATGAAGTCATTGAGGGTCCCAGATCCATCAATCTGGAAACTCAGTCTCCTGTGTAACCAGAAGATGGACCAAGCAAAAGAGAAGGCCCACCTGTTCATTTTCTTGGCTTGTAGGTGACCACCTCACTTCCAATCATGTTCTGTCCATGAGAATTCACTACAAAACTTGTCTTTACGCAAGGGGCTAGAATATGATCTATTGATATACCCAAAAAAGAAAAGGACCAAATATTGGCAAGCACATGAATTTTGCCCTATGGCCTTATTTAGACCCAGGCTACTTAGATAAAAGCCATCGTAGATCCAGGACTAGCCACATAATTTGGACAGCCCAGTGCAAATGAAAATTCAGGGCTCCTTGTTGTAATAGCAGGAAAATGGGGATAATGATACCTTTGTGGGAGGGTGTTTATAATGTATTTGTACACTAAAAACATAAAAAGTACTAAAATATAAAACTTTTTTTTCTTCTCACAACTCTTTTTTGACATTGCATTAAAAAAAGTTTCCATTTACTATAACCCTCTTTGCAACATGCAGATATTTGCAGGGATTATGTACAGTCTCCCATGCACTCAGAGCACTGGCCCAGGAATCTGTGTCCATTTGTGACTTACCAGCTGCTGAGTTCTCCCTCCTTCCAGCTGCTGAACTGACATGTTTATTGGCCGTGAATGAGGAATTCGATCTCCCTTTCCCTCAGCTTGTCATCCCAGCCCATGGTAGATAGTTGATCCTCAAGGGATTACAAATCAGACATGCTCAGTACCTGCATCTGGGGTGGGCCAGCCCAGAGCCTCATCCCCACTAAGTCACTTTCCCAACAGCTGTGGGGCTGCTAGCTTAGGACAGGGATCATGTCACCCTGAGGCACCATGGAGTGTGCATATCCAACCCTGAGATTCCTCATGACTTTGCCCAGGCCCCTACTAGGGTTGAAGGACCATGACTGCATGCAGGTCTCCTCCTGAATGCAATCCCTGCTCTAGGAGGAGAGCTGTATTAATCCTTGGTCAGGGGAGAAAATATCAAGGCTGCGCAAGCCCAGACCTCAGGGCGCTGGGAGCCAGTGGTTGAGAATCTGTGCTGGAGAGGCAGGGAGATGGTATTGCCCATGAACCAAGATTAAAAGCCAGTATTTGTTCCATTGTCCCATTGGATTTCACTTGCAAACCACAAATTTCAAAGATGAAATCATTAATAGTTTCAAGACAACAGCAGAGCATTAACCCCCTGGGTGCAAGTCCCTTAGAACTGCACTGGCCACACACCCATGAAGCTGGCCCTGCACATACCATATTGGTTTAACCATACCAGTGTCCCTGCAGATGCTCTCAGTAAAAAGGTGGTCTTGAGGTGTCTGTCTTCTCCTTTCCCATTCATTACACGAAAGCATCACTGTACAGAAAGTACGTTTGCAAAGGCTTTTAAGGTAGATGCCCTCTCAAAATCAGTAATCATGAACTTTCTGCCCCATGCTTTTGATATTGTCATATATTCTTGTGAAATATACATATTTTCTTTTCAAAGATTGCTTTTTCTGAAATACTTTAAGGAATTATTTCCAAGTTACCCTTTCTTAAGACCTTCCATGATCACCTAGACAGAAAGAACTCTTCTTCCCTTTAATTGGGTGGTTTACTACAGGTGAGAGTGAGCTTATCAGAATCACCATGGGGGCATTTTAAAACCATCTTTGCTTACTCTTATTCTCCACACTCAGGATTTAGGCATGAGAGGCACCTATAAATTGAAAATGTTCTCTAGATTTTTATAACAGTTTCTACCTCCATTGAAGTATTTGCTTTAATGCCAAGGCTTTATGCAGACATCATTTAAAAAAATCAAGTATCACTTATGTTTTCTATTATGCTTGGGCACATGTCAATCTCCCCTAGATTGCACATAATTTTTGCATAGAAGGTCTTATTTGTCTTTATTTTCCCAAGACACATGTAACCTTAACTAGTATATAGTGGGTACTCAATAAATATTTGTGATTTGAATCAATGGATTGAGATTACTATAAATTTGTGTATATAAAACCTCAAAAGAGAGTGCCTACACAGAGTCTTACCACAGTCTACCAAGTCAAATGCCTGGTGTTGTTTCAGGATGATTATAGATTTCTATGTCCTGTCTTAAATAAAATAAGGCATTCTTTCTGTTTGAGAAAAAAGTCAGTGTGGACATCAATGCTTGGGGCTTGAAGCTCTTCATAACCTGCCTTTTTAGAGAGGTATAAACCCTGAATCCTGTAGGGTCTTTCTTGGTGCTTTGTTACTGTTTTTTTCTTTCAGACAACTACTTTATTATTGCTCTCGTAGGCATTACAAGAGAATGTATCCACTTGACTAGAATGATGATATTCTATTCTAGACTGTACAAAATATTTGCATATTTTCTTAACTCAGAGTACTTAGTCAAATGACTGTAGCCACTGCTTTGGAGCTGGTAAAGTCCCTGTGGATAGCACTGGCTCTTGCAATTACTGTAAAAGCCAAGATGGTTTCTTCACTTTCCATTGCATTATGTCCACATGCATACAGTCAAGGACAGCTTTGGACTGATACTACTTTGCCTTTTACTTGATCAAAATATGCACACGAACCAGAAACTCTTAATGATATAAGATGGTTCTCAAAAAGCATTGCTCAAAAATGTTAAATTACAATATTATAATACGTTGCCATAAAGCTGGAACTTTTTGTAAGAATAACAAGGTGATTCAGCTAAATTAGTTGTGATGTTCTCATTTATGGTAAAGTGTCATTTTTTCTTAAGAGGAGCAATTGCTATTTTTTTTACTGCGTATTCAAGGCCGTTTAAAACTACCAACATGATGAAGCCTTATTTAATTAACTCCAGCTGACCTTGACCATTTGTCTGCATCCCCTCACTTGTTATAGTTTAAGCTTCTTTACATAAAATGTTTTGCATTTATTTATAATATAAAATAATCTAACACAATACCGCATGACTTGACATATAACATTTGTAACTTGGCTGCCACTTATCATATATCTAGCGCTGTTAAGTGCTTTTCATAAATTATATAATTCAGTTACCATAAAAAGTTGGTGCTATTAATATTGCTATTTTATATACAAGCACATTGAGACTTAGAAAGTTATTTACAGCATAATTATCAAAGCAGATTGATAAACCTGGAAATTACAGGAAAACACAAAGGAACTATTAAACCATACATTTTAAAAATAATGCCTATGGATCTACATTTTCCTACCGTGCTGGGTGGTTCATAGCCATCCTAAAAATTGAGAATCACTAAAATACCTTTAAATGTATGTTTGATTTCCTCAACTGGACTTGAACTTTCTGAATGGAAAGGAACACAAGTTATTTTCTCTTCCCAATTTCTCAGTTACTACTATGAGATGTTGTGCACCATGAGATAACTGTTTGTAAAGGCTTTGGGGTAAGACAACTGTAAAAAAATCTCAATTTTTCTAGGCTCTAGTAAAGGACAATCATCAAGTCAACTGCATACCATTACTGGCTGGACTGATGAAATAACGTGGCTCTTGAAGATATTTGACAATTGGATTCCATTTATTGACTACTAAAAGGAAAAACTGATTACTTACCTAGAAAATAATGTCTAGAGTTAGGTCCATGTAATCAAATTTGGGGCATGTCACCTTTTAATAATTCCCCACATGATTTGCAATGTCCTTTTAAAGACAAAGCAGTGAAGGGACTAGGGCAGAGCTAGGAAGACAGAAAATACATGATCAGAAATCAGTTCTGCAATCCGTAGTCAACCAGTCTCAGTACAGGTGTAAGCCTCTTAGAGGATAGTAGAGGGAAGAGTTGGAATGCTTCTCTTTACCCCCTCAACATGGCCAAACACCATAGCCAGAATACAAACAAGTTTGAATTGTTCTCTGAAAAGTTCTGCTCTTATTAGCAGAGTGGTTCCCATAATAGGATGCATATTGGAACCACTTGGAAAAATTTAAAGAACACTGATGCCTTAGCCTCAGCCCTAATTCTGATTTAATTAGCATAGAATGTAATGGACGTGGGGATTTTATAAGTACTCAGTGATGATAATTTGCCTTTAGGTTTGGAAACCACTGCTGGGGGATTGTCCTTTTTGTATTTCAGTGAATAGGCAAAGCTAAGTCTGTTCACTCATTATACTTGCCAACATTGAGCAGATGATGGCAGTAAGTGAAAGGTGTATTCTCACCATCTTTGCACTCATTATCACTCTCTGAGTTTACCCACTTTTTGGGGGGCTAGTCCCGGGATTCTCCACTTCCTCTTGTACCTATTGCCATTTGAGTTGTCTCCCTAAGGAGCAACTCTGCTTATACTCTTGTCCTGCTGAAATTTTTCCAGTGACTTCAGTGAATGAGTAAGACTCTTAAGCAACGAAAAATATCTGATAGTAGACTAAAAGTACTGAAGCTGCACATACATAAGCTTGTTTTTTTTACTGTGGATGGACCTTGCCGTGATCACGTTAATGACTACTTTTACCTATAATCACCAAAGGAAGAGATAAATCTCTGTCCTACTTCAATCTGCTAATGGATGCCTTGAAAGGGAGATGAATAAAGATTAAATAATTCTTCAGGGTTATGGGATGAAAGCTTCACACAGTGATTCTCCACTCTATCTGTATATTGGCATCACCTGAGGAGCTTAGAAAACTGTCACGGCACCACCTCCGCCGTCTCTGATTTAATTTAATGTCACCAGGTCCAGATTTAGGCCTTTTTATAAGGTCTCCAGGTTATTTCACTAGGCAGCCAAGTTTGAGAACCATAGCTCTGATGAAAGACTAGTTTATCATAAAGGAATTTAGTTTAACAAAATAATAATTAAGGTAGGAGGAAGCCAGAAATAACTGATGTGAAATGTGGATATTTAGCAGGAGGAAAGGATGTTGCTAGGCAATGGGATAACCTAGGCTGGGAAAGGAATATTAGGGTGACTGAGAAGAGAAAGCAAAAGCCAGATAAAGAGACACATATTGTCAGACATAATCAAAGAACATGAAAATCCTAAATTGTAGTTTGTGGGACACTGGGAAAAACCCTTAACAGATGTTATTCCAACTGAATATTAAAATCTGCCAAACCAGAAATTACTTTTTCTTCCTGCTGAGACAATTATGGAAATAAATAATTTTGGGAGAGTAATGTTTTCAGCTGTTATTATTTTTTCAAATTTTGTGAATGATGTTTTTAAGACCTATGGTGGCTGTGGGGAAATATCAAAGAAGAGAACCTGCTGGCATGACATGGGTAAAGTCAATTTTTTATTTTAAAGAAGGGGGATAAATTAGACAAAGGGGTCTAAAACTTTAGTTAACATACACACACACACACACACACACACACACACATAAATGATGCAGAAATTCTTTGCTTAGGGTAGCACATAATAATTTAAAATATGTCGTATATTAAATTGGACAATTTGCTGTCCAATTTAATACACAACGTATTTTAAATTATTCAGTGAAACAATGTTCAAAGTAGCATTGATCACTTTCTAGCCCTTTAATATTTGATTGTATTCATACAATTATTTAATATTAAATATTCCCTATTTGATTACTTTCTGTCTTTATAGTATGTTTTATTCATAGGATATACAGAGAAGCAAAGAAAAGTAACTCATTATTAAGTTAAACAAGCTAACTTTTTTCCTCATGTGAAATTTATGATTTTGTGTGAAGAGCATGAAGGTCTAATCACACTTTTGGTTCCATTATGTAGGATATATCAGCTGCTAATTCTCAATCAGAAAACAAAGTTTTGGTTCCTTCTACTTGGTGCCTGCCCTAGTTATTATTGTATTAAAAGCTTAGTTTTTCTTTGAAGGATTTTTTTTTTTTGAAAACTTGTTCATTTAACTCCTTGTCTTTGCCTTGAATACCTTTTCAATAATTTAGATGCCCCAAGCTTACCTAGTTTCCAAAAGACTGTGCCCAAACTGGCTGCATATAAGTCTTGAAGAGCTGTCAGCTAAGATTAAAAAAAAAAAGGAAGAAAGAAAAAAATGTTACATTTCTTATTAGGCATTGCAATGTTCTGAATTGCTTTAAGAGATGTACTGGGTAAGAAATTATTGAAGCTTTAATAGTGGAACCTGAAACATTATTCTGAATATACAAGAGGAAATATTTGGGGAGCTGGAGGCTTTGCTATGCATTTTTAAGGTTTACCATGTATGTGGCCATACCTTCATTCACAAAAGCAATTCAGTTTTCCTCCCCAGAACTGCTGCTATTCATTTTATGCTGCATCTCTAGTTTTCATGATTAATTTTAAAGTCCATCTATTTTTAATTGGTTATTCTTCATTATTTTAGAATATATCTAGCCCTATGAAAAGAAAAACATAGACTAAGGACTCCTCATTTGCTTTAAGATGGAGGGGTTTTCAGCAAGATAGACAATTTTTAAATTAAATTAAGGGAGAGTATGTCTCCAAAGAGAGCCTTGCAGGCAGATCATGGACCAGTTCCAAAGCTTTTGTTCAGTAGAAAGCCTCATGCACAAAAGACAATGGATCACCCTCCTTGTTCTGGGGTATGTATTGTACACTTTATACATTATCATGTAATCCTCAATTGAGTGAAAAAAATCTGAATGAAATAGGCATCCACTCTTCTAATAATAACAGAAAAGATATATAGTTTTTATTATGTGAAAGGCATTATCCTAAATGCTTTCCACATATTCACTTATTTTATCTTGACATTTATTTTATGAAATGGGTAATAGTATATTTCTTCACTTTATATATGAGAAAAAATATGTACATGGAGAGGTTAAATAACTTGCCCAAAATCACAGAGCTACAAAGTAGGAAAAACATTCTAACACAGGTAATTGAAACTGTACTTTTTTGTAAATCACTATGATTGCCCTCATTTTTAATAAGATATACGTATTTGAATGAATTGATGAGATCTATCATGTGTGAAACATATTATACAATTAAGCAAAATTAAATTTAAAGGATTTGAATTTCTCTAGGTTTCATTACAATCAAACAAAGCATTTAAAAATACTTTTTTTTAGTAGGGTTGTCATATTCATTGAGCATTTTTCATAAGTTAAATGAAAATGTAATATTTCAAACCTTTATATGGATGTACCCACTGTCAAAGTATCTTCCCAGCCACCAGTGAAATTATCAGAAAAAGAATTATAGTAAAAAAGAGTATTTGGAGAAAGTGACAAATGTTGTTTCTCTGCACTTCATAGGTATGTCACTACCCAATAATTCATCTATCTCAGGATCAGTACCTGTGAGAGGAGGACAGAATTTCAATGTGAGAATTAAAACCTAGAACCTATTTCCAAGGAAAGAACCCTAGAGTGGATTCCAGAGTGTGGGTCTGTGCTCCCGAACAGCCATTTTCAGCTCCGGAATCCTTGCCAAATCAACTGAACAATAGCGATCAACAAACAAATAAAATCCATTGGGGCTGAACTAATTTGTTATACTAATACGCAATTATCTGAATTTACAGGAAAGTAGACCTTCATTTTATTCAGTTCTGGGGCTTAGAATAGTGACACCTTGCCTAAATAGAAGTCAATCATAAGCACGCTCAGCTGTCTGGAACAAAGAAAATCCTGGGGGAAAAACAAAATAGGAACATAACCATCCAAGCAGCCAAAATGATGTCTAGGTACCAGCATGCCATTGTAGGTTTAGTAAGGCCTTTGGTCAAATTCAATTAAATTTCATTAACATAAATTAAATGAGTTTTCTGCTTGTCTGATACTATATTGCATGAAATAAGCACAATAAATTTTGGCCAACATCAGAGATTATGTCTGAGAGAGTACAATTAAAATAATAGACTATGTGTTAGGTAGAGTAATGCCCCCCCACCCCAAGGTAGCCACTCCCAAATCCCCAGAAACTGTGATAGATTACCCCACAAGACAAAGTGGAGTGAAGGTAAAAGATGGAATTAAGGTTGCTAATTAACTAATCATGAATTATCCAGGTGGGCCAAAGTAATCACTAGCGTTCTTGAATGGGTGGGGCCTTAATGGGCCTTTAAAAGGGAAGCAGAAGCGCATGTCAGGTAGTCAGATAGTATGAAGGAGATTTGGTGGCTTTAAAGATGGAAGAGGCTTGTGAGCCAAGGAATTCAGTCGGTGTCTGCAAGAGGAAAAAGACAAGGAAATGGATTCTCCTCTATAAACTCTAGAAAAGAATCCAGTCCTGCCTGCATCTTGATTTTTAGTCCAGTGAGACCTATTTCAGACTTCCAACCTCCAGAACTGTAAGTAATACATACGTTGTAACTTGATGCAGCAGTGATTGATAGGGAGATAATACAGGTTATTTGGTTCATGAAAAAGTCAGTTTAGGTGATTTGATGATGGGGTCGCCTCCATTCAAAAAAAAAAATAGGCAGCTCAGCTCTCATTTGAAGTTTGTTGTGCCGCTTATTCTGTTTGTCCTTGGACTCTCTTCTCACCCTTTCCCTGCTCTGCTCGGTAGGGCAAAGTGCGTAAACCTGAGGCTTAATTCCCCAGGTTACTGTGCTAGCTTGTTTCCTGATGATGCAGTAGTTTGCTACTTTCCTCCTGAGGTCAGGAGGAAGGGGGAAAACGGAGCATCTCTGCCTAACACTCCCTGCCTCCACTAGTACCTCTGGAGGTGACTTGAGCCTTTTTTTGTGCTTCAGCTATAACTACGGGGTGATGCTTGGCAATTTGACAAACCTTTCTGCAGTCCCAGCTTGCACTAATGTCCCTGGACCCGGTTTCAGCCCTTGTTAGATGGCCTCAAGTTTTTAGCTACAGAAACACACACTCTCACTATTGTCTTTTAGTCCTTTCAGCTGATGCTTACCATAGAGAAGCCTCATTTTCACCTGATAGTCTTCCTAGCTTGCTCATCACCTGTGTAACAAAGTATTTTGCTTAAATTTCCTCTGTTTGGAATACCCAGGGAGCTTTTGTTTTCCTCACTGGAACTTGCAATGAGTAATAAATTCCCCAACAGTATTAGATTGTTTAGATAAATTGAGATATAATTCTAACAGCCACAGTTCTTGATGGGGAACATGGTTTTGGATGACTCTCAGGAATAGGAACCTTGAAGAGCGAATAAATCAGGGAACAGTCTCTGTGTAACAAGATTAAGGTGAGGTTGCTGCTGCTACTCATTATAGTGATAACAATATCAACAATGATGAAAGAATCAAAGAAGTGGAAAACTGCTATTTAATCGTTTTGAGCTGAGCCTTTATCAAAAGTCATACCTGGGTAGGCTATTTGCTATGTAGGAGCTGTGACCCTTGTATAAGCCGCCTCGCTGCTCTGTCTTGGTTGCTGCATCTGTAATGTGAGAATGATAGTAATATATATCTATTACTGATACTAAGGGGACATATAGAAAAAGCTGATAAATTGGAACATGGAACACTCACATGTTGGCAGTAATCCTGAGCTGTTATATTGAACTTAAGTATTAATAAAGAATTCTGACTTTTGTTTAAAGATGAACACTCACTTTTTAATCTAAATTCTCTAAAATTTATCTAGGATTCACCTTTTCACAGTTATTTTTACTCATGTTTCGAATACGCTGCTGGCCTAGGATAAGGAACTCCAAATATTGCTTCTTCCTAGGTCTTACGTTGCCCTATTCCATCTGCCTGATGAATTTCACTTTGTAAATTCAGACCTGAAGCTGCTCATGCCGCCTGTCACCACATACTCTCAATACCAAGCTCTGTCTATCTGATTGGACTATTTCCAATTATTTGATGCTGGGCTGCACCTACACCAGGAAAGCACTTGACTCATTTAACCCTTCTGTGCCCAGCTATAGAAGAAGACATAACAGGAGCCACTTTACATATTATTTGTGAGCACTCATGTGCTTGAGGACAACGATAATACTCCTCATTTAGGATAAAAAGAGACACTTCTCCCAGACACTTAATACTACTGAACAAATTGTTGTTCCCCTTGTTCTATAAAACAATGACTAAAGCCATTTTCTGAAAATGAGTATTGTTAATCATTGCATCATTAACCTTTACAATGTCAATGTGTCCTCCATATCAAATTCAGTTAAATGACTGCTGGAGGTAACAGTTAAGGGAGCATTTCACGTAGAGGAACATAGTAATGCTTTATTTAGTTCTAAATGCACTGTGAAAGATTCAGGTGAGAGCTAATATATGTTAAGAAAGCAAAGTACCAGAAAGAATAATTTCGCAGCAAGAACGTGGAAATCTGACAGACAAAATGTAACCTGCCTTCTAATCTTTCACATTTCTTTGTTCCGTAGTTTTCATTGCTTTTTATATTACTTTCCTTCAATAGGTAAGACACACTATCTAAATTGCATACAAAGTATAGAAATAACAGAATACCTTGTGTGTACATGGTGTGTATGGGTGTGTGAGTTTGTGCGTGTACATTCTGAAGCCCATTTGTGTGAGTGGCATCTCTTCCATTGTGGCTGGAAGCAATTTGTCTCCTCATGCCTTCTGCTTGCGGGCAGGTGGCTCAGAATCGCATTTTATACTTTTTTTTTTTTTTTTTCACTGTTCCGATGCTCCACTGGTTCAGATCTCATCAGAATTCATGACTTACATTTAAGAAAGTCTTCTGTAAGAACAAGTTGTTTCTTGGATTAGCTCCTTACATTTAAATTTTATCAGAAGATTTTGAAGCAACTTCTGTACATTTTAATTTTAACAAAAGGGTCTAGGTTGAAAATCAAAATTGTGTTTACTAAATATCTAGTGTGGCTCGCTTCCTATCAGGGTAGGGACAGAATATTAGAAAAAGTCAGTCAAATTTGTTAAACTTGCTCTGAAAGTGGAGAAATATTTTCTGTATTGGCAAACCAGCCACATTCACAGAAGGAAACTCCTGAATAATTTGGTAATGGTGAGTTAAGACATACAAAGCAGTGTAAGTTGTTGGTCCTCTAGAGTGTTCTCAACATGTCTTCACAGGAGACTCTCAAATTGATGTAATAAGATTATAGATACCCACAAGCTTTCCTCTCCCTCAAGAAAAAATATATAGAGAACAAAGAACGGATGTTATCTTTTACAAGGGATAATTTGAATCTAGATTTAATTATGTAATGGTAAGTCATTTGCACACTTACGTATTTTAACTAATATTAGTAATAAATTACTTAGAGCATGGTTCCCAACAGTTCTTTGACACTTGGTGTGTCTAATCCCTCACTGAGAATCTCAGCTCCAATACCTAATAAACACTGAAACATTGAAGATTGGGATCTGTGAGTGAGGCTTCTGAGATTTGCTATATCAAGAGTCAATCATCAAAGACCTTCACTTTGTGAATACCATCAATCAACTCCAATTTCTCCTGCCATATCCCCATCATTGATGTTAGGTTGCTTCTATGCACTGCCAGATCAGCCAGTCAGATTCATCAAGCGAATAAAAATGTCTGTCAAACCAATCATTCCAGGCCATTTAGACAAGACAACTTACTGATTAAATTAATATTTCACTCCTGAAAACACTGCACTGGTGTCATAAAGACAAAAGTTTTTACACCTTGGTTTGAATATCTTTTTATGTAAAACTACTTCCAGCCACATGCATGTGTGGACAATTTGTCTTCAGTTAATTTCACTTCATATTTTGTACCCTGTTGGCTTTCCGTGGGGACACCTGGACCTCCTCTTTTTACTTTAAAATCCAATCTCAAAATTAATGGTCCTTATGATAAACAGTTATATCCACTGGTCAAAATGTATACTAATGTACATGCAAGTGAAAATTGAGTATGGCTTCTGTAGGATGTATGCCAACAAATGACTTAATTTTAACATTATGTCTCAGATATCAGACGAGGAGAGGTATTTTGAGGACTGAAGAGTGTGTCTGGTGGCCCTGAAATCACTCTGAAGAAAGCAGCCAATCTCACCTACCTTGAAAACCTTCCATGTTAGTAGGTTTATGTGATCTGGTTTATCATTCAGGGCATTTCCTCGTTTGAACTTCTGCAGTGCTTTAAACTTAGGACTGTAAGTACGCCTGTGGTGAAGGAGAACAAAGTATTGGAAGAATTATGTGATTGTCAATATCTGACTAGTGACTAAGCTGGGACTGGAATTTAGACATTGTGGCCTCTAGCACAGATTTATTTTAATTATTTTAAACTTTCTGTATCACTTTGGAAATAGATTGGAATATAAAGGTACAGCTATATGATCAAGTTAAAGTAAGGTGCTCATACATCTCAGTTTGCTGGGAAGAGTCCACTTCATGTTATTGCCTACTGTTATTATCTCTCCCTTTCACTCACAGATGTGTCAGGGTTTGGCTGTTAAAGTAAATAATTGCCTTTAAGTTTTTTTAAAAGATTTTTCTTTGAGAATGAGGTCTTAGTTCTTTAAAATAATTCTATTTTATTTTCACCAAACTTTTACCGAGTACAAAACCTAGCTTTACTTTTATTTATGACCTAAGGTTTCTTTACAAATCTTGAATGTTAAACTTTACATCTTGGACTTGGAGTGTACAGTTGTGACAAACTGACAACTATGCCTGGACATGACCCTGCCACTGTTTTGACTTGTGAGTTCTAACATTCTCTGCCTGTCTTTTCTGGCTCTAAAACTCCTCCATCTTAGAGTTTAGTTTACCGTGGCACTGATAGCTGGAAACATCCTTTCTCTATCATGATGCAAGTTAGCATGCTGTTTTACTTTCCTAACTCTTAAATGACTGTTAGAGAATTTCAGAGGATTAAAGAATTTCTTATCACTTTTATAGGTATGGCCTCAATTCTAAGGCTTCATGATTCAGCTTGTTATGAACAATAGTCTAGTGCATGAGATTGACATTTCCAATAAATTTCTACACGCAGCAGCTGAGCGGTTTGAATGTGTAAATATTAGTGATCAAAATGTTGTCAGAGCTTTCCAGCTGGACCCATCAGTTCATTTGGCAATTAGAAAACGAAAAATAAATAAACCAAGCCCTCTCCTAAATTGTAATCTCCTCAGTACACACATTATACTTTCTTGCCATCTTTTCAATGATCTGGAGGATGCTTTCTTTTTTTTTTTTTTCTTTTGAGACAGTCTTGCTGTGTCATCCAAGCTTGAGTACAGTGGTGCTATCTCGGCTCATTGCAACCTCTGCTTCCCAAGTTCAAGCGGTTCTCATGCCTCAGACTCTTGAGTAGTTGGGATTACAGGCATGTGCCACCATGCCCAGCTAATTTTCGTATTTTTTTTAGTACAGATAGGGTTTCACCATGTTGGCCAGGCTGGTCTTGAACTCCTGGCATCATGTAATCCTCCCACTTTGGCCTCCCAAAGTGCTGGAATTACAGGCATGAGCCACCACACCTGGCCATGGAGGATGCCTCCTTGATAAATTTTAAGATGAGCTGGAAACTAACAAAATAAACAAATACGTGGTATCTGAAGCCCTGCTATTTAAGCCCAAACTGCATTTCCAATATTAACTATGTAATCTTTATTACATTGCTGAATGTCACTATGCCTCAGTTTCCCCATTTGTAAAATGGAGATTGTTATAATAATCTGTGTCAAAGTTATTGTGAGGATTGAATGAATTACAATATGGGAAGCCCAAAGTATATAGTACCTATTAATATTTCAGCCTGGAAGAATTCACTTGGTTGGAAGTAGCTAACATTCAATGAGTACTTATCAAATGGTATCTTTGCTTTCAAACCAAGTTTAATATGTGCCCAAGTTTAATACATGCCCAAGGTTAATGTAGCATAAGCTCTGCTTTTTGAAATCATGATTCTCTCTGCTTTTAACAGTTACATGTTCTTTCTGCTTGTAGAGAAATGGACATAGCAGAAGAAAGGGTCAAAGGAGAAAAGGCTAAGTTTATATTGTAGAAAAGATGGCCACTATTTGATGTCCCTCTCTTATTAGAGAAACTAGGAAGGCTGAGCAGGCTTGTATGAATCTAGAGATTAAAACAGGAGGAAAGATTGTTACCCAAAAACAATGCACCAAAGTTGTGAGAATGTAAGGAAGCAAGAGGAGAATGAGAGGTCTCTGAAAGCTGTAGGACAAAGCCCAGAAAAAAAAAAAAGTTTGAGCCTGATACTTTTAACTTCAATTTCTGGTGCATTTGCAGGTTGCAGGTCAACCCACATGTCTCTGAACAGTTAGAAATAAAGAAGCTTTTTAGGATGGGCAACGTCATTTAGGGAACTGCTGTTGCCATCTACTAAGGAGACTACTGGAATAGCCTTTGAGACTGATAACCTCACATCAATATATAATATCTTGAAAAAAGAAATGAAGTATTCACTCACTGATTCTTTCATCTTTTTCCTGCTTGGAAGTCTCTTGTGAACATAGACATGTAATAAAACATAATTGGATGTATTTATATAAAGAAAGTATGTGAATAACTCTGTTAACATATATAAACAGAAGAAAGGCCAATGTTAATGTTAGATCATGTTGGATTTTGAGTTAATGAACCATTTATGACTACAATTGACAAAATGCAATATGGAGCACTGCCTGTCTGTAACAACAGCACAGATGGCTAATAGAAGCCTTTCTTATAGAAATTAATATTGAATCACACCCTAATGGCTTAGAGGGACAGATCAGCAGAAAGAAATCCCTTCTGGAAAAAGGGAAAGGCCATCCTATTCATGGCACAGATGGCACAGAGTAGCTGACAGAAAAATGTTTATAGGAACAAAGACTGGAGAAGACCTGGAAAATCCTTGATTTAGGTCTGTGAGTAGCAGAAACACTTTGCAGCTAATACCTGCATTAGCTCAACCAAAATATATCTAAGGCAAGTAGAACTCCACTCAAACTAGTTCAAATATAAGTAGTATTGCAAAGATACAGGAATTCTGTGGTACACAGTGATGTAAGTAAAGACACATGACATAGAAAATGAGGAATCATTAGGCAACTATTCTCCGTGCTTCGAGGCACGGAGACATTTTAAATATTTGTTCACTTCTTCTTTCAACCTGGTTTCCTCTTTTGCCTCTGGGACTCTAGCTTGCATATACATTAAATTTCTATAATGCCCATTCTGGACTTATCTCTAATGATCTTGGAATTTAGCTCCCAGAACTAACAACTTAAATTGTTTAGTGTTTCATATCTAAATTCCCTGGAAAGTAGATTAGAACATATTTATTTTTTCTTATTTTCTTACTATAAATTGGTTTTCTCTAGGTCAGTTAATACCTGATCTGATCAACTATGAATCAACCCTTTGGTTATACTGTACCAAACATTCCCAATATATATAGCGTGTATTGAACCATGAAATTTCAAAGAAATGGAATGTGAACTGTGTGGGTATGCTAACTTAGATCCTTTACTTATCAAAGTCAATGACCTCTTCTCATTCTTCTCAAGTTCTCCATAAAATTAGTATAACCAAGTCCCTTTTCTTTCTAAGGTCTATTAAAATATTCCATAAATTTTAATTTCATGCATCTTCCTGGCTCTCTTCCAGGCACTGCTTTCTTGGATTTCAACTTATTCCCCCCCTAGTAAGAGCAACATCATTGTCAGTTTTAATAGCTACCTCTTCAGGGTTGATTCTTGCTTCTCTACTCCCACTCCTAACGCTCTTAAAGTTCAAGCCAACTGCCCATTTATCCACTGTCAAATATCTTTGAACATGTTCTCCTGAATGTTTATCAGTCAATTCTACCTGTCAAAATGTAACTATATTATTCCAATTTGTTTGTATTTCATATTGAATGTGGAATAGAGGTGAGGCTCTTAAATTCCTGAATATTAAACACTTCCCAAATATATTGTAAATCTCATTGATGGGCAGTAGAGCATCACAGTTATTAAATACTTAGATGTCTAGAGCAAAACTTTCCTGCTTCTAATCTCAACTCTTCCACTTGTTGGATTTTCTTAGGAAGGATGTAACTCTTCAGTGTCTAAATTTTCTCCTGAGTAAAATATGAATAATTATAGGAACTACTTTATAGAATTATTGTCAGGATTGACTAGCATGCAACATGATCTGCTAACCTTCTTATTTCTATTGTAATGAATTCATTTCTATAGGTTTGGTAAATGGGAAAGTGTATTGTATATAATTTTTTCAATCCTTTTATATTTTATATTAATATGTAACAGCTCACAGAAAAGTATGCTAGCACAACTGAACACAGCAAGTTGTACAAAACTGGAGTAAACAAAAAGTCACTCCAATCCTTCCTCTTAGATCAATTTAGCCATTGGCTTTGTCTTAGAAGTTCTCAATTCTTCCCAAACTCTGTACATTTTGCTCTTCATAATTCAGATTCAACCCTACTTTTCATCCTCTTTCATCAGCTACATTCAGCATTTTCTTAAAAGACAAAATTCTGTGTTACTATGGTATTTTTCATTAGGAACTTAATATTTCTTTACAGTCATTCTTGGGTATTTGAAGATTGTTACAATTTTTGTTATACTGGTTACAAAGTTTCAAAGGTCAAGTGATCCATTCCAGCTGCATTTTCCCCCTTAGTCTCTGTTGTATTTGTGCACATGATTTTTAGGAATGCAAACACCTGTACATATAAAGTCTTGAGAATAGGACGTGGCCCACTGAGTATATTTTAGGAAATTTCTGCTTTGTCAATAGCTAGGATTTGCATCCTAAAATTTTCTTATTAAACAATGGGATGGGCCGTATTTTCCCTAAAGAGATTCTACCTAGATTATCATCAGGGCAATATCCTTCTTGCTTCTTAGCTTTTAAAAGATGTTGACAAACTAATGGTTAAAGGAAATGATAAAGGTAAAAATAAACTCAGAGTGATATTGAAAGGATTTTTCCTAAAGCTTAGTGCTGAGTCACCTATTCCATGACTCTTCTACCTAGACACCATTTCCCTACCCCAACTCCTGACATACAGTTCTTTTATCTTTTTAGGAATGGAGGGGAGTCTATTAACCTTAATATGTCATTTGTATGAATGATGAAAGAAAGGATCAAACAGTATTAAATACAGCCAAGAGAGCACATGCAGCATACTAGTATTATTTGTGACATCTTCATTCCTCCTCCTGGAAGCTTCAAATCAGCAACATTAACTTTGGAATACCCACTTACCCCCACTTTCATATTAGATTTTCTTTACCTACCCGGGGCATATAGATATGACAAAGGGAAAATTTAAATACCTCCAATGATTCCAGTGAGAGGTTTGAACATTCTTCATCTTCTAAATTCAAGGACTCTCCCAAAACGCTTTCTGATTTATGGTTTCTGCTCTGGAGTCTGCACTTAACTGAAGCAAGATTGTTCTCAGTGTTTTGATACTCTTTGTTGAGAAACCCTACTAGAGATAAGTAGCTCTAATCAATGTTTTGTGTAAATCTCCCTCTCCCATGTTTTCTACTTCAGCAAATGACATCTCATAATTTCAGGAACTCAAACTCAAAATGTCTTTGTCTTCACTCCTTGCCTTTCTCTCAATCCCCCATCTCCAGTCAGTTGGTAAATCCATAGTTTCAATTCTGCAAAATTACTTAAATTATCCCATTTTCCCCCAGTCATTTGATACTGACTGCATACAAAATTCAGCCACTTCTCATCTAAAAGGGTATTTTAGCTTCAAATCATCCCTTCTCACTGGCTCTCAACAATCAATTTTTAGTTCCTTTCCTAGAATCCTAATGATGATTAGAGGTATATTTCAAAGCACTTATACAATCAATATATTCCCTTTATTAAAATGCACACATAGAATAAAAAATTCTAAAACATGGGTAAGGATTTCAAGGCTCTGTGTTTTAGGGTTCTCCAAAGAAACAGAACTAGTAGGAGATGTGTGTGTATGTGTGAGAGATGATGAGAAAGGGGGTGTGCAGGAAATTTGGGGATGGGGGAGAGAGATTTATCATAAGGAATTGGCTCATGTAATTATGTAAGCTGGGAAGTCAGAATCTTCAGTGTGGGCCAGTGGGCTTGAGACACAAGCCAACCTATGGTACAGTTCCAGTCTGAAGTCAGTCTTGCTCTGGAGGTCGGTCTTTTTGTTCTTTTCATTCCTTTAACTGAACAGATAAGGTTCACTGACTCACATTATGGAGGACAATCTTCTTTACCCAAAGTTCACAAGTTTAAATGTTAATTCCGTCAATAAAACACCCGTCAAGTTGATACCTAAAACTAACCATCACACCTCCTGAAACTTATAAGCAGCCACTCAGGCTTTCTATGCCCTGCATGGACTGCAATTTACCCTGTACTCGAGGTACACTAAATGCTTTCTTTTTTCTCTTTTAATTTCGACACATATCTGTTAAGCACCTACTTTATTCTAAATACTGAAGACAATATGGGCCAAGATACAACCTTTATTCTTCTACTTCTGTTCATACTTTCCTTTCCTTGGAATTTCTCCCACTTCTCTACCCAAGATCAATGCTAGTAAGACTCTGCTCCACTGTGGAATATGCCCACTTCTTTCTTTAAATCTTTTAAAAATCATTGCCATATTTATAATGACTCTGTTTTGCAATTGCATATTGATGCTATATATTGTTGCAAAAATTAAGTCTTTTAGTTTTTGTTATATATGTGTGAATACACACACTTGTATTGAAATATTATTATTTTTTTCCCTATCCCATCATGAATAGCTGAGGGAAGAAAGTTTATAGTCCACAGTAACCAACCCAGCCCTTGGTATATGGGAAATGTTGAAAGGGTACAAATAGATATAATACTAGATAACAGAGCCTTTGTAACATTGCTTCTGCCTTATTTATTTTTTTTTTTATTTATTTTTTTTTTATTATACTCTAAGTTTTAGGGTACATGTGCACATTGTGCAGGTTAGTTACATATGTATACATGTGCCATGCTGGTGCGCTGCACCCACTAATGTGTCATCTAGCATTAGGTATCTCTCCCAATGCTATCCCTCCCCCCTCCCCCAACCCCACCACAGTCCCCAGAGTGTGATATTCCCCTTCCTGTGTCCATGTGATCTCATTGTTCAATTCCCACCTATGAGTGAGAATATGCGGTGTTTGGTTTTTTGTTCTTGCGATAGTTTACTGAGAATGATGGTTTCCAATTTCATCCATGTCCCTACAAAGGATATGAACTCATCATTTTTTATGGCAGCATAGTATTCCATGGTGTATATGTGCCACATTTTCTTAATCCAGTCTATCATTGTTGGACATTTGGGTTGGTTCCAAGTCTTTGCTATTGTGAATAGTGCCGCAATAAACATACGTGTGCATGTGTCTTTATAGCAGCATGATTTATAGCCCTTTGGGTATATACCCAGTAATGGGATGGCTGGGTCAAATGGTATTTCTAGTTCTAGATCCCTGAGGAATCGCCACACTGACTTCCACAATGGTTGAACTAGTTTACAGTCCCACCAACAGTGTAAAAGTGTCCCTATTTCTCCACATCCTCTCCAGCACCTGTTGTTTCCTGACTTTTTAATGATTGCCATTCTAACTGGTGTGAGATGATATCTCGTAGTGGTTTTGATTTGCATTTCTCTGATGGCCAGTGATGATGAGCATTTCTTCATGTGTTTTTTGGCTGCATAAATGTCTTCTTTTGAGAAGTGTCTGTTCATGTCCTTCGCCCACTTTTTGATGGGGTTGTTTGTTTTTTTCTTGTAAATTTGTTTGAGTTCATTGTAGATTCTGGATATTAGCCCTTTGTCAGATGAGTAGGTTGTGAAAATTTTCTCCCATGTTGTAGGTTGCCTGTTCACTCTGATGGTAGTTTCTTTTGCTGTGCAGAAGCTCTTCAGTTTAATTAGATCCCATTTGTCAATTTTGGCTTTTATTGCCATTGCTTTTGGTGTTTTGGACATGAAGTCCTTGCCCACGCCTATGTCCTGAATGGTAATGCCTAGGTTTTCTTCTAGGGTTTTTATGGTTTTAGGTCTAACGTTTAAATCTTTAATCCATCTTGAATTGATTTTTGTATAAGGTGTAAGGAAGGGATCCAGTTTCAGCTTTCTACATATGGCTAGCCAGTTTTCCCAGCACCATTTATTAAATAGGGAATCCTTTCCCCATTGCTTGTTTTTCTCAGGTTTGTCAAAGATCAGATAGTTGTAGATATGCGGCATTATTTCTGAGGGCTCTGTTCTGTTCCATTGATCTATATCTCTGTTTTGGTACCAGTACCTTGCTGTTTTGGTTACTGTAGCCTTGTAGTATAGTTTGAAGTCAGGTAGTGTGATGCCTCCAGCTTTGTTCTTTTGGCTTAGGATTGACTTGGCGATGCGGGCTCTTTTTTGGTTCCATATGAACTTTAAAGTAGTTTTTTCCAATTCTGTGAAGAAATGATTGTTTATCTAGAAAACCCCATCGTCTCAGCCCAAAATCTCCTTAAGCTGATAAGCAACTTCAGCAAAGTCTCAGGATACAAAATCAATGTACAAAAATCACAAGCATTCTTATACACCAACAACAGACAAACAGAGAGCCAAATCATGGGTGAACTCCCATTCACAATTGCTTCAAAGAGAATAAAATACCTAGGAATCCAACTTACAAGGGATGTGAAGGACCTCTTCAAGGAGAACTACAAACCACTGCTCAAGGAAATAAAAGAGGACACAAACAAATGGAAGAACATTCCATGCTCATGGGTAGGAAGAATCAATATCGTGAAAATGGCCATACTGCCCAAGGTAATTTACAGATTCAATGCCATCCCCATCAAGCTACCAATGACTTTCTTCACAGAATTTTTTTTTTTTTTTTTTTTTTTTGAGACAGAGTCTCGCTCTGTCGCCCAGGCTGGAGTGCAGTGGCGGGATCTCGGCTCACTGCAAGCTCCGCCTCCCGGGTTCATGCCGTTCTCCTGCCTCAGCCTCCCAAGTAGCTGGGACTACAGGCGCCCGCCACTACGCCCGGCTAATTTTTTGTATTTTTAGTAGAGACGGGGTTTCACCGTTTTAGCCGGGATGGTCTCGATCTCCTGACCTCGTGATCCGCCCGCCTCGGCCTCCCAAAGTGCTGGGATTACAGGCGTGAGCCACCGCGCCCGGCCTGCTTCTGCCTTATTAAGAAAATCTATAAATTCAGGGCTTTTGCACCCATGAGGAACAAATAGTTCATGCACTAGAACAGAGGAGTGATATTATGTTGTTTGCACAATTTCGTTTCATTAAGTCTATGACCCTTAAATTGCAGCTCCAGCCACCTCAACACAGGGAAGATTAGATGCCATTTGTTTTTCAAAGAGGATTTTTTTTTTTTTCCCTGAGGGTCATGCTTAAGAGGAAACAATATTCTCCATTTGTTGGTCAGATTTCCTTATAACATGGTACAAAGATTTCACTGCCTCCTTTTGTGACCATTCACCTCTTTATATTTTCTACATCATACATTCTTTTTCTGTTTTTGGTAGGGGATGATCAGTAAAGCTGAGAATAAAACTGAATGGGGAAGCCTTATTCAGGTAATTTTTCCTTCTTCCCCAGTCAAGTTCTTAGATTACATAATTTTATGGGGTTGTAGATATTTTCTAAATTTCACTAATTTTCAGAACTGGATGCATTATAATGTTTTGAGAAGTCAATAAGCTCAATATGAACATAGTTTTTTACCTACATATTGTTTAATAGTACCTTATGATTCTACAACTTAACACCTGTCCTTGATCTGCTACATTCTCTTGGCATTTGAGAACCTTTGACGTAGTTAAGTTCCTTACCTTTCAGATGAGGAGACCACTGAGTCAGTCAACCAGTATTAATAGCTGCATTTGAACTCAGCTCTCCTGATTGCTGGTCTGAGTGTCTGCTGGTTAACATTGCCTCTTCTAATAAATAGATGCCTTATTTTATTAACCTGACTAATAAAGAGGCAAACTTATTGAACCTCACCTTGGCAAAAGCCATGGGTCCTGAGATTCAAATATTTCACAGGAACCACCTGTGTTTGCATTTTCCTGGGCAGACCATTAGCATGATAAAAATGTAGTTTCTGTAGAGGGAACAGAATGATCAATTTAAAATAAAGCCAGAAGAATTAGCCTCATATACGTGGTGTTATAATCAGCTTAATTAGGAGATAAGCCAGGATGTGTAGCATCTCATCTTTGCACAAATACTCAAAAAGCAGCAGGAAGAAGGAAATAGTGTCACAATCTGGAAGGACCAACAGAGCCAATAAAATTTAACTGACACCAAAGCCACACATCAGGTATAATTTGCTAATGGACTGGCACATTGAGCACCTTGAAGATAAAATTAGGAACCAAATCCTCTTGCATTCAAAAGGTACAAGGAATTAGTGGAGTTAATAGGTTTTATAGAAGCATTTGCTGGTACTTTGCTCTGACTGAATGTAAAGGCTAACCCTGTAATTGCAGAATAATGAAGCACAAGCCAAGGCAGGGATGATAATGTCTATGAATGGCAATAACTTTATCAGCTAAGAAGGGATTTTCTAGAGCTGCTTGATCCAACAAGATGATTTAGCTAAAGGTGCACATATTTTCTGATTATGAAGACCTCCTGATATCAATGGAGAGAGTAAGATAGGAAGGAGAAAAATGTGCAGATGAACAATAAGATATCAAGTTAAGTGTTACAGCCAAGAATATATTAATAATGACCAAAGGAATATTGTGTCTATTCAATTAACAAATCAGGTTATTGTTGTTATCCTTTGGATATTCCCAGGGTCTAATTTTTTTTTTAAAGATGGCACAGCATTTTTTTTTTGTCTTTCTAAATTACCTTTGACTTATAGGGCAGCAATGAAATATAGATTATACCCTTTGTGCAAGTTATCTAGCCTTCTTCCCCTAGGCTCAGGATTTCTAATTATAGAACATTAGACTTGAAAGAGACCTGAGTCATCTAAAGACTTGGTTCCCAAGTGCTGTAATATGGAGCAGGACTGACTGGGAAGCTTCAGATTCAGCTAGGGAATTGAGAACAACAGAAACCTGGGACCCATTAATAGAATTATTGATTCAGTGGGATTGAGACTGGTCTAGAAATCTGAATCTCTTCAGGTGATTCAGATATACGGCAAGTTAGGATAACATGGAGAATTTACAGTATGTTTAAGAAAAGCTTTTTCACATTTTTTTGAAAACTTCTCATGAAAAGGAATTAACACATAAGTCACACTTTACAGACAAAATCTCTACATTGAGACACTAGTTTGCTCCACAATAAGAAATCTACCTTTGTTCTGACCTCTAAATCAATTTATACATTATTTTCCTAATACAATTTGTGTGTACCTGTCACTTAATTCAGGTATACAAACACACAAATCCAATCAAGCCCTCTTTGCATTTATTCTCATTTATACCATTTCCAACTTATTGTTTACAGAAAAAGACATATGGCTATTTGCCAAAGAAGCTGTCTTAGTCTACCCAAGTGTCAGGATATAGCCAAGCTTTTGCCTATACCTAGCACCATGTCATACAAACTACGGTGATTCAGCAAAGCATATATCTTTTTCTATGAAAATTAAATAATGTTTTTTTTATCTGCATGGGATAGAGAATCCAGATATTTAGATTGAGAAGGATGTCATTAACACCTTCTTTATTCCACAAATAAACTGAGGCCATAGAAAAACAATATCCAAAATTATCACGTTTAATTTCAACAAAACAGTAAAACTATAGCATTTGAAAAGCTGTCTTTATTCATATGTATGAATGTGTATCTAGGGTACATGGAATACAGAAGAGTTGCTGAGCGTTGTCTTAGATGGTTTTATGTATCCTTTTTTAGTCAAGTGAAATTAAGGAATTAATCTAGGGGAAAACATTGTAACACACTGACATTCAATTTATTGGACTCAAATAATATTCAGTTGGCTGTTTTGAAAGGGAAGAGAAAATCATAAATATGAGAAGTTTCATGTTCAATTGGAATTTGATCATTTGTAGATCTGCAGTTTAAAAATTACCCTAGAACTTTTTTCCCCTAGTGGGGAGAGTACCAGATAAACTTTAGTTGAATTCATGTAGCATAAAATTCAAATAAGATTTCTGTGCCAAACAAATATGGGCAAATTTCAAACCAGGTTTGAAAGGGACAGTGATGATGATGATAAAAAGACAAGTACTGTCAATATCTAGGTCAAATATACTTTTTCTTCTATTTCTCCATATAGAGCTCTGAACAAGATAAATCTTTAAAAAAACTATGAAAAGTTTTTGCACCTTCCTTTCACTGTGTCCTCATTCCGTATACTATCCTTTTTCTTGTTCCATTCTCCCCTCCTACCAACTGCTTTTTATGAGCACCTATAACTGTAGGCATCATTCTCACTCAAGTCTAATTGATTGAAAAAAGCAAAATTAGTATACTTTTCATTTGACTGTCTGCGTTTTCACAGGAATTGAGTTTCCTTAAGTGGATTACATTTTAACTATGGAATTTTAGGCCTCTTGCTCTTCATTAATTTACCAGTCATTTCCTGATGTCTTATGTGCCAGGACACGGTCTAGAACTTCCGACTATGAAAATGAATAATAATGCTCAGGGTGCCTGTCATTAAGTTATCCACCGTCATGTATGGTAGACAGAAAAGTAAACAATTACAAATTGCACATAATATAGTTGATCTGGGAGCAGAGAGAAGGCACATTTACCTTGGCATGAAAAGTGTTTGTCCCATGTGCAGGGCTGAAATATATTTTTTTAATACAATGGAGACATGAGTTTGTCTTAAGGATCAAGAAGTAGTTATCTGGGTGAATGTGGTTGATGGAAAAAGAGAAAGAGAGCAACATTCCAGGGAGAACAAAGATTTGTGCAAAGTATGGGGGGAATAGAAAGAGTGTTTTGAGAAATAATATGTGAATTGAAGGGCCAAATGAATGGCCTAAGAGATAAGTGAGCATATTAGTTCGTTTTCACACTGCTATAAAGAACTTCCTGAGACTGGGTAATTTATGAAGAAAAAAGGTTTAATTGACTCACAGTTCCACAGATTTAATAGGAAGCATGACTCGGAGGCCTCAGGAAACTTACAGTCATGGCAGAAGTTAAAGGAGAAGCAAAGACCTTATTCACATGGTGGCAGGAGAGAGAGAATGAAGAAAAGTCACACACTTTAAAACCATCAGATCTCATGAGAACTTACTATCACAAGAACAGGGAAGGGGAAATCCACCCCAATGATCCAATCACTTCCTACCAAGCTCATCCCTTGACACATAGGGATTACAATTAGACATGAGATTTGGGTGGGGACACAGAGCCAAACCATATCAGTGAGGAAAAGTGAACTGCAAACGGAAACCACCAAGGGTTTTAGCTCGTGAAAGCAAACAAACACATGCAATTCCATCAACAATTTTTGTTTTTATGTTTTCCTTTGTGCTACTAAGTACCAAAGGCAATGTATCCCCTTTTTCCTGATCAACTAGAAAACAGACCAAATGATAGAATATGTATGGTATAGGACCATGCCCTAAACCCTTCATCTGGTTAAGTTTCTCACTCCTAGAGATTATTTTTGATCGTTTGCTTTTGTATTTCATTATAGCAGTAAAATGTTAAATAATTTTTGGGGCCAGATGGGTAACATAAGTGATCAAATTGTTGCCAAATGAATTGGCTCAAGCCACCCTAATATAGGAGCCCACTATCCCTCACAGACACTGCTATGAAGACAGGCCTTTTCTAAAATAAGCCATAAGTCCTGTTTTTAATATAAAATCTTATTTTCTTATGATCATGTCATTTAAATTTGGAGAAAGGAAGGGAGACTGTATTGGCCAAATAAGCCACATCTTTGAACTGGCTTTACCCAGAAGATGACCAGTTTCTGATCTGAATTACAGCTACTCTCAGTCTTAGAAATATAACCTTCACATGTGTTCAGCAGCCTGAAAGTGTCACATTTGAACACTATGATTTTCAAAATAAATATACATAAAGGAAACATAATTTGGCTGATTTAGTTGTGGTGAGTAGATGTGGTGGAACATAGGAAAAGTGAGTTTCTTGTTTTCATACAGCAGAGGTACAAGAAAAATCAATCTTGTTGACACTTAAAATTCTATTCAACCTTTTTAAAAGGTGACTGACAACTTGAGTGATCTTTTTTTCTATTGCTTTCTGCTGTAGTATGCTATATAATTAAGTAGAATTCAATTATTGAAACATGTAGCTATATCTTTATAATTTCTGGAAGAAAAACTGAGAGGAAGGGTGGGAATAAAACCACATTTTGGTATTTGAGATAAAGGGTAAATTGAAATGTATGTAAGCTTTCTCTCAATGATCCATCCTGGTAAACTATTGTCCCAGAACAATTTTGAATAGTCTTTTAGTTTTAATAATAATGTAGCTATGTGTGCATAGATTGAGGTTTGTGACTAATTAGCCTATTTCAGTTCTCCAGACAAAGAAAGCACCATTAACCCACGCTAATCATCAAGTTTGACATTATGCACTATCCAAAGAAGTAAAGGGTGCGAGTAATCAGAGTTCTAGAAACAATAGTCAAGTCTCACATCTGAATAAATCAAATGGGTGCGCTTAATATTCTCAGATCAAGGCAGGTCTGTAGAAATAGTGTATACTGCAGCTCTGATTCCCACGAAGTGTTCTATATGCATATGTAACAATATAAGTCATTTATTCTCACTTTAAACAAAGCTAGAGCACAATTCATAGTAGAGAATGTTGTATTTGCCAGAGGTTTATCGATGTATTTGCTGGTTTCAGGCCCAAGTGTCACTTCAATATTAATGAGAACTTTTTATTTTATTTTTTAAATTTAATCAAATTATATATGTACACATTTTGAAACAATTATTACTAAGATGTATATTACAAAGTACAACAGTCTCTGCTTTGATTTCTTTGCGACACCTGTCCTGATCTTCTGGAGGCCACCATATTCAGTTTAACCTCCAAAGCTTTGTCTTCATATTTGCAAATAATTTGCTTACAATTGATATTCTTTATTGATACACCTAGATTATATTTACTGACTTTTATGATTGTTTAAAACTTACAATTTCATACAACTTTCAATCCTCCATCCTTAAGCTAATTATATCCTAATTTTTATTTCAGTTCTTTATTGACATGACTATAATTTCATAAATATTCCTTGCTGGTGAGCCTAGTAGTATTTTCACATAAGACTTTCTTTTATAGAATTTTTACAAACAAATCTACCATGGATTCATTCATAGTTATTCCCAAGGTCAAAAATAGTACCAAATGTATCATTTCCATTATGTTCTTGGAACTTTCCCCTCAGTCCGTTTGTCTTTTCAGTGTTTAGCTCTGAGAAACTTATGTCATGATATTATATTGTAAGCAAACATTTATTCTCTAAAGGACTAATATATATAATATTATATCTTATATAATATATAAGATATATTATGTTATATATTATATTATATATACTCTTAGTGATTCATTGTTGTCAGAATATTGAATTCTTGGTTAGAATAAACTTTTCTCAGATTTTCAAGTTATTATCTTACTTTTTTTCAAAATAATGTGCTGTTGGTAAGAAACAAAGCTCTTTATATTCTCCTTTCTTTTGGATGTGATCTGTTACTTTTGTTCCTCTGGATGCTTTTGGGATCTTTTAACTTATTGATAATCTTCAATTTCATAAGGATTTGACTTGCAGTGAGCTTTTTATCAATCACTCAACATACTGTCTACTTATTAATACCTTGGTCAGAAAATACACATAATTCAGTTCTTGCATGTTTATTTCTATTGTATTGAAGTTTCTCTACCTTTATTTTTCCTTCTCTAAAATTTATATTGTTTCTGGTAGTTGGGCCTCCTTTAATGATCTTTTTATTCATTCGTTCTTTCTGTTCTAATTTCTAGGATATCTCCTTGACTTTATATTCAAAACTCTTTACCTATTTTACTTTAGTTTCATTTATTTCAAATGATATTTTTATCCTACATATCTTAGTAGCAGTATTCTTTTGCCTAAATGTTAGAGCTTACTTTATATATCTGAAACTATTAATTGTGTTTTTATTTGCTTCCTATACTGTTTGCATTGTGTCAATTTTTTAACGTCCTCCTTATCCTGTAAACACTCTCAAACATCTGGTGATCATTGACTCTTTATTATAATTAAGAATAAGACACTGGGAGGCTGGCTGTGAGCACAAGTTAACAGATGGGGCATGCTGACTGGAGGTCTTGAATATAAGGTGACTGGGTGGAGTGCTGTTTTTTTGTTTGTGTGTTTGTTTGTTTTGTTTTGTCTTTTTTTGAACAAAACCCCACATATCAGCATCTCAGACTTTTTAAAGGTATTTTAACCCTGACATTGAGTTTCTCTAGAACCTGTCTTTCAGGCTCCAATTTGGGGAGGATATAGAACAACGTCATAGCAATGGAAGGTACCTGAAAATATCTCATCATTCAGTTTTCAGCTTCCAATTTATTCCTGAGTTTCCTTTGTCATTTTTTAGGTGTCCATGTCCCCATCTCCTGCCAATGTAGCCAGAAACCCAGAAGCTCTGAACTTATTTTCAAAGAACAACATTTACCAACAAGCAGGGTGGAGTTAGTTTTACAGCTATAGACTGGGAAGAAGTAAATGAATATGTGAGGATACCAATAGATGTTACTCCTGACAGGTTTTAACTAACCTCTCTGATTGTAGCTTGATGCCTTACCACATCTTCTCCGGTACCCCGTGCCATCAAATTCCAGGTTTACTCACTGTAATCTCTTAAATTTTATCCAGCTCGTTTGACCTTCTAAGTCAGTCAATAATCCTCTACTGTTCAGGTTTATCTTCTAGGACTCTATTGGGCTATTAGCCAAATGCTGGCTAGTATCTCATTTTTCTCAATTCTTATTGGTTTCTACCTTCTCTTTGCTGTTACCATTATAAAATCTTCAGAGAAATACATTTCTGCTTTCAATTCCTTAGGTTTCACTCAGTTGAGATTCAGGATTTTTCTCTGCATTTTTAAGAAGAATTAAAGTGGCCAGGCATGGTGGCTCACACCTGTACCTCCCAGCACTTCGGGAGGCCAAGGTAGGTGGATCACCTGAGGTCAGGAGTTCGAGACCAGTTTGGCCAACATGGTGAAACCCTGTCTCTACTAACAGAGATACAGACCAATGCAACAGAAAAGAGCCCTCAGAAATAATACCACACATCTACAACCATCTGATCTTCAACAAACCTGACAAAAACAAATGGAGAAAGGACTCCCTATTTAATAAATGGTACTGGGAAAACTGGCTAGCCCTATGTAGAAAGCTGAAACTGGATCCCTTCCTTACGCCTTATATAAAAATCAATTCAAGATGGATTAAAGACTTACATGTTAGACCTAAAACCATAAAAACCCTGGAAGAAAACCTAGGCATTACCATTCAGGACATAGGCATGGGCAAGGACTTCATGACTAAAACACCAAAAGCAATGGCAACAAAAGCCAAAATTGACAAATGGGATCTAATTAAACTGAAGAGCTACTGCACAGCAAAAGAAACTACCAACAGAGTGAACAGGCAACCTACAGAATGGGAGAAAATTTTTGCAATCTACTCATCTGACAAAGGGCTAATATCCAGAATCTGCAATGAACTCAAACAAATTTACAAGAAAAAAATCAAACAACCCCATCAAAAAGTGGGCAAAGGATATGAACAGACACTTCTCAAAAGAAGATATTTATACAGCCAACAGACACATGAAAAAATGGTCATCGTCACTGGCCATCAGAGAAATGCAAATCAAAACCACAATGAGATAACATCTCACACCCGTTGGAATGGCGATCATTAAAAAGTCAGGAAACAACAGGTGCTGGAGAGGATGTGGAGAAATAGGAACACTTTTACACTGTTGGTGGGACTGTAAACTAGTTCAACCATTGTGGAAGACAGTGTGGCAATTCGTCAAGGATCTAGAACTAGAAATACCATTTGACCCAGCCATCCCATTACTGGGTATAAACCCAAAGGATTATAAATCATGCTGCTATAGAGACACATGCACTCATATGTTTCATATGTTTACTGCGGCACTATTTGCAATAGCAAACACTTGGAACCAACCCAAATGTCCATCAATGATAGACTGGATAAAGAAAATGTGGCACATATACACCATGGAATACTATGCAGCCATAAAAAAGGATGAGTTCATGTCCTTTGTAGGGACATGGATGAAGCTGGAAACCATCATTCTCAGCACACTATCCCAAGGACAAAAAACCAGTCACCATATGTTCTCACTCATAGGTGGGAATTGAACAATGAGAACACTTGGACACAGGAAGGGGAACATCACACATTGGGGCCTGTCGTGGAGTAGGGGGAGGGGGGAGGGATAGCATTAGGAGATACACCTAATGTAAATGACGAGTTAATGGGTGCAGCACACCAACATGGCACATGTATACATATGTAACAAACCTGCAAGTTGTGCACATGTACCCTAGAACTTTAATAATAATTAAAAAAATAAATAAAAGTACAAAAGAGTAGTGGGTGTGGTGGTGCATGCCTGTAGTCCCAGCTACTCGGAAGGCTGAGGCATAAGAATTGCTTGAACCAGAAAGGCTGAGGTTGCCATGATCCAAGATGGTGCCACTGCAGTCCAGCTTGGGTGACAGAGCGAGACTCTGTCTCTCAAAAAAAAAAAAAAAAAAAAAAAAAAGGATTAAAGTATCATTGAACTAAGTAGTGATTTAAATGGCTTTTTCAATTTTTTAAAACAAAATCACCATTTTTTTTTTCTGAAAGCAGTATTAAGGTGACTAACAGGAATTTGTTTCTATGACTTTTAGTACAATCACTTCTCTCAGCATTAGAGCAGTCGCTAGGTTGTTAGAATGTCTAAAGTGACAGGGAAAAGTACCCACTGGCAAAAATATCTAGTAGGAGAAAGGACCCTAGGATTTCTGCCTAACATAATGGTTTTTTATTTTCCCTCCCTCTGACTATGGGGGAAAAAATCACCTCAAAAACTGACACAAATATATCAACAGTTTTCATTAAAAACACATTTATGTCAACATTAAGTAAGTTCCCATCAATTGTAATGGGACATTTATGCATGTGCAAAGTAAGGAAATAGAAACAGAACAATGTAGGGCACATTGTAATCCATTTAGAAGCTCATCATTTCCATAACAAGATCATAAAGCATTTCAGATGCATGACTTATCACCAGATTACTAGAAAGATTTCTCCATTCCAGTTTTCAAACTTTCTATCCGGTGCTTTGGTTTACAGAATGCTTTCCCATTGAATATTTACAGGCAGAGCTTGTAGAAAAAAATAACAACATAGGCAGGGATGGATTTTGCTCTTACCAAATGATGTTCCAAGAGAATACATAAAACAATATTGATTAGAAACCTGCTAACAAACACTTTCCAATATCTGTCCTAAAAGCACTATTCCTAAAAGTATTAAGATAAATTATGACCTATGGTTTGCACCATGTTAGAAATCAATATATGAAAATGAAAATAGACTTTCCAAGCCTACTTATTCCCTCTAAAGTCTTTCCTGGCCTTTCTGGCACTTGAATTAGATCCCTGCTTTTGAGCCCACTCACACAAAGCCAGATAGATACCTGCTCATCTGACCCAGGGATATCTAACACATCTTTTCTTTAGTGTTGTTAAGTAGTTTATTCTTGATATACAGGATGTTCCTATCTTGGCTTCAAATAAATTCTAGGACCAGTTGAACAAGACACTGAGACGAAGAAGCAATGAATATTGAAATGTAATAACAAGTCTCTATTTCATTTCTTCCTTCTGAATCTTGCCCCTTGGAAATAAATAGTTGGAAAAGTAAGAAATTATAGTAAAAGCATTGATATATATGGGAGGAGTAATTCGTGAATTTATTGCTGTTTTATACCCATTATCATATTTGATCCTCATCTCAGCTATGTGGGGATAGAAAGGAGAAGTACTGGACTTTTTCCCACTTTACCTAATTTTAGTGAGGATAGGTGAGCTAACTTCACACAGAGCTGGAACTAAATAGTTGGAGACACACAGAGGGGTTATTTTGATAGAACATACCTCACAGATTGCGTCAGGGTTTTATTCCAACTTTGATTAGTCAAAATTTCTCTGGTGCCCAAGAGATCATTCAACACTATCCTTAGTTTCCACTTCCATTGACAAATTCATCATTTTTCTTTTATTAATACTGATGAGGAAGGTAGATCACACATCTTTCTACTCACGCTAGAAAATTTTCTCATCCATTTTGATAATATATAACATGTCTTATTTAATGTTTGTCTTATTTCACAGTAAGGCGGCATACAAATATAACATTCTTAAAATACAAGATGGTTTTATTAATGTATTGATGAGGGTATATGAACCTGAATACATTTAGCAATTGAATTTATTGAACCTTTCATCTAATATTGTCACGACACAAATATTTGGTTATAACTTGGTGTCCCACATAGGTGTGCCTATACTGCTGTTGGTCTTTAAAACATCCCACTTTAAAGAGAAACTACAGTATTTGTCTATTTTTCCTTCTTTTAGTGTCACTTAAAACTAAATGGTTTACTACTATGAGTTCTAAAACAGTCATTGGGGTACCTGGCTTCAGTTTGATTTTGCTACTGACAAACTGCTTGACATCAGGCCATTTTTGTCACCTCTAAGTTTTAAGTTTATCTTTTCTCATTCAGTAAAATGAGAGAGCATTAGAGTAAATGATCTTAAAGTTTCAACTCTGATACTCAAGCACTTGCATGAAGTGCTGAAGTTTGTTCTAGGTTATAAGATAAGCTAGCAATGGAATTGGAAATAAAGCCCCTGGGATATATCTTTAGCTATAATCAGATGACCTAGAGAAAAGATAAATTTTATAAGAAGAGAAGAATAAATGAATCAAAGGTGATATGGGAAATAAGGTTAAACACAATAGAGAGAATCATCTGAAAAAGAGCCAAGGATAAAATAAACACATGACATGACTGCATAATTATCTTTCCAGACACTACCAAGTCACAAAACCCAGATTATTTAACTTTGTCATTCCTTTACCACTAAAATTATGCTACGCAAATATCTACCATGTTTAGAAACTCTATTTTTCTATTATTCCTGTGTTCTTTCCCCAGCATCCTCCTGAACGACATTTACCTTTCTTGGTACCCTCATGTGTTGTTGGCCACTCTAAGTGATAACTTCCGTTCCATCCTGTGCCACCTGCTTCCTAAACCCTAGCTGGCTGGAATCTCTGCCCTGGGTGTATCAATCTATAATGTAACCACACAATGAAATAACTTTATTTTAATGCTAAATACTTTTTATTTTCTGGCTGTGGCCTACCAGGGCTTTGCAAAGATTGTGGAGTAATAGCATCTTTCAGGAGGACCATCTGGATGTGGCTAAATGAAATTTGGTAAGGTGTTGATTCAGGAAATAAAAGTGAAATGGATATATTACATAAATCCCTACATATTTTTTTCAAGGCAATATGATGCAATTTTTAAAAACCTGAAAAAGGTACATCCTGTGGGTTTTGCCATCTTTTAACTTGATTTAAATTGGCTGCAAAATAATCCATGATTATTAACAGTAAAATGGTCAGTTACGTGAACAAATATATGCATATCCTAAGAACACAGAAGAATACAAAAGGCTATACAGACATTCCTTGAAGATATTGCAGGTTTGGTTTCAGACCACCTCAATAAAGTAGGTTACACAAATCTTTTGGTTTTTCCAGCACACATAAAAGTTATGCTTGGGGCCGGGCGCGGTGGCTCACTCATGTAATCCCAGCACTTTGGGAGACCGAGAAGGGCAGACAGCCTGAGCTCAGGAGTTCAACAACCAGCCTGGGCAACACAAACCCCGTCTCTACTAAAAATACAAAAAATTAGCCTGGCATGGCGGCGAGCGCCTGTATTCCCAACTCGGGACTCGAGAGGCTGAGTCAGGAAAATCGCTTGAACCCGGGAGGCAGAGGTTGCATTAAGTGGGGATCGCGCCACTGCACTCCAGCCTGGGCACAGAGGCTCCGGCTCAAAAAAAAAAAAAAAAAAAGTTATGTTTAAATTATACTGTATTCTACTGTATAAAATAGCATTATGTCTAAATGTACATACCTTATTTGAAAATTTATTACTGAAAAATGTTAATGATCATCAAAGCCTTCAAGTAATTTTGTGTGTGTGTGTGTGTGTGTGTGTGGAGGATCTTTTGATGTTGATCACTGCTTGACTGATCACGGTGGTGATTAGTAAACCATACAGTAAACTGATGTGCTGTCATTTAGGCTTTGTTCCGTTTATAGAGCACAGGGAGAGTAGATCTAGCATAATTCTCAAGGGCCCTAGGATTTTCAGAATGGTAACTTAGCACTAGCTTCGATTTAGTCACCAGCTACATTAGCCCCTACCAAGAGTCGGCCTGTTCTTTGAAGCTAGGCATTAACTTCTGTTTAGGTATAAAAGTCCCAGATGACATCTTTTTCCAATAAAAGCCTGTTCTGTCTATAATGAATCTGTTTCATGCAGCCACCTTCATCAATTATCTTAGCTAAATCTTCTGGATGACTTGCTACAGCTTCTGCATCAGCCCTTGCTTCTTTGCCTTGCCCTTCTATGTTATAGAAATGGCTTCTTTTCTCAGACCTCATGAACCAACCTCTTCTAGCTTCAAACTCTTCTTCTGCAGCTTCCTTCACCTCTCTCAGCCCTCATGGCATTGAAGAGAGCTAGTTCTTGCTCTGGATTAGGCTTTGTCTTAAGGGAATGTTGTAGTTGGTGTTTTTTGTGTTTGTTTGGGTTTTTTTCTTAATATTTTTCAATCTAAACCACTCAAACTTTTTCCATCAAATATAAGACCCTTACATTTTCTTATGATTCTTGTGTTACCTGGAGTAGCACTTTTAATTTGCTTCAAAGACTTTTCCTTTGTATTCACAACTTGTCTAATTGGTACAAGAGTCTAAGCTTTCAGACTGTCTCAGCATTTGAAATGCCTTCCTCACTAAGCTTAATTGTTTTTAGCTTTTGATGTTAAGGGAGAAACATAGGATTCTTCAGCTGAACATTCAGAAGCCATCGTAGGGTTATTAAATGGCCTGATTTTAATATGGTTTTGTCTCAGGCAGGAGAGACCCTAGGAAGAGTGAATCAGGGAACAGCGAGTTAATGGAGCAGTCAGAACATACAGTGTTTATAGATTAATTTTTCCATCTTATATGTGTGTGGTTTATTGCACTCCCAAACAATTATAATAGTAAGATTACAGATCACCGTAACAATTGATGATAATTTCAAATATTGCAAGAATTACTGAAGTATGAAACAGATACAAAGTGAGCACATTTTGTTGGAAAAATGGCACCAATAGACTTAACACATGGTTGCAACAAACCTTCAATTTCTGAAAAACCCGCTGTCTATGAAATACAATACAGCAAATCATAATAAAATGAGGTAGGCTAGTAGTTGGATTTCAAAGGGAAGTACCTAGAATAAACCATAGTAGGTAAAGGCAAACTCTTCTTGTGTAACCAGAGTAGAATTTTGCAAAGCTCTCTACTCCTGGCCCCAAAGGTTCAGCCCGTGGCTCTACTTTCTTTCAACCTGGAGCTGTGTGATAGCTTCCACATACTGAGAACCTGTAAATCATTAGGACATATTTTATGTAATTTATATTAAGATTTAAAACAAATGCTCATAACCACTCTTCATTTCAGGTACATTTATCTTCATCTAGGAAACAACTAAGTTAAACAACTTCCCACAAGGTATTTAACCACTGTTTGGAGTTTAGTTTGGCTGACTTTAAAATCTAAATCCATAATCTGAACTCCATCTAGCACTGTCTCTTAAACCACCTGGATTTCTCTCCTTCAGTAATTAGCACTCCTGATTTTCTGACATTTGGGAGCTTTGGATGCACATTATGTAGATTCAAACTTGGGTTTAAATCCCAGCTCTACTACTCACTACTCATAGGGAATGATAATATTCATCTTCAGAATCATTGCAAATGAAAAGAAATATATGTATGACTCTTCCTCAGTGTCTAGCATATTGTAGCTATTCAATTAATGGTGGCGGTGGTGATTTTTGTTTGATATTAAGTAACTTGGCATCACAACCTTTTCCTGGGGTATTCCCTAAATTTATCTGACGTCACCCTACTGTCTCACCAGGAATAGTTTGGGCAGCTCTTCTAGGCTCTAGAGTTGAGTATGTGGTTTTTTTGTTGTTGTTGTTGTTCTGGTTGTTGTTTTGTTTTTTACCCATGGTGTGTTGAAAAGTGTCTCCCAAGGACCTTTTGTGGGTAAGAAGTTCATAAGCTAGGAGCCAGACACTTAGAATGTACAAATCATCAAATTATTAGCTACGCCGCTGCTTGGGTGGGAGGATGTTAGGGATAGGTCAATTTCAACATTTAAACTTATATAGATATTTATAAGCACTATTTATAGAAGTTGTATTTGTTAATAGAGTTAATAGAAGCATTTTATTCCAGTCCACTGCAAAAAAAGAAAAAGTTATACTTGTTAAGTATTGATATTACTTCTTTGAGGATTAAGAAAAATACCTTGAGTCAGGTGCAGTGGCTCACACCTGTATTCCCAACACTTGGGGAGGCTGAGGCAGGCAGATCACTTGAGGTCAGGAATTCAAGACCAGCCTGGCCAACATGGTGAAACCCTGTCTCTACTAAAATACAAAAATTAGCCGGGTGTGTTGGCACATACCTGTAATCCCAGTTACTCAGGATGCTAAGGCAGGAGAATCGCTTGAACCTGGGAGGTGGAGGTTGCAGTGATCCAAGATCACCACTGCACTCCAGCCTGGGCAACAGTGAGACTCCATCTTAAAATAAAACAACAAAAAAAAAACCTGAGGCTGAGATTGAAATTATTTAATTAGTTCTTTAGTATACTTAAGTTTGAGCATTTTATTTCTCCTTGTTATGATTGGTCAGCTGAAAGGGCACTGGCATCTCTGAAAGATCATATTCCATTCAGCCACTTAAGAAGAAAACCTTGGGTACGTGTCGTAACTATTAGAGCAGAATTTCTCCTTTTTAATCAACCTCATTAATCTTAAGAGTTTAAATTTCATTATACTTATGGAATAAAACCTTTAAAAAGAAGGTATGTATGTATGTAATAATATACTACATATATATTAGATATAATAGTGATATCCATATATACTAGATAAATTATAGAGAAACATACATATGCATATACCTACTATGGAACATGAATCAAATTTGATATATCCATTCTTATTTTATTCCATACAAGTTAAGATTTTTACATTTCTAAGTTGCTAAAAACATCAAAATAATAGTGCCTTACACATTAAAATTATATAGAATTCAAATGTTACTATCCATAAAATTAAATTTTATTAGAACATTGCCATGCTTTTATTTATCAATTGTTTATTACCGCTTTTGTTATGACAAAGTCTCACGTCTCATCTAATATGCTCATCTGAACCTTTATAAGAAGTTTTGCCAATATCTGATATTAAAAACAAATGCTAATTGTAGCTATTCATTGCTTGCTTGGCTGTTCTTCTGTTCCCCATTGCCCACTGTTTAGGTTTCTGCCTCTTTCATCCCACTAACCCACACCCACTTTCTTGTGCATGAGTTACACCTCTCTATCTCCTCTCAAGCTATTTTAATTCCAGTTCGACTACACTCCTTATCCCATTCACTTTCTTTCAGTAGTCTTCTCAATATGGTGATTACTCCTATCTTTTATGTAAATACTGTTCTCAACTTTTACCTTCCCTCATAGCAAAGGAAATAGTCAACAAAATGAAGACACAGCCCACAAATGGGAGAAAATATATGCAATCTGTCCACCTGATGAGGGCTTAATAACTAGAATATATAAGACATTCAGACAACTGAATAGCAAAACACAATAATTTGATTTAAAAAGGGACAAAAACATCTGAATAGACATTTCTGAAAGACATACAAATGGCTAACAGGCATATGAAAAAAAATTTCAACATCACATTAGTGGTTACAGAGAAATACAAATCAAAATCATGACAAAAGATCACCCCAGTTAAAATCGCTTTTATCAAAAAGATAGGCAATAACAGATGCTGGCGAGGATGTGGAGTAAAGGGAATACTCATATACTGTTGGTGGGAATATAAATTAGTACAAAAACCATGGAGAAAAGTTTGGAGGCTTCTCAAAAAACTAAAAGTAGATCAACCAGCAATTCCACAATTGGGTATACATACAAAAGAAAATAAATTGATATAGCAAACAGGTATTTGCACTCCTATGTTTATTACAGCATTATTCACAGCCAAAATATGTACTCAACCTAAGTGCACATTAATGGATGAATGGATAAAGAAAATGTGGTGTATATACACAGTGGAATATTATTCAGCCATGAAAAATAAAATTCTGTCAATTGCAGTAACATGATTGGATCTGGAGGTTATTACATTAAGTGAAATAAGCCAAGCACAGAAAAATACCACATTCTTGCTCACACATGAGAACTGAAAAAATAGATCTCATGGAGATAGAGAAGATATTAGGTTAATGCTTATCAGAGACCAGGAAAGGTAGGGCTGAGGGAAGGGATGAAGAGAGGTTGATTAATGGGTATATAAATATACAATTTGATGGGGGGAATAAAAACTAGTGTTTGATAGATTGTTATTAACTAAAGCCATACTAATCTATTATATATTTCAAAATGGCCGAAAGAGAATAATCTGATAGTAGCATAAAGAAAAGATACATTTTTAAAGTGGTGGATATTCCAATTATACTGATATGAACTTTAGAAATTATATGAATGTATTAAATTATCACATGTACCCCTAATAAATGTACATATTCTATGTATTAACAAAATTATCATTTAAAAAAATCAGAAGAGTAGAAAATATCTTATACAACTTTAAAAATACCTTTCTTCAGCACTCCTTCCCTAAAATTTCTTCTCAATAATGGACAATTACTTTTATTTCTCCAACTTTTTGAAGAATATTTTACTATACAATAGGCTTTCCAATGACAATTTTACATCATTGTAATTCCCTAAGTATTAGTAACATTTTTCCTGTAGAATCAATACCTGTGACATATACTTTTACTAATGTATTCATCCATTCATTATTTTATCCATCCAAACATTTTATTCATTCCCACAAATGTGTATTATTTACATGTCAGACATGAAGGAAGATAAAATATATTTTCTGCCCCTGCAGATCTCACCTTCTGATATGGAACAAATACGTATCCAATCAGAGCTGAAATGAACAAGAAGTTAGTGAGGGTTATGAGGAACAAAGATTAAAACTTCTGTATTAGAATTGCCTACCAACCTTTACAACAACCTTTCCACTTTGATATTTTATCAATGCTTTTCCTACTATTCATTTTCTAAGCATAATGATCTTAGTTTCTTAAGCTCTTCTACTCCTGTAATTTGATATGCACTTCACTTTATGACCTGAAGATGTTCAGAATGATTCTGAAGTTCTTTCTATAACAGTGTCATTAGGTCTGCTATTCCTGCCCTTACTTAAACTGCTCTTGACCCATATTTTGGTCTCCATTTCTTCCACATGCACTACCAATCCCGATTTGACTTTGCCACTTCTTTTAGCCAAAAACCCCAATTTGTTATATCAAGAGTGTCTTACTAGATCATATACTCTAAAAATTTTGGTTTTCATTTGTACTGATATGGCTAAACCTGATCCTTTAGTAACTTACCAATGTTTCCTCTTCTGCCATTTTCTACATTTGAATGACTGCTGCAGACAATCATAAAAGGGTGTTGAGCCCAGTTGCGGTGGCTCACGCCTGTAATCCCATAACTTTGAGAGGCCGAGGTGGGTGGATCATGAGGTCAGGAGATCAAGACCATCCTGGCTAACACGGTGAAACCCCGTCTCTACTAAAAATACAAAAAATTAGCCGAGCGTGGTGGTGGGCGCCTGTAGTCCCAAGCTACTCAGGAGGCTGAGGCAGGAGAATGGCGTGAACCCGGGAGGCGGAGGTTGCGGTGAGCCGAGATCGCGCCACTGCACTCCAGCCTGGGCGACAGAGCGAGACTCCATCTCACAAAAAAAAAAAAAAAAAAAAAAAAAGGATGTTGAGTTAAACATTTTTGCTGTCTAACATCGCATGGGCTTCAAAGCTACGTAATATTTTTAAAGTGGCTAAAGTACTTAAGCTCTCTTCCGGAAGCTCTCAAACCTTCCTTCATTTTATTCACTGACTGCCATAAAGATACAGTCTCTGACTTTTACTTTCTTTAAAAATAGAAAGCTTGTACCTCAATTTCACCCCCACACCTTTTTACAATCTAGGCTACATGTAGTTTTGTTATATGTAGTTTTGTTATAGCCTCCTGGGTCTTTGGCCAAATTGGGAGTCTAATCATTTCTACCAAAAATGGTAGAAGAGAAACCTCTACATCTCTTCCAGATCAGCAGAGATCATGAGTTCAGTTTCACACAAAGGTAGCGTATATGTACACACAAGTTCACGCACACATATTAGGCCTCTCTAAGCTATTTTTACATGCCAACACTGGAACTATGTCAGTGGTCTTGCCTGACACTGAATTTACTGTTTCATAGCCAAACTCCAAAATAAATATTGACTTTCTATTTTTACTATGATGACCCTTTAGTGCATCAAACGAGATCCATTTACAACAGTACACAATCTCAAAATTCCCAATTCTCTCAGCTGCATGTCTCATTTTATTTCATCTTATAATTTTCAATTTTTCTAAGAGCACTAAAGTTCTTCTAACACAAGATTCGTGTCCTCTTCCAATCCCAGCTCCCCACCTCTCAAGTCCTATTTATTTTTTCCCACATTACAACATGGACCTTATTCCCCTCCAACCCTTTTCATTATTTTTCATTATGTATTCACAGAAAACATTGTTGCCTCCTATTAAATATACATGCCCATAGAAGCTCTGTCAGAGCATCCTTCTGACCGGATAGATGGGTGTTTTGAAAAATACATTTTAAGAAAGGCCATGGAGAGGGTACCTTAATATCTATTTGATTAGAAGAAAACAAATGATTTCCCTGGGCATGTTTCTCACATCCTCTAATCACAAAAGACTATACACTCATTTAAGGTGAGGCTCATACCTTATTTACTTTTGAAAATCCTGCACCACCTGACATGTGGCCTGGTTCAAGATAAAAGCTTAAAATGTGTATTCGGTAAGCATTGAACGGGATCCTTGATCCATGTCCTTACTCAAGTCCCTGCTCCTGTATAATCAGCAAATATTTCCCCTCATCCCTACCTATTTTAACAACCAACATTTACCAAAGTGCATGGCTAGAAGAAATTGTAAGAAAGGAAGGGAAAAGTGAACGTTAGAGACTGGAGAAGTTAAGTCTCTTCAGAATTCTCTTTTCCCCATGTCTTAGAAATGAGGCCACCTCGTTTGTGCAATTCATTATTCTCAACAGTATTCAGAACTTCAGAATTGCATTTATGGAACATAGTAAAGCTTAAGAGAGTAATAGGATAAAAATGGACAGGGTTCTGGCAGAATCTAGATAAAATCTAAAGAAAACACAAACCATTGGCTTTGTGTCATATTCTATGATATAAAGCTATACAGTAAGTCTAACTTTCTTTTTTCTTCCAGGCACACAAACTTTATTATACCTAATATAAGGCAGGTAGGTAAAGTGATAGGAGAGACTACTCAATGTGCAACTGACAGGTGGTGTTCATTGTGCAGACGTGTAAATTGTACCTCTTAAACATTTCTTAGATATTTTCTCCACTCTGACTATCTTAGTTCAGGCCACTTTCATCCTAAACTATTGTGTCAGATCAGTAACCTAAATATCTACCTACCTATGCAATTTACTATGCATTTTTCCCTCACATTTTCATGTGATCCCTTTACTAGAATCTTTCACAGACATACTTTTTTTCTACTGGAATAAAAGGCAAATAACTTTTAATGGGCATACAGCCCTTCAAAAATGATCCACAAGTTCCTGGCTAATTGTTGAGTGCTTTTCTAAGAAAATTATTTTTCCCCAAAGAAAGGCATATAAAAAATGTATCCCTTAGGTTAGAAACCCCAGAAGATTTTGGAATTGAAAGCAAGGAGCTTAGACATTGTTTTATTCTTACTGTCATTTCTTACCTAACTCGTCTTGGCGCAGGGGGTCCTTCAGATCATCTTCATATTTGGATATTCACTAGAAGGATGCCCAGGGCTCAGCTTATAGTCATCTTATGGCTAAGATTTATTACAGTGACATAAGAATATATAGCCATATAATAAGGGAAAAGACACAGGTTGGGTCTGGATCATGTTGGCTTCCTTGTGTTCTCTCTCTCTCATGAGGATTTACATGAAGCATACACCTCCAAGCAGCAAATGCAACAACATGGGTATGATCTTTCTACCCAGGGAAACCAAGTACTGACTTACTTTCCAATTACTCTCCAAAATATGTATTGGAGCTTCGTCATGTAGACACCTTCTAACTTATGTGTACCAAAGTTTCAGACTCTCAGAAGAAAAACAAGAATTCAGGAGAAATTACATTGTTTACATGAATAGTCTAAGCACAAGTGAGACAGCTGTTGACTGGGAACATTCCAAGTGTTCTCAGAAGCCAAAGGATCACCTTGCAAGGAGATAATTCTAAGAATAGTTATCTCAGACTTGCTTTGTTAACTGTTTTCTATATACTCTCTGAGTCCTATATCTGAATAAGATGTGTAGAAAAGTGAGAACCTGAATGCATCAGTCGTGGTGACCTAAAACTCAAGAACCATGAGGCAAGTTGCTGTCCACACTTAATATAGCACAGAAGAGGTGACAGCTGAAAGAAATCAGATGGATGAATATAATTTAGTGTAGCTGGTTCTCCATGAAAATAGATAAAGTCAGCATCTCTTAATGACAAGGATATATTATAAAAACATTTGTCATTAGGCAATTTCATCACTGCATGGACATCATAAACTGTACTTGTACAAACCTAGATGGTATAGCCTGTTGCTGTTAGGCCACAAAGCTGTACAGCATGTTGTTGTACTGAATACTATAGGCAATTTTAATACAATGATAAATATTTTTGTATCCAAGCATATATAAATGTATAAAAGGTACAGTAAAAATAAGGTATCATAATCTTAAGGGACCACCTTTGTATACGCTGTGCAGCACACAACTGTACATGAAAATCTTACACACCTGGCATTGACATGTGACAATTGTGATGGAAAACAGACCATAATATGCCTGACAACAGGACGAAGATGCTATAATGTACAGATGTATTTAAGACCATAGTAAGAACCACAGGTTTTGGTGGTTGTTTCCAAACCCTATTTTAAACATCCAGAAAGATCAGTTACATCTGTGTGTGTCTGGGAACAAATATTATCTATTTCACCCCCAGATACTGATACTTTAATGCCACAATGACACAGTAAACCTCCTTGTGCATTTAGACTCTATCTTGAAAGTTGACAGGACAGGATGCAGAATAGTGAATGAGCATTTAAAAACAAACTAGATCACCCAAGCCTCTCTGTTTGCCTGATGTCTGATATGAATAGAAAGAATATTGAATCCAGTAAGAATGCATTCTTGATGAAAGGGAATGTTAAGTGGCCAGTCTAAGTTGCAGTGCTATCCAGATGTTAAGTGGCCAGTCTAAGTTGCAGTGCTATCCAGAAGGGAAGGTCTGGAAGTTCATAAAGTATTTTATGAGCTTCATTAAATAAAAATTCTTTACTATCTTGGTGTGCTCTTGTTCTACAGTTCTTTTCAAACTCTCATTACAAATAGTTGAACAATATAATTTTGGTTATATCTCTTTCTATAAACATAAAAGTGAGGTGTTATGATAGGGACTCAGGGGGGCAACTTTCATGAAGATTAGTTGATTGGGAAATCCCTCACTGATGAATGATAATTACTTTGAGACTTGATGACAAAAGAGGGCCTCATAAAGTTCTCCATTCAAAGTGTTCAGGTCTAGGGCACAATTAGTGCAAAATATCCAAATATGAAACAACTTTTTCAAGGTTGTGGAAATAAAATATGAAAACGACGTATAGTTTCGGTGAAATGTATTGGTGGCAGTAGTGGGATCCGTTTGGCACATGGAATGAACTAAATATGGGACAGAGAAGGAGAAAAGAAGGGGTCCATGGTGCTTTCCAAATCTCTTCTCTACTTTATATGTTAAAGCTCATTTAAGATGACAATCAAATAATTAAATCTACCTGGCTAGTTTAAGTACATAAGAAATGTAACCATTTAATAAAATGCTGGTAGCATTACTTTTAATAAAAGAATTGCAAAGCAATGCTGAATTCTTTTATAGTCAGGATTTTTATTGCTATAAAAATGCTTTTAAGCTTTCAGGTGAAGAGTAGAACAGAACATCTAATGCTTTTTATGTTCTCTTATGTATTCATGTTTGTCATGGCTAAGGCAGATAAAACAACTGCCTTAGTGAGAATAAGATGTGTATAAACTCAAGGCAGATAGAACAGCCACTTTAGCAAGAATAAGTAGAACTGTATAAATTCCACTAGGGTCTGAATTACTGACCACTTTATAAAGTTTATAATAATGAAGGTATAATGAACAGATAACTGAATGAAATATGCTTCCTACTTCAAGAACATCCTCTTAATTGAGATGCAATATGTAGTGGGCATTGGTGTGCAACAAAATAAAAAAACAAACTTTAACTTATTAAAATCAGGACACATATTTAAATTTAAGCCTTTAATCTTGGAATATCTAGGTTCATTTTCTATCAATTTCAGTGTGCTTTGTATATGACTCAGATGACTTGCCCAGTATTTTCAATAAGATAACTTAAAACACCCTAACCTGAATCTTTAATTCCATTGTCAACAAAAATAAAATACAAATTATCTGAGATAGGAGGCAGAGCAAGATGGCAGAATAGAAGTGTTCACCAATCATCCTTCTCACAAGGACACCAATTTAACAACTATCTACACAAGAAAAGCTCCTTCATAAGAACAAAAATCAGGTGAGCACTCATAATACTTGGTTTTTAAACTTTGTATCACTGAAAGAGATGCTGAAGAGGTAGAAGAAAATAGTCTGGAACTACTGACAACCCCCCAGTTTGGCCACAAGATAGGGTACTGGTCAGAGTTGCAAGACCCTCTTTCCAGGCCCTAGCTCCTGGACGGCCTTTTTTAGACATGCCCTGGGCCAGAAGAGAACCTGCTGCCTTGAAAGAAAGGACCAAGTCCTGGTAGCATTCATTATCTGCTAATTGAGGAGACTTTGGTTCTGGAATAAAGAGCAGTGATACCCAGGTACTATGTTGAGGGCTGTGGGTGAAATTCTGAGACTTGCTGGCTTTAGGTGAGACTCAGCACATTCCCAGATTTAGTGGCTATGGGGCAAGACTTGTTCCACTTGAGAAAAGCAGAAAGAAGACTAAAGGGGACTTTGCCTTGCACCTTAGGACCAGAATGGCCACAACAGGATAGAGCACCAACCAGGCTCTTGGGTTCCCTGATTTTAAAACATGGCTCTTGGATGGCATTTCTGGACATGCTTTCCACCAGAGGGGAGCCCACTGCCCAGGAGGGTGAGTCCCAGGCCAGACAGTATTCACCACAAGTTAACTGAAAAGCCCTTGGGACTTACGGGAACATTGGTGATAGGCTGGCAATACTCTGTGTGGGTCTGTGGTGGTGGTGGCCATAGAGTGAGCTCCTCTGCCTTTGGAAAGGAGAAGGAAAAGTGGGAAGGACTGCATCCTGTGGAGTGAGTGCCAGCTCAACCACAGAACAATAGAATACCAGATAGACTTCTAAGCCTTTTGATTCTAGTCTCTGGCTCCCAGAGAGGACCTCTGGACCCACCCAGCACCTGGGGGTACTCACTGCATGAAAAGGAAGGACACAATTCTGACTGACTTTGCTACCTGCTGAATGTAGAGCCTCAGAGCCTTGAGCAAAAATAAGCAATAGCCAGGGAGTGTTTACAGCAGGACTTGGGTAAGACCCAGCACTGTACTGACTTCTGGTCTGACCCAGTGCAGGCATGGTAATGATGGCCATAGGGTTGCTTGTGTCACTCCCCTCCTAGCTTCATATGGTTGAGAACAGAGGGAGAGACTCTTGTGTGTTTGAAAGAAAATAAGGGAAGAGTACAAGAGTCTTTGCCTGGTAATCTAGAGAATTCTCCTGGATTATGAGTAGAACTATCAAAATAGTACCTGTATGAGTCTACAAGAACCATAGCATTGCTGGGCTTGGGGTGCCCAGATACAGCTTCGATCACAACATTCAAGTTTTTTTTTTTTTTAATATTTGGAAATTCTTCCCAAGAAAGATGGGTACAAACAAGCCCAGACAGCAAAGACTAAAATAAATAACTCTTCAATGCTTGGACACAGACAAATATCTGCAAGTATCAAAACATTCCAGAACAATAAGATCTCACCAAATGAACTAAATAAGACACCAGGGACCAGTTCTAGAGAAAAAGATATGTGACCTTTTAGACAGATAATTCAAAGTATCTATTTTGAGGAAACTCAAAGAAATTCAAGATAACACAGAGAAGGTGTTCAGAATTCTATCAAAGAGATTGAAATAATTAAAAAGAAACAAGTAGAAGTTCTTGAGTTGAAAAATTACAATTGGCATGCTGAAGGAATGCATCAGAGTCTTTTAATATCAGAATTGATTAAGCAGAAGAAAGAATTAGTGAGCCTGAACACAGGCTATTTGAAAATATGGGGTCAGAAGAGATAAAAGAAAAAATAAACAATGAAATATGCCTATATGATCTAGAAAATATCCCCGAAATGGCAAATCTAAGAGTTACTGGGTGTAAAGAGGAGGTAGAGGAAGAGATAGGAGTAGAAAGTTTATTTAAAGGGATAATATCAGAGAACTTGTCAAACCTAGAGAAATATATCAATATTCTAATACCAGAATGTTATAGAGTACCAAGCATATTTAACCCAAAGAAAGTTACCTCAAGGGATATAATAATCAAATTCCCAAAGATCAAAGATAAAGAAAGGATCACAGAAGCAGTAAGAAGAAAACAAAAACACACAATGAAACTCCAATACTACTAACATCAGACTTTTCATAGAAGGCTTACAGGCCAGTAGAGAGTGGCATGACATATTTATCATACTGAAGGAAAAACGTTTTACCCTAGACTAGTGTATCTGGTGAAAATATCCTTCAAGCATGAAAGAGAAATAAAGACCTTATCTGACAAACAAAAGCTAAGGGATTTCATCAGCACCACACCTGTCCTACAAGAAATGCTAAAGGGAGTTTTTCAATCTGGAAGGAATGGGTGTTGATGAGCAAGAAATCTTACAGTGCAAAACTCATTGGTAATAGGAGACAGAAAAACACAGAATATTAGAACACTGTAACTGTGGTATGTAAACTACTCTTAACCTAAGTGGAAAGACTAAATGAGCCAATCAAAAATAATAACTACAATTTTTAAGACATAGTACAATAACAAATAGAAACAATGAAAAGGTAAGAAGTGGGGGGGGGTGAAGTAAAGGCATAATTTTTTGTTTTCTTTTTGTTGGTTAGGCCAACAGTGTGGTTATCAGACTAAAATAAGGGTTTTAATATAGTATTTGAATGTTTCATGGTAACCATAAACCAAATAAAACATAGAGTGGATACACAAAATAAAAAGCGGAAACTAAATCATGTCACTAGAGAAAATCACCTTAACTAAAGGAAGATAGGAAGGAAAGAAAAATATCAGAAAACAAATAACAAAAATGACAGGAGTAAGTCCTTATCAATGATAACATTAAATGTAAATGTAAATGAACTGAACTGTCCAATCAAAAGACATAGAGTGGCTGAGTAGATTTTTTTTAAAAAAGGAACCAATGATCTATTGCCTACAAGAAACATGTTTCACCTATGAAGACATACATACACTGATATGGTTTGGCTGTGTTCCCACCCAAATCTTATCTTGAATTGTAACTCCCACAATTTCCACTTGTGGGAGGAATGTGGTAAGAGCTAATTGAATAATGGGGGTAGGTCTTTCCTGTGCTGTTCTCATGAGAGCAAATAAGTCTCACAAGATCTGATGGTTATAGAAATGGGAGTTTCCCTGCATAAATTTTCTTTTGTCTGCCATCATTTGAGACATGCCTTTAACCTTCCACCATGACTGTGAGGCCTCCTCAGCCCTTGGAACTATAAGTCCATTAAACCTCTTTTGTAAATTGCCCAGTCTTGGGTATGTCTTTATCAGCAACATGAAAACAAACTAATACAGTAAATTGGTACCAGTAGAGTGGGGTGCTGCTGAGAAGATACCCAAAGTTGTGGAAGCAACCTGGAACTGGGTAACAGGCAGCAGTTGCAACAGTTTGGAGGGCTCAGAAGAAGACATGAAAACGTGGAAAAGTTTGAAACTTCCTAGAGACTCATTGAATGGCTTTGACTAAAATGCTGATAATGATATGGACAATGAAATCCAGGCAGAGGTGGTCTCAGATGGAGATGAGGAACTTTTTGGGAACTGGAGCAAAGGTGGCTTTTGTTGCCATTGATTTGGTGTTTTATTCATGAAGTGTTTCCCCACGCCTGTGTCCTGAATGGTATTGCCTAGGTTTTCTTCTAGGGTTTTTTTTTTATGGTTTTAGGTCTTATGTTTAAGTCTTTAGTCCATCTTGAGTTAAGTTTTGTATAAGGTGTAAGGAAGGGGGTCCAGTTTCAGTTTTCTGCATGTGGCTAGCCAGTTTTCCCAACACCATTTATTAAATACAGAATCCTTTCCCCATTGCTTATTTTTGTCAGGTTTGTCAAAGATAAGACAGTTGCAGATGTGTGGTGTTATTTCTGAGACTTCTGCTCTGTTCCACTGGTCTATATATATGTTTTGGTACCAGTACCATCCTGTTTTGGTTACTGTAGCCTTTTAGTATAGTTTGAAGCCAGGTAGCGTGATGTCTCCAGCTTTGTTCTTTTTGCTTAGGATTGTTTTGGCTACCTCTAATACTGGCAAATCCAATCCAGCAGTACATCAAAAAGCTTATCCACCATGATCAAGCTGGCTTCATACCTGGGATGCAAGGCTGGTTCAACATATGCAAATCAGTAAATGAATCCACCACATAAACAGAACCAATGACAAAAACCACATGATTCTATTAATAGATGCAGAAAAGGACTTCAATAAAATTCAACTAAAAACTAAAACCCTTCATGCTAAAAACTCTCAATAAACTAGGTATTGATGGGACGTATTTCAAAATAATAAGAGCTATTTACAACAAACCCACAGCCAATATCATACTGAATGGGCAAAAGCTGGAAGCATTCCCTTTGAAAACTGGGACAAGACAATGATGTCCTCTCTCACCACTCCTTTTCAACATAGTATTGGAAGTTCTGGCCAGGGCAGTCAGGCAAGAGAAAGAAATAAAGGGTATTTGATTAGGAAAAGAGGAAGTCAAGTTGTCTCTGTTTACAGATGACATGATTGTATATTTAGAAAACCCCATCATCTCAGCCCCAAATCTCCTTAAGCTGACAAGCAACTTCAGCAAAGTCTCAGAATACAAAATCACTGTGCAAAAAATCACAAGCATCCCTACACACCAATAATAGACCAATAGAGAGCCAAATCATGAGTGAACTCCCATTCACAATTGCTACAAAAAGAATAAAATACCTAGGAATACAACTCACAAGACATGTGAAAGACCTCTTCAAGGAGAACTACAAACCACTGCTCAAGGAAATAAGAGATGACAAAAACAAATGGAAAAAACATTCCATGCTTATGGATAGAAAATCAATATGAAAAAGGCCATACTGTCCAAAGTATTTTGTAGACTCAATGCTATCCCCATCAAGCTACTATTGGCTTTCTTCACAGAATTAGAAAAAAACTACTTTAAATTTCATATGGAACCAAGAAAGGGCCCGTATAGCCAATACAAGCCTAAGCAAAAAGAACAAAGCTGGAGACATCATGCTACCTGACTTCAAACTATACTAAAAGGGTACAGTAACCAAAACAGCATGGTACTGGTACTAAAACAGATATATAGACCAATGTAACAGAATAGAGGCCTCAGAAATAACACCACACATCTGTAACTATCTTATCTTTGACAAATCTGACAAAAACAAGCAATGGGGAAAGGATTCCCTATTTAATAAATGGTGTTGGGAAAACTGGCCCACATGAAGAAAACTGAAACTGGATCCCTTCCTTACACCTTATACAAAAATTAACTCAAAATGGGTTAAAGACTTAAACATAAGAGCTAAAACCATAAAAACCCTAGAAGAAAACCTAGGCAATACCATTCAGGACATAGGCATGGGCAAAGACTTCATGACTAAAACACCAAAAGCAACTGCAACAAAAGCCAAAATTGCCAAATGCGATCAATTAAAGAGCTTCTGCACAGCAATAGAAACTATCATCAGAGTGAACAGGCAACCTACACAATGGGAGAAAATTTTTGCAATCTCTTCATATGGCAAAGGGCTAATATCCAGAATCTACAAAGAGCTTAAACAAATTTACAAGAAAAAGTGGGCAAAGGATATGAACAGACTCTTCCCAAAAGAAGACATTTATGCAACCAACAAACATATGAAAAAAATGCTCATCATCACTGGTCATTAGAGAAATGCAAATCAAAACCACAATGAGATACCATTTCATGCCAGTTGGAATGGAGATCATTAAAAAGTCAGGAAACAACAGATGATGGAGAGGATGTGGAGAAATAGGAATGCTTTTAAACTGTTGGTGGGAGTGTAAATGAGTTCAACCCTGTGGAAGACAGTGGCGATTCCTCAAGGATCTAGAACCAGAAATACTATTTGATCCAGCAATCCCACTACTGGGTATGTACCCAAAGGATTTTAAATCATTCTACTATAAAGACACATGCACCCATATGTTTATTACAGCACCGTTTGCAATAGCAAAGACTTGGAACCAACCCAAATATCCCTAAATGATAGACTGGATAAAGAAAATGTGGCACATATACACCATGGAATACTATGCAGCTATAAAAAAGGTTGAGTTCATGTCCTTTGCAGGGACATGGATGAAGCTGGAAACCATCATTCTCAGCAAACTAACACAAGAACAGAAAATCAAACACCGCATGTTCTCATTGATAAGTGGGAGTTGAACAATGAGAAATATGGACACAGGGCAAGGAACATCACACCCCAGGGCCTGTTGGGGAGTGGGAGGCTGCGGGAGGGATAGCATTAGGAGAAATATCTAATGTAGATGACGAGTTGATGGGTGCAGCAAACCACCATGGCATGTGTCTATCTATGTAACAAACCTGCACCTTCTGCATATGTATCCTAGAACTTAAAGTATAAAAAAAGTCACTACATAATGATAAATGAGTTAATTCAGCCACAGAGTATAACAACTTTAAATATATATACACCTAACACTGGAACACCCAGATATGTAAAGCAAATATATAAAAGATAGAGAGATAGGCCCCAATGCAATAATATCTGGCGACTTCAACACTCCACTTTCAGCATTGGAGAGATCTTCCAGACAGCAAATCAATAAAGAAACATCAGATTTAATCTGTACTATATGCCAAATGGACCCAATAGATATTTACAGAAAATTTCATCCAAGGGCTGCAGAATACACATTCTTCTCAGCTCATGGATCACTCTCAAGGATAGACTATATGTTAGGTCACAAAGCAAGCCTTAAAACACTCATAAAATCTGAAATAATATCAAGTATCTTCTCTGATCATAAAAGAATAAAGCTAGAAATGAAAAATGGGAGGAATTCTGAAAACTATTTATATACATGGAAATTAAACATGCTCCTGAATGACTGGTGGGTCAATGAAGACATTAAGACAGAAATTTAAAATGTCTTGAAACAAATAATAATAAACACAACATACCAAAACCTATGGGATACAGCAAAAGCAGTACAAAGAGGGAAATTTCTAGCTACAAGTGTCTACATAAAGAGAAAAAACATCAAATAAACTAACAATGCATCTTAAAGAGCTAGAAAAGCAAGAGCAAACCAAACTCAAAATTAATAGAACAGAAATAAAGATCTGAGAATAAATAAGTGAATATGAAATAAAACAATACAAAAGGTCAATGAAATAAAAAGTCCATTTTTTGAGAAGTTAAACCAATTTGGTTTAACCTTAGCCAGATTAAGGAAAAAAAGATCCAAATGAATAAAATTAGAAATGAAAAAGGAATCATTACAGCTAATACTGCAGAAATTCAAAGGATCATTAGTGGCTACTATGATCAACTACGTGTCAATAAATTTGAAAATCTATAAGAAATGAACAAATTCCTAGAAACATACAGCCTACCAAGATTGAACCACAAAGAAATCCAAAACCTAAACTAAGCAATAACAAATAACAAGATCAAAGCTGTAATAAAGTGTCTCCCAGTAAAGAAAAGCCCAGGACCCAATGACTTCACTGCTGAATTATTCCAAACATTGAAAGAAGAACTAATACCAATCCTACTCCAAATGAAGGAGGAGAGAATACTTCCAAACTCATTATATGAGGCCAGTATTTCCCTGACACCAAAATCAGACACCTTAAACTACAGCCCGCTGTCTCTGAATATTGATGCGAAAAACCTTGACAAAATACTAGCTAGCTGAATTCAACAATGCATTAAAAAGATCATTCATCATGACCAAGTGGGATTTATGCCAGGGGTGCATGGAAGGTTCAACAGATGCAAATCCATCAATGTGTAATACATCATATCAGTAGAATGAAGGACAAAAATCATATGATCACTTCAATTGATACTGAGAAAGCACTTGATAATACTCAACATCCCTTCATGATAAAAAGCAAAAAAAAAATGGGTATACAAGGAACATAACTTAATATAATTAATGCAATGTATGATAGACACACAGCTAGCATCATACTGAATGAGGAAAAACTGAAAGCCTTTCCTCTAAGATCTGGAACATGACAAGGATGTCCACTTTCACCACTATTATTCAAGACAGCACTGGAAGTTGTCACCAGAGCAATCAGACAAGTGGAAGAAATAAAGGGCATCCAAATTGGAAAGAAGTCAAATTATCCTTGTTTGCGGATGATATGATGTATTTCAAAAAGCCTAAAAACTCCACCCAAAATCTATTAGAACTGATAAATTCACTGAATTTGCAGGATACAATTTCAACATACAAAAATCAGTAGCATTTCTATATGCCAGCAGTGAAAAGGAAATCAAAAAAGTAATCCCATTTAGGATAGCTAGGAATAAAATGAAATACCTAGAAATTAACAAAAGAAGTGAAAGATATCTATAATTAACAGTATAAAACCCTGACTAAAGAAGTCGAAGAGAACACTGAAAAATAGATATTCCATGTTCATGTTTTGGAAGAATCAATATTGTTAAAATGTTCACACCACCTAAAACAATTACAGATTCAATGCTGTCCCTATCTAAACACCAATGAAATTTTTCAAAGAAACGAAAAAAAAGTCCTTAAAATTTATATGGAACCACAAAGACTCAGAATATTCAAAACAATTTGAAGTAAAAGAACAAAACTGGAGGAATCACATTACCCGGCTTCAAATTATGCTACAGAGCTATAGACACCAAAACAGAATGGTACTGGCATAAAAACAGATACATAGACCAATGGAACCGAATATAGAACCCAAAACCAAATCCACACACCTACAGTGAATGCATTTTCAACAAGGCTGCCAAGATCCATACATTGGGGGAAAGACTGCCTATTCAATAAATGGTGCTGGGAAAACTGGATATCCATATGCAGAAGAATGAAACTAGATCCCTATCTCTCACTATGTAAAAAGCATAACAAAATGGATGAATGACTTAAATGTAGGACCTCAGATTATGAAACTACTATAAGAAAACACTGGGGGAAATCTCCAGGATATTGGTATAGGCAAAAATTTTGTGGGTAATATCCCGCAAGCACAATCAATCAAGGCAAAAATGGATAAATAGGATTGCATCAAGTTAAAAAGCATTTGTACAACAAAAGAAACAGACAACAAAATGAAGAGACAACCCACATAATGGGGGAACATTTGCAAGCTACCCATCTGACAAGGGATTAATAAGCGCAACATATTAGGAGCTGAAACAACTCTATAGGAAAAAAATCTAATAACCCAATTAAAAAACGGGCAAAAGATTTGAGTAGCCATTTCTCAAAAGAAAACACAAAGGGCAAACAGACATATGAAAAGGTACTTGAGATCATTGATCATCAGAGAAATGTAAGGCAAAACTACAATGAGGTATCATCTCACCTCAGTTATCCAAAAGACAGGCAATAACAAATGCTGACAAGGATGAGGAGAAAAGGGAACCCTTATACACTGTTGGTGGGAATGTAAATTAGTACAACCACTATGGATAACAGCTTTCAGCTTCCTCAAAAACCGAAAAATAGAGCTACCATATGATCCAGCAACCTCACTGCTGGGTATATACCCAAAAGAAAGGAAATAATATATTGAAGAAAGATCTGCATTCTCAGGTTTTGTTGCAGCACTGTTCATAATAACCAAGATTTGAAAGCAACCTATGTGTCCATTCATAGATGAATGGATAAAGAAAATGTGTCACATATGGAAAACTGGGTAATATTCACCCATAAAAACGATATGCTGTAATTTTCAATAACATGGGTGGAACTGGAGATCATTATGTTAAGTGAAATAAGCCAAACACAGACAAACGTTGTATGTTCTCACTCATTTGTGGGTTCTAAAAATTAAAACAGTTGAATTCATGGAGACAGAGTATAAGGATGGTTAGTGGAGTCTGGAAAGGGGGTTGGGGATAGTTGGTGATGGTTAGTTGGTACCAAAAAAAATAGAATGAATAATACCTAGTACTTGATTGTACAACAGAGTGACTATAGTCAGTAATATCTCAACTGTACATTTGAAAATAACAGTATAATTGAATTGGTAACACAAAAGATAAATGCTTGAGGATATAGATACCTCATTCTCTATGGGATTATTATGCATTGTAGGTCTGTATTAAAACATTTCCTGTACCCCATAAATATATATACCTACTATGTAGCCATATAAGTTAAAAAGAAAGAATATTATGTAAAATCATGTAATAACATAAGGTTTGCTCTTCATTAGCAAAGTCAAAGTGTGAAAATCTAGACATGTAAAACTGCTAAACTGCGCTTGAAATCTTCTCAATAAAAAACAAACAACTTAATTTCTTACTCTTTTTTCCAAGTTGATTAGACTCCTTTTTTTCTAACATAAATAGCTAATTCCCTCTAATGGGAACCCAATTCACATTTATTCATCTGATTGTCTGTGAGTGGTGTTGTGGTGGGTGTTGTAAATATAGGGAATATGATTTCTATCCACAGATAACATGTGGACCTGAGGGAGTGACTCAGGATATATTGACTCATCTTTTAATGCACAGCCAGTCCTTTTAATGCACAGAAATTCCCATGGGAATTTCTAGCCATTAGCTTCCACACCAGGGGACGTTTGGGGGAGGGTTGTATACCTATTTCAATTCCTCAAGGGAGGCTCAGATAGCACTGTACCTGGAGGATGGTTTCTTTCCACTAAATACTTCCATCATTGGAAGTATTTAGCATGAAAGTGTTCACCATCAGAGGCAGAAGGCATGGGTGAACCAAGAGTTGAGATAGAATTCTTAAATCTGAATATGTTTTCCAAGCAGGAACCTGGGACATTGTCATGTCTCGAGGTGGGTAAGGGACTCACTAACACAGAACACTCACAATTTTACTCATTTTTTCTCTAAAATGCTATATATATTGCTTTGATATGATACCTAAAAATATTCACACATATTGAGTGTTCTGAGTGCTGTGCAAAGTGGGTTTCATTGGTTACCTGCCCCAAATTTATTGTTTTCCTCTTTTCTGGAACTTCCAAAGTACCCAGAAACTAACACTGAATCCGAAAGCCTAATATTCCGTAATTTCCTATGCAGGTAGAGGAGAGCACAAAAACGGGGGTGACAGTGAACACATGAGAGTTCCTCGAAAGTCCTATAAAATAATTTAATCCACTGGCAGGGATTATCTCGCTCTACCAAATTTTTGGCATGAAGACTAGTGCTACAGAAGCTATCACAGCTAACTCATGTCCCATCTGAACCTTGGCTTTGAAACTTTTCCAACAACTTCTGCATTAACTTGACATTCACTCCGTGGCTAAGGATCTCTTCAGATACTGGAGAAGATCTTAACCACCTGTCTCTGCTTCCAATTCTAAATTATCCCAGTCTCTCTTCAGGCCTCAACTTCTTTCTCAACATTCTCTCTTCCCAAACTTTGAAAGAGAATTGTATAATTCAGGGACTGACCACAGACTGTGAATGCTGGTCCTTTAAACACATGAGCCAGAGTTTGGAGGGGTGGGGAGGAGAGTAGAAATGGTTGTTCTTGTTTGTATTCCAAGACCAGTGGTCTGAGGTTTTATTATTTGTCTTAGATGCTATCAAATGAGGGCAAAGTAATGGTGTAACCTGCATGTATCAACTTAAGGAGAGTTCAGGCCAGCCATTGATGCAGTGTGGATAGAGATTAGGTACACTAGAAGGGCAATAGGCAAGATGTGTAACATGTCCAAATAGGCATTATTTGAACCCAAGAATTTTGAAAATTTAACCAGATTTTTAACAAAATCATTGATGTCTACGCAGATTTATACAAAAGTATTTTTGTTGTAGGGGAAAATCTGACATAACCTAATAAGAGAAATATTTATGAAACAAATTCATTCATAAGGTGAAATAATTTAGAAAGTTATGTCAAATTATGCCCCAGTGACTCAAAAGTTAAAAAGCAGAACCAGGCAGCTGTATCTGGGTGGGAGAGTGGTCACATGCCCTGTATGCTGGCAGAATGATGTAGTGTTCTCTGAAAGATGTTGTAAAAGTGTCACAAGACCACCCTTTATGCAATCAACCCGAAGCAGTTCTTGTTGTTGGTGCTGAGATAGACTGCAGGTGGAAATTCCCCAGCTGACCAACAGACCATGTGATGTCAACCGACTGACCACCTGAAACCATTCAATTAGAAACTGTTGATTTGAGACTCCCCTGGATTTTCTCTGTTCCCCTGTGGTTTATTCCTTTGTAATTTCCTACTCCTGGATTCCTTCTCATGGAGCACACTTTTGTTTTGCACCAAAGACTGTGTCACCTAATCTGTAGATTGCTATTAGAAAATAAAGTTCTCTTTTGGCCTCTGCAGATCTCATTGGTCTTTTAACAGTTTCTACAAGTAAAAATATTAATAATTTGATGGATTGATAATTACTTGTTGTCAAGGGAAGATATGATATGCTCACAAACAATATACTCTCCTTTAAACAGACATATATAGGCAAATGTTTAAACATAAAAATCATATATTAAAAAAAGACACTCATCTCTAACTGGTAGTATTATTCTTTCCTACTCTTGGTTCTCACTACTTTAACATTTAAGAAAAACATATAAAGGTCACTTCTAAAAAGTATTTCTTAACACGTCATTTCTGTGGGTTTTAGTAAAATTAGGTTTTTTTTTTTTATTCCTTATGGGCCATTGGAGACATAGATGTTAAATCAGGACATAACTAGAAAATTCATTTTCTTTAAGTCTTTCAAAATTCTCATTGCAGTATGTCTTTTTTCTCAACTTGATATTTTTTTGTAGGCTAGTTCATGGTGCCGTGTCTTGGCTTACTTTTGAGTGGCATGATAAGCTTGTTGACCAATAGCCCCTCATCCCAGTTACACATCTATTTCCTATGGCGAGAACATTTCCTGTACTACTCATATTTTAGAGTCTTTTCTAATCTGCCTGGAATTTTCTTGTATAATTTCTTTATAATACTTCTGCTTGCTTTCACTCTAATTCCTCACTGTGTCCTTTTATTGTACTTTAGCAAGGATAACAAACTAGAACAACTCCCAAATAGCTACTTAATTCATTGTAGCCTTGTTTACTCTGTTTCCTTCATCAATTATTTATATTTTCTTAAGAGGATAGAACTGCTTAGGCTGCAACAGGCCTGACTGATACTTCCTTTGGAAGATACACTCATGTAAAATAGTTATATTCCTGAAATAGTTTTTTCAAGTTTAATCACACTGGAAAGCTCTTATCTTGAAACGAAATTCACTTATTTTGCTGAATTGGACTCTCGGTAGGAAATGCAGCTGGTAAAACAACTTGTTTAAGCTGCAACCTAGCAGGTTTTTTCTTCCTTCAACTCCTCAATTCCTAGATGAAGAAAAAATCTCTTTAGTTTCCTATTTTTTTTTACAGAATCAAAATTTGTGTTCTACAAGAAGGAGGAAACTCATTAAACTACTTTAAAAGCAAACTATAATTAAAATGTTTGAATTCCGGTAGTAAGATTCACAGGATTTATGGTCTTAAATTATTTACACTATGTAGAATTCAGTTTTCTACTCTGAAATTAAGAATCCCTACCCCACTGCATTCTTGCAAAATAAACTAATTCAGGCAATATGACTGAAAATGTATAGATAATAACAATGATTTTCCTAATATGTGTTAGATAGTACAAACAAAACAGTATCTGACACAGATCTTAATCAATTTAGAGGTTTATTTTGTCAAGGTTGTCCATGACACAGACTCAGGAGGTCCTGAGAATATGTGCCCAAGGTGGTTGGCTTACAGCTTGATCTTATACATTTTAGGGAGACAGAAGTTACAGGCAGATGTCAATCAATACATGTAAGGCATACATTGGTTTGGTTTGGAAAGGGGGGACAACTCAAAATGGGGAGCTTCCAGATCATAGGTGGATTCAAGTATTTTATGATTGGCAATTGGTTGACAGAGTTAAGTTATTATCTAAAGACCTGGCACCAATAGAATGGAATGCCTGAGTTAAGATGGGGGGTTATGGAGACCAAGCTGCTTCTTATGCAGATGAAGCTGCCAGGAATCAGGCTTCAGAGAGAAAAGATGTTTAATGTTTCTTGTGAGACTTAAAAAGTTTCCAGGCTCTTAGTTAATCTCTCCTAGATCAGAAAAATACATGGAAAGGGAAGAGAATTATCTACAGAATGTAGACTTTTTTTTACTGTAAGACAGCTTTGCAAGGGCATTTTAAAATACATCAAAGATATATATTTCAGGGTAAAACACTCTGATTTTTTTCAGGGCCTGCTGTCTGTCATATGATGTATCTTGTTGCTATAAAGAGTCTGTTTGGTCAGTCTTAAGATATGTTTGGTTTTTTTGTTTGCTTTTTGTTTTTTTGTTTGTTTGTTTTTCTGACATGGAGTTTCACTCTGTTGCCCAGGCTGGAGTGCAGTGGTGTGATCTCGGCTTATGGCAGTCTCTGCCTCCCAGTTTCAAGCAATTCTACTGCCTCATCCTATGTAGTACCTGGGATTACAGGCTCCTTCCACCACGTCTGGCTAGTTTTTGTATTTTTAGTAGAGGTGGGGTTTCACCATGTTGGCCAGGCTGGTCTCAAACTCCTGACCTCAAGTGATCCACCCACCTGGGCCGCCCAAAGTTCTGGGATTACAGGCATAAGCAACCACATGCCTGGCCTAAGATTCTGTTTTAATGTTAATGCTGGTCAGTTATGCCTGAATTCCAAAGGGAGGAGTGCGTAATGAGGCAGATTCTGTGGCATAAGAATTCTTTATAGGGGTGAAGTGCAGGTTTTCCTTCTACCCTCTGAAGGTTCACTAAAAATTAACTGACAATAAGCAGATTAATAGGAAAATGCGTATAAATTTATTTCGTATAAACAGAGGGGAATTGCAGAAAAATGATTACCCAATTATTCAATGAGATCTTTCTTTGCAGGAGAAGGGGAGATGAGGGAAATGTGACAATTTTTAGAGGTGTAGAAAATGACTTTAGGAAAGATAAGTAGACCTGGGAAACAGAAATTAGCTTGTAAATGATTCTCTTTGAAATTTGAATGAGTCCTAGAGGCAGAAATAGTTTATAACAATGTGCATCTAGGTGTGGTTACATTCCTTAGTCTGTTTTCCTGGGATAGATAATAAAACTTCAGGGAGGGGATAGAAGGCAATTGTCTTCTTTTTGGAGGGTTTGATCATAAGGCAGATAAGAGAATATCAAAGTAAAATTTGCTGGTGTGGGGAGATAGGAGAGGTCAGAAAGTTCTTCATTCTATGATAGTTTCTGAGGCCTTCCCATTTTAGTTCAAAGTCTCAGCATGCCAAATGCCATACTTTTAGGGTATCATTTTCTGAGCCCCAACATCTTCAAGTTGTAAGCATAGGTCCAGTAAGTCAGTAAGACTGTAGGAAGATGCATGAGAAATAATGGAGAAAAACAGTCTTGGGAGAGTTACATTTCTTGCAGGATACCTTGTAATCAGTATTAATAATTATTCCTTATTCACTCTTTTTGTTAAAGCTGTATGTATTACAGCTTCTATATGCACTACTAAGTAATTAGAGTATGATGTTATAGAAGACATACCTGTTACTGCCTTAGTGAATTTTGCATTCTAGGAAGAGTAGAGGCAAGTGAAAGAAACATAAAGATGTAACCTCTCAACAGGTTCATTTTGCCCACTGCCCACATATAGCTGATTCATCAAGACAGGGAAATTGCGATAGACAAACTTTAATCACACAGAGCCAGCTGAACAGGAGAGCAGAGTTTTATTATTACTCAAATCGGTCTCCCCAAATATTTTGAGACTGGAGTTTTTGAGAATAAGTTGGTGAAAAATGTCAGACCCTGAAAAACATGCAGGGGCTGAAAAATATTTTGATCACCAATCTGAAGTTTTATAATAGGGATGTTATCCCTAGGAGCAATTGACGGAGGATTAGAATCTTGGAATCTCTAGCTTCATGACTCCTAAACTGTAATTTCTAATTTTGTGGCTATTTTGTTAGTCCTAAAAAGGCAATCTGGCCTCAGATAAGAAAGGGGTTTATTTTGAAAAAAAGGAAGTTATAATTGTTACATATAAAGTTTTGGTGCCGCAAAAGAAGTAGCACTCGAATATAAAATTTTCTTTTTAATTCTCAGCAAGGCAAGGTACTTCTATAGGAGAGTGCCCCCTTAAAGATGGAGCAATGGTGAGCACACACGTGGACAAGGGAGGGAAAGGGGTTCTTATTCCTGATGCATGTGGTCCTTACTGCTGTATCATTCCCCTATTGGCTAGTGTTAGACTGCACAGGCTAAACTAATTCCAATTGACTAATTTAAAGAGAGTGACGGGGTGAGTGGTTTGGCAGGGAAAATGTTTATGAAATGAGTCAGGGTGGCAAATGAGTCAAGATGGAATAGGTCATCGGAAAAGGTTACCTTACAAGAAAGTTAAGTTTAAAAGTAGAAGGCAAAGAATTGAACATACTGATGTATTCTTTGAAGAGTAATTTAGAATTTAACAACTTCCTCCTCTTACATTTTTCTTACATCTTTCTCTTCAAACTTATTTAACATGTCTTGACTTAGGTGTTGTCCTTGATTTTCCAAAAGAAGAAGCTTCTCTGGATAAGGTGGAGGATAGTTAAGGGAGGTTTTAGTAAGTGCCATTTCTATGAGCCTCTGCACCAACCTACGGAGGCATGGTATGACACAGCACCCAACAAGAATAAGTACACCTATTATGGCTATGAGGGAAGTAAGAATTGAGGCTATTCTTCCTTACCATTTACCTAACCACTTTTCGAGCCATCCTGTAAAGGGGTCATTTACCCCTGAGTTACTGGCTACCTCATTGGATAAAGCAGTCAGACATTGCAATGCCTTTGTTATACTTCCACTAGGGGCAGTGTTGTTTGGGATGAAGGTGCAACATTGATATTCATGATGCAAACTCCTTCTCTATCTGCTAATACCATGTCTAAGGCTATCCTATTTTCCCAAGCCATCTAGGTAGCAGCCCCTAGCTGTTCAGCTATTCCTTTAACATTTCTAGTGTAGTTAATAAATTGCCGTTGGTTGTAATAGATGTAGTTTATCCAATCTATATTTTTATTAATTGTCACCCACCAAAATATTGACTCAAATGCTGCAGCTATTTGATTTCAGGCTTTAAATTGATCTGGTATTCCCTGTGGGACTCCAATTGCATCTAAATAGACGTGAGAGTTGAAGGACCCATAAGGGGCTTCTCTTGCTTTATGATGTCTTATTTTTCCTTCCTGTGGTTGATGAAATGCCACGGTGAAAGGGATAGCCAATTGGACTAAAGCATAAGTGCCACTCCAGTTATTCGGCAGAGTGTCCAGTAAAGGTCCACCACAATACCACCACACATCCGCTCAGGGATGAACAAGGGCTGACTGATTGGTAAGCTCTTGAAAATTCTTAAGCTTACTGCGTCCTTTCAGGTCTCCAAGGAACGCTGTTTCCTCCCAGTCATGAGAGACATGAAGTGAACTTAGTGTTGGGAGATGGAAGCTGGATGGCCCTGGGGGGCTAACCCGCAGGGTGTCAGACTTTGGGATATAGCAGAGAGAGAGCTTGGCTGACTTGTTACCCCAGGCTGTAGAATCCTGGAAAAGAGCTACCATGCAGCCCATGCTCGGTCAACTGGAGGACCACCCTAGTGGAAAGGGGACAATCTGGGCCTCTGGCTTGCCATGTGCACAAGCATAACAATTGCTTTTGTTTGATGTGCAGACAGAATATTTGATCCATTCCAGCCAGGCATTTACAGCTTGGTATCCCATCTCAATTGCCAAAGATTGTTTTAAGTCTTTAACTTCTATCATCGCTATCTCGGCCTTGTCATTAGATGGAGGAGGAACAATGGTTCCGCTGTGAGAGGTTTTGGAAAAAGGCTTAGAGGTAGGTGCAGGCAGCGGGGGATCAAAGAAATGCATTTCAAAGAATCCAATAGGGTCTATTCCTGAAATCTCAGCCCCCATACCATAAAACCGGCTTAAAGAAGGAAACCAGCTTAGAAAAGGAGAAGAACTTTGGGGGCTCAAAATAATAACCTGTTTAGGATTGCACCTGGTTTAGCTGACAGTTAATGTATGGTTTTAGGAAATTACAAAAGCCAGTTGGAGCAATCCATCTTTGCTCTTTGGTGGTCCACAGAAGGTTGGACCAACTATGGCATAAAAGCTCTACATCGGGGGTGGGGTCAAGACTCTTGGTTGCCACTGGGGTCTTTATTGAAATCTCCCCAGATTAAATGGTCCCAATTCACTAATGCCCAGTCTGAGGAGAGCCAGGAGGGACAGAGGTACTGTTCTGAAGTAGAGAGCTGTCTTTGACTTAACCAATCCCCACAGGGTATAACAAGGCAAGCATCAAATGCAATAGTTTGAAGTGAAATTGACTTGGTTATGTTAATAATTAGATGGTCAGCAATAGAGCCAGGAAAGAAGAAAGAGTAATAGATGAAAGAGAGTTAAATTCTTCTTAGCTTTAGTTTGGTAGGGTTTTCTCCTGGGCCTATGGCCCACGACTCTGGAGGGGGTGGTGCTTTCTTGACTTGAGTGTGGTGAGTCCATCCTCTCTCTGCTGAGCAGACTGTGGTTTCAGTAGTTAGGAGCACTACGTAAGGACCTTCCCAGGCTGGCTCTAGCTTCTCCTCTTTCCAGCTGTTGATGAGGACGTGATCCCCAGCCTGATGTTGATGTACTGGGAACTCCAAGGGTGGTGCCTGTGCTAATAGACCTTTAGTTTTAAAAGAAAAGAAAGTAGAAGATATATCAAGTATATAATTTTTAAGGAATTGATCTTTTGTTTCAAAGGTAAGAGTATCAGCAGTGGAGTGCAAATAAGGTAATCCATAGAGCATCTCATAAGGAGAAAGATGAATGTCTTTCCGTGGTGCAGTTAGAATTCTCAGCAGGGTGATAGGAAGACATTTGGTCCATGGCAATTGAGTTTCTAAGACTAATCTGGTTAAATGATTCTTTAGAGTCTGATTCATTCTTTCTACTCTCCCCGTTGAAGATAGGTACCAGGGAGTATGGTATTACCATCTAATGTCTAATGTTTGGGATAGCTTTTTAATAATGTGTGTGGTGAAATGAGTTCCATTGTCTGAGTCAATATTTTCTATTAGTCCAAACCTGGGTACTATATTTTCAATTAGGGCTTTAACTAGATTATTGGCTGTTGCATTTGAAAAGGGGGTAGCTTCAACCCAGTGAGTGAGGTGGTCTACTATCACTAGTAAATATTTTAGATGGCCTATTGGAGGCATTTCTGTGTAATCAACTTGGATATTTTGGAATGGCCTTAAGCCCAGATTCCTTCCCGTGAGAGGTAATATTTTTATAGTATGTCTATTAGTTTTCTTACATAGTAAGCAACTATCTATAACCTGTTTGTCCAGGGTATAAATTCCTATACAATCATAAACTCTGAGAACTGCATCACACATGGCCTGGGGTCCCCAGTGGGTCCCCTGATGTAGTTGGGATAAGACTTCCCTCATAGGGGTTTAGACATTTCTCTCTGGTCTGGCAGTATCCACTTTCCTTCTGAATTCTCTTTAGTACCTATTTTTATTAGTTTCTCTTTTTTCGGTGGAAAAGAAATGGGGATTATGGTAGGAGGAGGGAGGTAGGGAGTTAAGTAAAAAATGTGCATTTCAGAAGACATAGCAGCCTGCTTGGCTACCTGATCTGCTAGGTTATTTCCTCGACTTTCAAAAGAGAGACTTTTCTGGTGTCCAGGAACATGGACAATGGCTATTTCTTCCTGCAACTGAAGATTATTCAATACTTGGGTGATCAGCTCCTTGTGAACAAGGTCTTGACCTTTACTATTAATGAGATCTCATTCAGTCCAAATTTTCCCAAACGTATGGGCCACCACAAAGGCATACCTTGAATCTGTATAGATGGTTCCTTCCTGGTTCTGTAAGTACTTTAATGCTTGCCTGAGTGCAAATAGCTCACACATTTGAGCAGACCAACTGTTGAGCATTTTTCCTGACTCTCTTTCTACAAGAGTTTCTCCATCAGTCACTGAATACCCATTGTGTCTTTTTCCCTTAGTCACCCGGGAAGAACCATCTATGAATAAGTGCTGTCCAGTCCAGAAGGGAGTTTCTCCTAAGTCTGGTTGAACCTTCGTATGGTAATCAATTAAATCTAAACATGTGTGTTCCCTCCTTAGATTTGGATTCTCTGTTAGGAAACCTGCTGGGTTGAGTGAATTATCAGTGGTCAATGTTAAATCATCCTTTTCTAACAAAATGGTCATCCTTTAAGATTCTCGAGTTAGTAAGCCATCTCCCTACTCTTTGGTTTAAGATAGTTCTAACTTGGTGAGGCATGCTGTTGATTTTCCTCCAAAGATTAACTTTCCGCTTTCCTCGACTAGCATTGCCGTAGCCGCGATGGACTGGATGCATTGAGGCCATCCACAAGTGACTGGGTCTAAGACCTTTGATAGGAAGGCTACAGGCTGCTGGCGATGTCTGTGTTCTTGAGTCAGCACTCCTAAAGCTACCCCACTGTCCACATTAACAAAAAGGTGGAATGGCTTTTCTAGGGAGGGTAAGGCTAAAACGGGAGCCGTTATGAGCCTTTCCTTCAGCTTCTCAACCTGATCAACTTCCTCAGAAGACCACAGGAGATGGTTAGGCCTTTCCTGGGCAAGTTTTTGATATAACAGTTTACTGTGCAGTGCATATGAGTCAATCCGTAAGCGGCAGTATCCAACTAACCCTAAAAATTTCCTGAGGTCTTGTTTAGTTTGAGGCAAGGGTAGGGACAGGATTCCCTCAATTTGTTCAGGCCCTATTCTTCACTTGCCTGCACTTATTAAGTGGCCTAAATATTTAACTTTAGGCTCTACATACTGAAGCTTTCTTTCTGAGACTCATAGCCCCTCAAACTGCAGATGGTTAAGAATATGTGTAGAGAAGTCAGTTACCTTCTCTATATCTTTACCAGAGATAAGAATGTTGTCCACGTACTGAAGAAGGCATATTTTTTCTGGGATGACAACTTTTTCTAGTGCTGTTCTAAAATTTGGCCAAAAATATTAGGGGAGCCTGTGATCCCTTGGGGCAAGACTGTCCATCGATATTCTTGTTTCCACCCTGAGGAGGGATCCTCCCACTCAAAAGGAAATATATCTTGGCTATCTTCAGCCAGCAGACATGCCCAAAAAACATCCTTCAAATCTATTGCAGTGAACCATTGATGATTATATGGAATCTTGCTAAGAATGGTGTAAGGATTGGGGACAATGGGGTTGGTAGTCTGGACTATTTGGTTGATCACTCTAAGGTCCTGTACTAGCTGGTATGACCTGTCTGATTTCTTGACTGGCAGTATTGGGGTGTTATAAGGGGGTATACAGGGCTTGAGAAGCCTGTCCTTAAAAAGGCCTTTGATTATAGGTTTTAACCCTATCCTACCTTCTAGGGGAATAGGGTATTGCTTTCTTCTTACTACTTCTTCCGGGGTGTTTAGCTTGATGTGGAAAGGAGGGACTTGGAGCTTCCCTCAGTTTCCTTCTTTGGACAAGACATTAGGATTAATGTATTTTTCATCTGTAGTGTGACTAGGTTTAATGAGGTGAGGAATCCTCTTGGGCTGACTTGCAGACCTATGTCCAACTTTAACATTAAATCCCTCCCCAGTAAATTAGTTCCTGCTTCAGGGATTAACAAGAACTGAATACAAGCTGAGTGATCCTGGTATCTAACTTCTGTGCTTTCTAAAATTTTTGCTCTAAATCCTTCCCCTTTTACCCTGGAGCCTAAAAATTCCTCTGAGGAGGAGATAAGGTTAGACGGGGAAAAACAAACAGAGGAGCGAGCAGCCCCTGAATCGACTAAAATGGTGATAAGCTCATGTTTAGGTCCCACCTCCAAATTTATCAAGGGCTCCTGGTGGGACTCAAGATAAAAGAGACAGAGCCCCTGACCCCCCTATTCTTCCTTGAAAGTCATGAGTGGAGGGGCTTCTTTCTCCTTTTTTAGTTCAGGACATCCTCACTTGAAGTGGCCTGTTCTTCCACATCTAAAGCACCTATCTTGTTCTTCCTCCTTCTGAGTTCTGAGATTCTTTACCCCTGCTCTCCTATACTCTTTAGGGGGCCTGGTAGATCAGTACCTTGGTCCTCCAGATGGAGGCTGGGGTCCTTTAAAAGAGGGTTCGGACCCTTTGTAGTTTCTGGCTCCCTGGAAGCTCTGTCTAGAAGTACGTGGGTTTGGAACCAACTGTTGGAAGGTGGAAAACATAAGTTTTGTCTTTTGTTTCTGTTTTTCTTCATCCCTTTTCATGTATACTTCCTGAGCTTCCCTGAGAAGCTCACTTAGGGGATGATCTTCCAAATTTGTCTATCTTTTGTAACTTTTTTGAAACATCTGGCCAACTTTTAGCGACAAATTGGAGTTTCAACATTCCTTGCCCGAGGGGATCATCCAAATTGAGGCCTGCTTGTTGCCTCATTTGTTCCCTCAGCCTGTCTAGGAATCTCATAGGCCCTTCCTCTTTTTCCTGTTGTATATCAAATGCTTTAGAAAGAGTTTGGGTTTGGGGTACTGATTCCCGAATTCCTTTTATTATTATCTCCCTTAGGTCCTGCATATTTTCCCGGTGACCTGTGTTGTTATTGTCACACCGAGGATCTCAAGTGGGGGGGTATTTCTGGTCTGTGTCAGGAACATTTTCACCAGGAGGGTGCTCACATTCCCAAACTACCATAGCAGCCCTATGAGTCGTACTCCTTTCTTCCCCTGAGAAGAGGATGCCCAAGATGGACATTAACTCGACCCAACTGTATAATTGAGATCCTAAGAATTGGTCAATTTGGTCTGCCACTCCATAAGGGTCATCTAGTAGCAGTTTAAGCTCCTTTTTAAAATTCTGGACTTCTGAACTGGTTAAGGAGCATTTACAAAGCCAATGCCACCCCCTCTCCTTGTGGCACCTCTTTCAAAGGGAAGAGGGTTGGGGCTGACCTCTTAGGTACAGAGGGAAATGGGAAATTCTGCATACTTTTTTTATATTATTCTGCCTCACACTGGAGTCCTTTTAGACAGGGGTCTTTAGGTTGGAGGGAACAGACTGATGGGACTGTAATTCCCAAGAGTCAGGGTTATAAGGAGGAGGGATAACGTGAGTAGAGGGGGAATTTGGAATGGGATCTGAGGCGGCAGTGGCTGTCTGAGGGGAAAGATTGGGGACACTGAGTGGGGGAAGATAGTCTAGGGGATCCCATGCACTGGAGTCTTTAGGCATGACAGCTGGCTCCTCTGACTTTTCATTTTGAGGTGCCAGATTGGGTTTTTCCCTATTTGTTTTTAAGGGAAAAAGGAGGGCAGGTCCTTGCCTCCAACAAAGGGCATAGCCTAGTTCTTCTTGACACACTGGATATATATCATTGACATATCGGATCAGAAGCTGACACATTACATCCTCATTCAACCCAAACTGTGGCCAGAAGATTGAGGATTTGAGGATGGGTCCCTGAGTCCAAATAAAACAGCAATATTTTATCATTTGTTGCTTTTTCCTATGTTTAGTCCTTTCATTATCTTTCCAGTGTTTTAACATGAGACCTCAGGGGCTATCTGGGGGAGATATCTTTGTTACCATCTTTATCCCCCTTGCTTCCTGTCTTGCTTGGGGTATTTCCCATCTTGATGGTTTTGGGGTAAAGTTGAAGGTTCAATTTCCCTTACTGGAAATTTCTCACCTTTTGGGGTGAGGCTCAATTTCCCCCAGCGGAAATTTCTTGCCTTTTCTACTACTACAGGTTCATGTGAGGTTCAATCCCCCAACAGTGGGGATGTCTCACCTCTTTTTAACCTCTAAGCCATGCCGACCAAGGAGTACTTCACCACCGCCCCCCACCCAAAGCCCCCGTGACTTTCTTACCTTGGTCCCAACCACCAAGGAAATACTTTACCAGCTCCCACAGCTTCTCCTTCCTTGGTCTGTGCACAGAGTTGTCTCTGCAGTATGTGAGGATCCTTTAAGCTAGGTTGCTAGCCAGTTTTTTTTGTTTTTGTTTTTGTTATTTATTTATATTTTTTTGCATTGCTGAGAGCTCGGGTTATTCCTTGCACTGGATGGGTTTTGATTTTTCCCCCCTGAGGCTGCCACAAAGGACAGGACATGCCTCCTCACAAGAGAGAAACAGAGACCATCCCCTGAGGGGAATGTAATCATGGGCGAGCCCCCAAATTGTTTTCTATAAAGTTTCGGTGCCGCTAAAGAAATAGCACTCAAATATAAAATTTTCTTTTGAATTCTCAGCAAGGCAAGGTACGTCTATAGAAGGGTGTGGCCTTACAGATGGAGCAATGGTGAGTGCACACCTGGACAAGGGAGGGAAAGAGATTCTTATTCCTGATGCACATGGTCCTTACAGCTGTGTCATTCCCCTATTGGCTAGGATTAGACCGCACAGGCTAAACTAATTCCGACTGACTAATTTAAAGAGAGTGAGTGGTTTGGCAGGAAAAATGGTTATGAAATGAGTCAGGGCAGCGACTGAGTCAGGGTGGAGTAGGTAATTGGAATGAGTCAAGGTGGAGAATGAGTCAGGGTGCAGTAGGTAATCGGAATGAGTCAGGGTGGAGTAGGTAACAGGAATGAGTCAAGGTGGAGAATGAGTCAGGATGAAGCAGGTAATTGGAAAATGTTGTTTTATGAGGAAATTAAGTTTAAAAGTTGAAGGCAAAGAATTGAACATACTGACATATTCTTTGAAGAGAAATTTCGAATTCATATTTAACATTATCTTTGTTTCAAAGTTAAACTATAAGTTTCTCTCAAAGTTAGTTTGGCATATGCCCAAGAATGAACAAGGACATCCTAGAAGTTAGAACAAGGACATCCTACTGGTCAGAAGCAAGATGGAGTTGGTAAGATCAGATCCCTTTCACTGTAATAATTTTCTCACTGTTATAATTTTTGAAAAGGTGGTTGTAAGTAGACAAAAAAAAAACAGTTTATCTTAGGTGTAACGAAGAAAACAAGATTTGGATTATTATGTTAAAAAGCACAGCAGCTGGTCAAAGATGATTTTATTAAATGTGTTAATTCATAGTTCCATCCTCTAAATAATACAATGAAATAACATAGTTCACATGTATCTTTAATCTACAAAATCTACAAATCCTTAAGAGGATTTTGGGATTGTTGCAAGTTTTAGATACCATATTGTGTTGATCATATACTGACAGTTATCAAATCTCAGTGTTAAAATCAGGGAACTTAGAAGATAGGGCAGTGTTTTGACTGTGCTGACAGTCCCTTTATGAGACAATAAATACATTTATTTGTGTATTTCATTCAACACATATTAAGCATGCTTTGTTTCATATACTTTATAAGAAATAAAGGAGTTTTAATGATAAATATTACACAATTTTTATGTTTAAACTCAGAGTTTATTTGAAGAAGAAAAACACAGTTTGTACATTATCAACATTAGAGTAAGCAGATAGTTAGACATGAGCAGGAAAGGGATGCCCTGGTGGAGAAAGCTCTGAAAAAATCTCACATCAGAGGGACTACCTAAAACATGCATGCTAAATATGAGCAGAGGGAGGGGGAGATACCTATGCAGAAGGGAATGCTCTGAAATGCCCTGAAAGATGCCCCAAAATCACTCATTCTGCAGTTAACCTGTCTGAATGTAGCTACATATTAACAAGAAAGGAAGAATGGCAAAGTGGAAATTCCTAAGAGGTATGCAGATGTAACTGCTATATGACCTTCCAGGGGTGGTGGTCATGAGCAGTGCTGCCATTGGGTAGAATTCATATTGATCACCAGGCCCCATGCACATGCATCAACTGACATTAAGCTGTCTTAAGACAGAGAAACTAGACAAAGACAAAGCAGAGACTTACAGCAGAGGTGGGAACTTAAATAAGCAGCCTGACATTATAAAAACCACAGTGCAGAACTCTTCTTATAGTTCCCAGCCAGGTTAGCCTGCTCCTCTCTTGGAGCATACTCTTATTTCCTTAATAAACCTTTTGCTTACTTTACTAATTGGTCTCTTGGCCAAATTCTTCTAAGAAGACTAAGAACTGAGGGCCCCACACTTCCCAGTAACATAAATATAATAAAATAAGATCTATCTATCTATCTATCTATCTATCTATCTATCTATCTATCATATGATGGGATCCTAGCTGTGGCTATGTGGGGATGTTATGGGGAGTGTTTGGCCCTGAAATACTATTTAGGGGAGAAAAAGCTTTCTCTTTACCCTTTTAAATTTAGTAAGTGTAGACATTAAGCATTAAAATTACAAAAGACAGATTCACAAGAGAAAAAAAAAGATGTGATTATGTTTCTATGGAAGTTCATGAAGAAATGTGGTTCAAAGTGATTAGAATTGGGGGCTCATATCTTAATAAGGGATGGAAAGGGCCAAGGGGCACTGCTGGAAAAACACATGACTTGGAAGAGAGAAGAAAGGAATGGAATAACAAATGACATTTTGTAAAAGTAAATGGGACCTTAGGAGAATAGATGAGGGATATGATAGTTTTGTGACAGTGTCTCTTTGAGAGTGGTGCTGAATGAATTCTTATCTCGAGAAGATTATAGTTGCTCCATGGGAAGAGATTTATGACAGTTACTTTCTTTTGGAAGATTCATTTTTAGGCAGATAGGAATTTTCAGAAACTCAAATGCCTTCAGCTCAAATAATTTTTATGCCACAGTGGCTTATTCTGGGCCCCCTTTACTATCTTTAAGAATAGAGACTTTTAAATTGAATTTGGAAGTAGAGGGGAAGATTATACATGGGTAGTACATGCTTGGGGCTGTTTAATTTTACTGACCAGGGGAAAAAACAAGCATGCAGTAGATTGTTAAAGAAATTCAGAGAAGTATTTTAGTTAGACAGTACAAACAGATTTTATTGATGGACTATTGCAATATGCTAGAAGAGTCTTCAGTATAGGACTGGGCTCAATTCTAAATACTGTCAGAACAAACAAGGATTTACAGCCAGCTATCAGAGTGGAGGTCAGCAGATGAACAATCACCAAGAGCAACAATGGAAGTAAGGGGGGATTCTGGCTGAAGACAGTCCAGAGTGATTAGATATTAAGGGTGGGAGCTGAGGAATTTGATTAGATATCGAGGGGGATGAGATATCCAGAATGGGGGATTCCCTTCTCCCTAAACTGACTAAGCGAGATTCTTGCCTTCAAACAAAAAACAACAAGAAAGAAACAAGGAAGCCCATAATGCGGGGCCTGGTAGAAAAGAGAGCTCACAGGAGCCTGGCTAAACTTGAGGCAGGAGAGAGTCTCAGTATGAAACCAGGGAGTGGGAAGAAATGGTGATAGTGATAGAAGCAAACGGCAAGTAGGATGATCTGGAATTCTTCATTTGTAAGGAAATTAACTGCCTCTGATTTTGTTTAAAAATTTTTAGGTTTAGCTTGAGTCTCACCCACTATCTATATAAGTAGTGACATTTACTGGCAGAGATGTTATACCTTTAGATGGCAAATAATTAAAATTCAAACAATTGTTTGGAAGACAGTTTCCAATCAAGCAGGACTAATTACTCTAATGAGGTCAGGGCCTTAGTGGAGAACAATATTGATCATTAAGGGAAAGCTTTGCTGTGGTTGATCTTGAATGGACTAAATTGCTCAGTGAGAAAATTTTCTATTTAAAAGAAGTTGTCAGAGTTCTTCAAGTTCTTTCCTAACTAAGCTTTTGAATTTGAACTATAATTTCAAAAAAAAAAAATGTGTGTGTGTTTGGGGATGAAGAGGGTAATAAAATTCTGTAGCCAGCAAAGAACTGTGAATGGAATAAAAGGATAATTTTAAAACCTTAATGAAAACAGAAAATAACAGCAATTTAGGGAGCTCATTGACATCATTTTACTGTTTGTAATTGGTAGGCAATTAGCATGCAATTGTCCCATGTCAGTTAGTTTTCAGAAAGTTTTCTCTTTTGCTATACATAGACAAATTCTTCATTTTTTTTTTCCCATCCAGACTCTGTTGGCCTTCTCTCACAGGTCTTATTGTTTTCACACTCTTTAATCATATATCCCTTAGTAACTGTGTGCCTTTTCCATAATGTTGTTGCCAAACACTTAAATTCACATGTCTAAAGATACAACCTCTTTGTGCCTTTTTTGGGGAAACATAACTTGAGTTTTGTCAGTGGAGTAATACTTGCCAAATTGTTTGATTTTTAAGGGTAATGCAACATTTTTTTTTTTGCACCAGAGTACTTTTCACATGAATGCTTGAAATCCTCTCATTAAAGAGTAATTACTGGCATTTAGTGTAAATTTCTCCAGCAATATAAATGTCTTTTTTTGTGAGATACATTAAATAAAATCTGTACTTAGAATGGATTTTCTAGTTGTTTTCCTATAAATATATTTTCAAAAATTTCCTCTTCTATAATACATCTGTTCTGAATATAACAAAAATATGCACTTAACCCAAGACAAAACATACAGGGGGATATTTAGCTACCACATCCAGCACCAAATCCTGGATCTATAATCCAGATTTATTCTATCTGATTTTGATATCAATGGATCAATGATCATTGAAATCACAACACAATTCTAAGTAATAATGGAGGGAAAAGAGGATAACTTAAATAAGTCTTCCCTATTGCCATGTTTATATCGTATAGTACAGATAGCTCATCTTTCTCTTTAGTGATGTTACTATTGACAAGCTTGGGTTTTATTGGTCAACCCAACACTGAAAGCACTGTAACTGCCTTATGTGTCAATTCTAGTGTACTCCATTGGATCATAGCCAGAAATCCTATTGGGTAATGGTCCTTAAACATATATCCTACTTTGTGTTTGCAATTTTGGTCTTTTGTAAATGATAGGTGCTTAGATCTCAACCAAATGTCTCTGTGTTTGTAGTTTGCTCAGACATACAGTGAAGGAAGTATTTGGCTAGAGCAGCAAGGCTTTGGCAAGTCCTGTCTGCTGTTCTGCTGCCCCGCCCCCAAGGAAAGGCACTTTCAGTTGAATCACTACCTTTTTACATAATTTGGTGCTCAGCAGGAGATATTTGGGAGGACCCAAGGACATCAGGTTCCCGTTTTTTATCTTTGTCCTCAATGTCCATATCTTATCAAAACTCTGGTCCTCCCTGTTGCTCCCAAATGTGTTCACTTAGAATCTTTCTGTTTTCTATTGGATGTTTCGAAAGGATGTGAGAAGCAGCCTACACACTCCAAATTTCTGGCTATTAAAACTCAAGCATCTCTAACAAGGTCTTTGAAAGCTCAGGGGTTGGTAGTTCAAACATGATTCAATAACAAGCATCATTATTATCATTCATTTCCTTAGGAATAAAGAAATTTTCATTTCCTGCCATCCCATCTTAACACAGTTAATATTCTTCATCACTGGTAGCATTGTATTAGAGTGCAAGCTGCATCTGAAAGATATCTCCTCCAAGGAAACTAAGTGGAAAAGAGTTGAAAATGCATTAACTCATTTACCTGAGGAGAAAAGGGGTTGAGTTGGCCTCTGAAACATCACAAATACAAAACACATAATTTAAATTTTTTTTATTCTGTTATTCATTTGCTCTCCAAGATCCTCTTGACTTTTGCCCTTATTTTTTCCTGGTTTTATAAAGGGAAACTTGGCTACCAAAAGAAATAAAGGGTTATGTTACCTGAGTTTTATAAACCAGGAGAAAAGGGAGACTTTCAGGGAGTCAGTGGATAATGAAACCATCCCTTGATCAATCGCTGTGAAAGCAGAAACAAGGGGGAAGGGTATAATGATTAGCAATTATTAGGTTGCATTCCTATTTCTAAAGACAAGGCACTCAAATGATAGCCTCCTGAGACCTACATGGAAATGAGGAAAGTGAATCCCCCAAAGGAATAAGTGTTTTGCTTTGAGAAGAGATTGGTATGCTTAGCAGAAAAGTACAATAAAATAGAACAGATGTCCACACTGTATAGGTTTTCTCTATTTCCCTTGAGATACATACATTTAATTTCAGATTCTTGAAGCAAAATATTCACTTTCAGAAATAGTTGCCTTCCCTCTTGTTAACTGTAACATAAACATATCTCTGGGGGTGCAGGTTTTATATTTTGATACTTTTGCCAGGGAAAAAATTAAAAAAAAAAGGAGCAGTTGGTTGGAACCACTCATGCTCCAAAATATTTTTCTTGCCATCCTGAGATTCCACCATCTGTAACTCCATTGTATAGGCCATTAAAATCTTCTACAAAAAACCCCATAGAATTGGGATTTTGTGACTGAGAAGAACTGGACGACCATTAAGTAAGTCTGTCTTCCAAGCCATTCAAGAAATACTGCTTTTTAAATCATTAACCACTGTTTACAGCTGACCTTCAATGATGAAGAATCTACTGTCCTAAGACAACCCATTCTGATGTTGGACATTTCTGATTATTGGAGAGCAATCTGAATACACGATGAGAAGAGTCAAATAATAAATACTTTTTAAATGATACAAAGTATTTTTTCTAATATTGGGATGAAGGCTACCATTCTGCAATCTTTTCATTTAGGTTGGAGTCAAAGCAAGTATAATTTCCCTTTCTGAGACAGCCCTTCACATATATTAAGAGACAGCTGCATGCTTCTTATTCATCGCTTTTCCTTCAAGGCAAATATTGCTAACTCCCTCAGCTTTTTCTCATTTAAATAAGTCTAACTCATACCTGTTCAAAAATACTTTCAATTTTTGAGAACTTCTGAGACTTAAGAGGAAAAAAGCGCGAATATCTTTTTTGGTAAACAACAGAGTTTATGGCAGTGGCAGAATTTTGAATTTTCTTGAAAGAGTGAAAGAAAGTGATAGAAACTAGGGAAGACATAAATAGGGGTAGAAGAAGGGAAATTGCTGTTTAAATTACTTACTGCATTTTGTTTGTTCTTGGTCCTCTTGGATAAGACAATTCTGGTACAAAGGTCTCTTCATCACAAATCCTATTCAAAACTATAGTTAAAACTTTCATTACTTAAGATCAGACTAAGGCTTAATTTTGCTTAATTCTCACAACAACCCTAAAAGTCAGGTATAATTTTCTCTGTTTTGTTGATGAAGAAACTCTGTGCTTAAATAGATATAACACAGCTGGGCATGGTGGCGCACGCCTGTAATCCCAGCAATTTGGGAGGCTGAGGCTGGTGGATCAAGAGTTCAGGAGTTTGAGACCAGCCTGGCCAACATGGTGAAACCCTGTCTCTACTAAAAATACAAAAATTAGCTGGGTTTGGTGGCACACACCTGGAATCCCAGCTACTCAGGAGGCTGAGGGAGGAGAATAGCTTGAACCTGGGAGGCAGAAGTTGCAGTGAGCCAAGATCTTGCCACCGTACTCTAGCCTGGGACAGAGCAAGGCTCCATCTAAAAATATAAAAAAAAAAGTAAATGCATTTTCCAGGGGTCAAAGTTCAAACACAATTACTTCTAATTGTGAAGCCTATGCTCTTTCCGCCTGTTCTTGGGGCATACAAGCCTGTCACAGAATGGTGTGGTGCTAATTATCCCAGTTGTGAAGATACCCATTGATCCTGATGGAAGCTACAAAAGAAACCTCAATATTATGCTAAGTGAAAGAGTTTGGACATGAAATACCATGTATTTTATTATTCCACATACATGGAATTAACAGAAAAGACAAGTCTATAAAAGTAGTTGCCTAAGTTTGGGTAGGGAACTAGGAATCGGCTACAAATGAACATAAGAAATGTTCTTGGGGTGGTGAAAATATCTTTTAAGTAAATTGTGATATCTGTACAATTTTTTAAATTTACTATAAATTTTTGAATTGTAAATTTGAAAAGGAGAAATTTTATGTTATGTAAAGTATGCCTCAATGAAGCTGTTAACTGAAAGGCAGGACTATTGCAAATAAAAATAAGAAAAGTACTGAAAGAAGCAAATTGTAGAGTTTGTACCTTAATAGTACTGTTCTTTGTATACTGAGATGTTATAGATTATGTCATGCCATTGTTTTGTGTATATCAAGAAAAACATTCTGCAAATTAATTTATGACAATATTTTCTTACCATGTTATTTACATTCATTTAAAAATTCTTCTAATTTATACCTTGTCTATACCATATCACAATATGCACAACTATGAAAAAGTTCACGTGTACTGATAACTAAATCATCACCACTGTGTAGCTCTACAGATTGAAAGGTGCCTATTGATTTTAAAAACGTTAAAACGTGAAAAACACCTACATCTTAGAATCTGTGATGAACCACAGAGTGAAAAGAAAACCAAAGGCCCAGAGTAACCAATATCTGGGACATCCGCAAAAGCCGCCTGGGTTAAGATGGGGAAACGTGATGGTTTACTTGGGAAAAACTTGGTGACTAATGGTCTTGGGTGCAACCAGCTACAGGGGGACAGGTACAGAAACTGCTTGAGGCTGAGCCAACACTTAATATCACTTGTCCTTCATCTTTCAAGGATTCATCATATGCCATCTCCATGAAGGATCTATATCCACTGGGTATCCTTTCCATCAATATCTGTTAATACAGATCTTAATAATAATTGTGTCTGTTTTTAGGCCTAATGTGGGAACAGCTCATGAGTGTAAGACATCTTGCGATGTAATTATTATACGAACGGGAGCTTCAACTGGGAGGACCACCCGATTGTCAACGTCAAGGAGTCATAGGTCACCTGGCTCTAGATATAATGGAGGGAGTATATAGGAGTTGAAGATTAGTCCACCGTAGTCGGTGTATTCGCAGGTTCAATATCATTGATGGCCGATTGATTTGATAGTAAAGGAGGGGTCATATTAATAATAATAGGCTATAACCTGTTAAAAATAGTAGGTTAATTTACAGAAGTGTGGCCCGCTTATTCCTTGAGAGTTGCTGGTTCCCATCTATATTTGTGTGGTTCCTCCTCTTGACAATGATTCAGAATACTCATAGTCACTCACCCCTGAAACAAAATATGGGATCCCTGCTACTCGAAGAGATGGTCGTGGTGCAAAAGGAAGAGTCCTAGTACTTGTGCAGCAAATACTTACCTTCCTTTCACTTATTCTTTGTTTTAAGGGAAAAAGTGACAACTGGGTTTTATTGTGACTAATGCCAGCTTTAGACAGCATACTAAGTATAGTGTAATAAAAAAGCATGACTTTTGAAAGCCAAGAGATTAAAGTGTGAATCTTACCTTTGACATTTATCAGCAGCTAAATCTTGCACAAGTTATTTCAATTTTCAAAGCCTTAGTTCCTTTGTCTAAATTAGTGATGTGATTATCTCTTTAGAATTTTTGTAATAATTAAATGAGACCAAGTATGTATAGTACATAATACCTTGAATACAGGAAAGTCCCAAGTTTATCACTGTGGTCACCATCATCATCCCCACCATCGTCATTATATCAGCAGCATCCTCATGATTAATTTTGTTACTCAGGCTCAATTTGGAAAGTATGCATTTGTTTGGAGAACTGCTTTTCTCATGTTAGGCAATATCACGTAAGGGGGAAGACATTTTGACTCGCAGACTATCCTTACTTAGACAAGTGACTATTATCAGCTCAAATGCAATTACTGAAAGTATGCAAAAATCCAATCATTGCCAAAGTGACCTTATTTAGTGAACAGTATAGGTATAACATAATATCTTCAGAATTGTGAAATTGTGTATTCCATCTGGGTTCTTTATATAAGGATATT